>NC_000010.11:93021883-93324913 GCF_000001405.40 Homo sapiens
GTAATTCGTTTATGTGATGTTAACTAGTTTATAATCTCATTGTAGGATTGTGAGTAGGACCACATAGTTTATGAAACTGTTCATAAGGATTCTGTTCTTTGATTTTTCCGGATAGATAGATGGTTGGTTTAATGGAGATTAAAACACTGACCCCACGTACTTCCTTCCTTCAAAGAGAATCATCATTTGACAGCATAGAAGGCCTCTTTACAAGTATATAGCTCACTAGGGAATCGTTACTAAGACATACTTATAAATATTAATAAACATCTCAAGTCATTTTTGTTGAATTTACTTTTCAAGTATGTGCACTTAGAGGGCATTAAGTCCTGGTTGACTTTTCCTCATCAATGTAATCTAAGAGACTTCTAAGTTAATTTTAAAAATCTATTATGAAACATGTAGAATTGTGAAATCTATGATGATGTGTGTAGAATTGTTAGAATACAAGATTTATGTAGAAATAACTAAATATAAAACAATTTTTGAGAATGTAGTAAATATGCAGTGGAAGGGATCAGTGGATAGAAAATTTTGGGTGAGTTATTTTATTACATTTTAATTTTTCTAGTTTTAAAAGGGGCTTAAAATACTTTTTTCTGATTATTATTGTCAAAATGTAATCATACTCTTCTTGGACTTCTGTATTCCAAAATAAGAATATGCAACTAATTCCTTAGCTGCTAGATCACTGTGGCATGGCTTGAATTTTATTATTTTAGCAGCTTGGACTTAATAAATTGAAAAAGATAGATATTTTTCACCTATATTTGTTTTTTTGCTTATATTTGTTTTTAAAATTAGTTTACAAATAGTTAAGTGGTGAAATGCCAAGTATGGGGAATTGGCAAAAAATAAAAATAAAACTGGTCTTGAAAAGTGAAGTCTCACATGAGGTGATAAAAGTTTTTTTTTTAATCAGATGTTAGTGATTATTTAAATAAGGATGCTTTAAAGTTTCAATAGGGCTTTTATGTTCCTTACTTCATAAAGCTATTTCATAGCATATTGCTTTAACACTTTTATATGAAGTAGTATACCACCAAATATAAAGGGGTTGCTAACACCTTTATTTACATTTCAGTTGGGGTTCTTCACTTTTCCTTCTTTTTTTTTTTTTTTTCAGTCTGTGATCCATTTCTGTCTTAATAGGGTGGTTGACAGTTCTTTTCAAGCATACTTAGAAAGGCAAAAGAGCCCTTTTCATAGTACTTATAAGGGGTCATGCTTCTGTTTTTTTTTAGTTTGAATTTGATACTGCTTCATGAGTTGCTATGAAAGATTAGGAAGTAGGTCCAGTGGTCAGATTTTACCTGCCCACCCGGACTTTGCCCTGAGGTCAAACTCCTGATATTTGCTGTTCTGAATAGAGGAGTTGATGACAAGTATGAGCTGATACAAGAGGAAAGTTAGAACCATATCAAAGCTGAAGGCAAGAGAATTGGGACTCTATGAGAGACTAGCTAAAAGATAGATCATCGGGATTGCCCTCTTCTAAGGAAAAGGAAATAGCTGACCTGTGATTGAAAAGACTTTATCATCCTGCCAATCACATACTTGCTAATGGAAGCCAGTTATCTCAACAACATCTTAAGTCCTACTGCTCTAGTAGACAATGTGGAGGATTAGCGGTACTGGTGCCACATTATGTGAATATGCTGCCTCCATCAATTTAAATGTGCTTTGTGAATATGATTTGTTCGTGTAAATTTTTTTTACAAGTAAAGCCTATCATCCTGTTACCCCCTATTCTGAAATTAAGTTGCTAAATGATGGACTTGATATACTTATTTGTGTCTGTTTTCATTTACAAAGACCATATGTTTTGTTAAATATAATATTTCAAGTGGATTTCAGATGCATATGTGAAATTCTTTTGGCAATATATGAAAACTTAAAAAAATTTAAACTATATTAAGATTCTTTGTATAATATGCAGTATTCAGTGATAATTTTTTATAACTTATTTTTTTAATAACTCATTCTTAATACATAGAGATATTTCACTAAATATCACTGGGAAATGAGGTGTCACATATAACTGAATTTTCCAGGTGACCAAAGATTATTTTTTAATCGCCAAAGCTTTTTAAATATAGCCATTTTGATGGAAAACTTTAAAGAAGGTGTCTCTCACTTTCATAGCTTCTAACGGCATATAATTTCCACAGTAGATTGAGCATCCATTGCTTCACTAATACTATACTAAATCCTCTTTAACTGATCCTGTTGCATTTTGTGAGAAGTTACTTACACTGGCAAGATATCATTATTTCATTTGATCGTATCTTGATAATCTTTTAGAAAATATGGAGAAGTTTAGGTAGGTCAAATGATAAAGCAGTAAGGTGGGTTTCAAGCTAATGAAACAATCCTTTGCCCAAAGAATGCTGGCTGATGTATTGTTACCACCCTAGAGCTTCATTTCCCAAAGGGTCTTTCCAGGAACACTGATTTCTCAAGATGAGAAAAGGTTTCCAAGTCAGGTAAGTTTGGGAAGCACTTTATATTTTAACCCCTCTTAGAGACCATTTTTATTAGAATTTTATTTTATTTTAATTTTTTGGAGACACGGTTTCACTCTGTTGCCCAGGCTGCAGTACAGTGGCACAGTCTTGGCTCACTGCAACCTCTGCCTCCGGGGTTCGAGCGATTTTCCTACCTCAGCCTCCCGAGTAGCTGGGATTACAGGTGCACACCACCACACCTGGCCTGGCTAAGACAGTGTTCCACCATGTTGGCCAGGCTGGTTGCGAACTCCTGACCTCAGGTGATCCACCCAGCTAGGCCTCCCAAAGTCCTGGGATTACAGGTGTAAGCCACCGTGCCTGGCCTTTTATTAGAATTTTAAAGATAGGAATTCTGCAGTAACCCAGCATTCCCAAACTCATTACAGGGCACCTCCCTCACTTATTTTAGGGTTTATTACATGAAACATCCTTTGGCAAATGCTTTAAGGAAGATGCTGGCAGTGCCCTCTAAATGTCTTTCTTTGACAGTTTGGGATCAACAGTTTTCTTTTCTCTTTTTTTCCTGGAAAGCCCGACCGCAGGGATCAACATATTTTTAAAATAATAATTTGAGTTAAGACATAGAAAAAATACAAATTGTATGTGTAGATTATATGAAGCCAGGAGAGTTACCCAAGATGACAGGAGACAGAATCAAAGTATTCTGAGTAGGCTTGAGTGATGAGCTGAAGCCAACAAAGTTAAATTTAGTAAGAAAAATATTAAGTCTATGTTTAACTTTTTTAAAAATAATTTTTTTTAAATTTCAGGTTTTAGGAAATCTGACTTACAATGCGAAAAAGATCTGGTAGTTTTAGTTAACCTCCATGAACAAATTGTGTGATGGTAATTCCTAGACTGCATTCATGAAATTGTGGTATTTGGATTAGACCACTGTGCTTTGGGGCTGTTAAGACTATGCCTGTGTATTGCATGATGACATAGACACTCACAAATTGGAGAGCACCTAAAAAGAGAGTTACAAGGCTAGTGAGGGATGAGATACCTTGTCATATGAGAAGCCATTTTTAAATTTTGGGACATTTAATTTAAAGCTTAGAAGTGTAGCTTTGCAGAGGAATATAAAATAGGTTTTTATTGGCCTAGATATATGAGTCAAGTGTACTATTTTCTTCTTCCAAATATAATCCTATGCCACAATAATAATTTACTTAACCCATTCAGGATTAGGTCTTGTTTTCAAGTATTTAATTTATTTCAAGTATTTTAATTTTGGGCAAACTAGAGAAAAGAGGAGTGGTCATTCCTTTGAATGATATGTAGAGAATTTGAAAGGGAATTTTAAATGTGCAAAATATATGTGGATCTCATAGCACTTTCAAATAAATGTTTTATTAAAGTACATTATGCATTCGGGCAAATCATATGTATACTGCTGCTGATTTTTCACCAGGTGACTACATCTATAGAACACATAGATCAAGAAAGAGAACTTGACCAGTACCTCAAAAGAGAGCCCCCACCCCACACTGTGCCTCTTTCTAGTCATTCTTCTCCTCCCTTTCAAGGATAACCACTATCATGACTTTTAACACCAAAGATAAAAGTAGCCTAAGTTTTAACTTTGTATACACCAAATCATGCAGGATAACTTTTGGTTCTGCTTTCTTTTGCTCATTGTCTTTGAAATTTATCCATGTTGTTACGTATAGCTGTGGTTCATTCACTCCCTTCGTTGTGTAGTTTACCCTTGTACAAATATACCATAATTTATGTATATGTTCTGCTCTTGGTAGACATATGAAGTGATTCCAGTTTTGCTGTTACAGTAGTACTAACATGATCATTCTTTTACATGTCTTTTGGTAAACATATGCACACATTTCCGTTTGAGTGTTTACCTAGGAGTGGAATTGCTGAGTCAGGGAGTGTATACACATGATCAGTTTTAATAGATACTGTGAAGCATTTGTGCTAGTTTATACTTCAGCCATCAGTGTAGAGAAGTTCTAGCTGTTCTGCATCCCTGTTATCACCTGGTATTGTCTGTCTCTTCTTTTTTAGCCATTCCAGTGGCTGTGTGGTAGTTTTACACTGTGGTTTTAATATACAGGCATACCTTGCTTTACTGTGCTTTGCTTTGTTGCAATTCACAGATAATGTGATTTTTACAAATCTAAGGTTTGTGATACTGCTGCATCCTGGAAGTCTTTCAGTACCGTTTTTCTAACAGCATATGGTCACTTAGTATCCTTGGTCACATTTTGTAATTCTCACAGTATTTCAAACTTTTTCATTATTACTATGTCTGTTTTTGATCTGTGATCAGTGGTCTTTGATGTTACCATTGTAATTGTTTTGGGGTGCATGAACCACACCCATATAAGATGATGAACTTAATCAATAAACCTGTGTGTTCTGACTGCTCTACCAACCAGCTGTTCCCGTCTCTTCCTCTCCTGGAGCCTCCCTATTCCCTAAGAGGTAACAATATTGAAATTAGGCTAATTAATAATCCTACAGTGGCCTCTAAGTGTTCAAGTGAATGGAAGAGCCACATGTCTCTCACAAAAGCTAGAAATGATTAACTTAATGAGGAAGGCATGTCGAAAGCTGATAGACCAAAAGCAAGGCCTCTTGCACCAAACAGCCAAGGTGTGAATACAAAGAAATAATTATTGAAGGAAATTAAAAGTGCTACTCCAGTGAACACAAGATTGATATGAGAGCAAAATAGCCTCATTGCTGATATGGAGAAAGTCCGAGTGTTCTGGATAAAAATGAAACCAGCCACAGCATTCCCTTGAGCCAAAGTATAATCCAGAGCAAGGAGGGCCTAACTCTGTTCAATTCTATGAAGGCTGAGAGAAGTGAGGAAGCTGCAGATGAAAAGTTTGAAGGTAGCTGAGGTTGGTTCATGAGGTTTAAGGAAAGAAGCCATCTCCATAACATAAACGTGCAAGATGAAGCAGCAAGTGCTAATGGAGAGGCTACAGCAAGTAATTTATCCAGAAGATCTAACTAAGATAATTGATGAAGTGGCTACACTAAGCAAGAGATTTTCAGTGTAGATCAAACAACCTTCTATTGGAAAAAGGTATCAACTATGACTTTCATAACTAGAGAAGAGAAGGCAATACTTGGTTTTAAAGTTTCAAAGGACATTCAGACTGTCTTGTTAGGGACTAATGCATCTGGTGACTTTAAGTTGAAGCCAGTATTCAATGACCATTCCAAAAACCCAAGGGCCCTTAAGAATTGTTACATCTGCCTGTGCTCTATAAATGGAACAACAAAGCCTGGGTGACAGCACATCTATTTATAGCATGGTTTGTTGAATATTTTAAGTGCACTGTTGAGACCTCCTGCTCAGAAGAAAAGAATCCTTTCAAAATATTACTGCTTATTAACAATGGACTTCATCACTCAAGAACTCTGATGGATATGTACAAGGAAATAAATGTTTTCATGCCTGCTAACACAGCATTCATTCTGCAGCCCATGGATCAAGGAATGATTTCAACTTTCAAGTCTTATTATTTAAAAATACATTTTGAAAGGCTACAGCTACCATAGAATAGTTCCTCTGATGGGTCTGGGCAAAGTCAACTGAGAGCCTTCTGGAAAGGATTCTCCATTCTAAATGCCATTAAAGACATTTGTGATTGGTCGTGGCTCACCCCTGTAATCCCGACACTTTGGGAGGCCGAGGTGGGAGGACTGCTTGAGGCTGGGAGTTTGAGACCAACCTGGACAACATAAGGAGACGCTGTCATATGTTATTTTTTTTAAAACTAGCCAAGCATGGTGGTGCTTGCCTGTAATCCCAGCTACTCTGGAGGCTAGGTGGGAGGATCGCCTGAGCCCTGGAGGTCGAGACTTCAGTGAGCCATGATCGTGCCACTCCACTCCAGCCTGGGCAACAGAGCAAGACCCTGTTTCAAAAAAAAGAAAAAAGTTTCCATTCCTCATGGATGATTTTGAGGGGTTCAAGACTTCAGTGGAGGAACTAACTGCAGAAGCCGTGGAAATAGCAAGGAAACTAGAACTGGAGCCTGAAAATGTGATTGAGTTGCTAAAATCTCATGATAAAATTTGAATGGATGAGGTATTACTTCTAACGGATAAGCAGGGAAAGTGTTTTTTTGAGATGGAATCTACCCCTGGTGAAGAGGCTGTTCACAAGGAAATTAGAATATGCTGGATGCGGTGGCTCAGGCCTGTAATCCCAGCACTTTGGGAGGCCGAGGCAGGTGGATCACCTGAGGTCGGGAGATCAGGACCAGCCTGACCAACATGGAGAAACCCTGTCTCTACTAAAAATACAGAATTAGTTGGACGTGGTGGCATATGCCTGTAATCCTAGCTACTTGGGAGACTGAGGCAGGAGAATCGCTTGAACCTGGGAGGCGGAGGTTGCGGTGAGCTGAGATCGTGCCATTGCACTCCAGCCTGGGCAACAAGAGTGAAACTCCATCTCAAAAAAAAAAAAAAAAAAAAGAATTTAGAATATTACATAAACTTAGTTGATAAAGAAGTGGCAGAATTTGAAAGGATTGACTCCAATTTTGAAAGATGTTCTACTCTGGGTAAAATGCTGCCAAACAGTATCCATGCTTCAGAGATACCTTTTGTGAAAGGAAGAGTCAATTGATGCAGTAAATTTCATTGTTGTCTTTTTTTAAGATATTGGCATAGCCACCTCAGCCTTCAGCAATCACCACCCGAATGAGTCAGCAGCCATCCACACTGAGGCAAGAGTCTCCACCAGCAAAAACATTGCTACTGGCTGAAGGCTCAAATGATCATTAGCATTTTTTTTGTAGTAAAGTACATTTAATTAGGGTGTGTACGTTGTTTTTTCAGACATGCTATTGCACACTTAATAGACTATAGTGTAAACATAACTTTCATTTACACTGGGTAACCTAAAAATTTGTGTCACTCACTTTATTGTGATAATCATTTTATTGAGGTTGTCTGGAACCAGACATATAGTATCTCCGAAGTATGCCTGTTTATTTCTTGATGACTTATAAAATTGAATTTTTTTCATCCATGTATTTGCCATTTGAATGTTCTCTTTTGTGAATAACCTGCCGAGATTTGAGGCCATTTTTCTCTATTGGGTTGTCTATGTCTGACTGATATATAGAATTTCTTTGTATATTCTGAATGGGAGTTCTTTATCAGGTCTATGTATTGTTGTAAATGTCTTCTACTCTGTTGCTTGTCTGTTCACTCTTAATAGTGTCTTTTGATGAGGAGAAGTTCATAATAGTAATGAAATCCAGTTTATTATTTTTTATGATTCTTTTAATGTCCTGTTTAAGAAATCTTTGCCCTACCCCTGAAATCACAAAGATATTTTCCTTTGTTTTCTTCTGTAATTTTATTGTTTTACCACTCATATTTAAGTTTATAATCCATCCAAAGTTGATTTTTATGCATAGTTTGGGATGTAAAGTTCCAGATTCATTTTGTTCTGTATGGTTATTCAATTGACCTAGCATCATTTATTGAAAATAAATGGATCTCATAGTGTTTTTCTTTTTTCTTTTTTTTTTTTTTGAGATGGAGTTTCGCTCTTGTTGCCCAGGCTGGAGCGCAATGGCGCGATCTCGGCTCACTGCAACCTCTGCCTCCCAGGTTCAAGTGATTCTCCTGCCTCAGCCCCCTGAGTAGCTGGGATTACAGGCATGTGCCACCACGCCCGGCTAATTTTGTATTATTAGGAGAGACAGGGTTCCTCCATGTTGGTCAGGCTGGTTTCGAACTCCCAACCACAGGTGATCTGCCTGCCTCGACCTCCCAAAGTGCTGAGATTACAGGCCTGAGCCACCGCGACTAGCCTAGTTTTTTCTGTTTAGTAGAGACGGGGTTTTGCCATGTTGCCCAGGCTAGTCGCAGACTCCTGAGCTCAAGCAGTCTGCCCACCTGAGCTCAGGCAATCTGCCTGCCTCGACCTCCCAAAGTGCTAGGATTATAGGCGTGAGCCACTGCGCCCAGCCAAAAAAATGGTAAATTTTCAAAAATAATTTGAACTTCTAAAAAAAGCATTCAGATAATTTTATGAAGTTTGATAATTACTAGAGAATTAATGCTGCTTAGATGCAGTAAACCAGTCAGTCATACAGAATAACTTGTTTTTAAGAAGCATGAACAGTAACACAGGATTCCTTGTGAAGAATGAGAAGATTTAATTGAGAAATTAAAATACCAGCTCATGTAGAGTTCAAATCCTAACAGTTGTTGGATTCCTTAGTGACTCATCAAGGCTGTTGTTATTGAGCCACAGTCTGCAAGTATGCAGAGAAAGTATGCAGTCTCCAAGTATGGAGAAAAATAAAGAATATGTTTTTACTTTTTTCTCTTACTAATATACTTCATAAATTATAAATGAGATGGGAACAATTTGAAGGGTAGATGTTTTAGTAAAATGATCAAGATAGGTTCTGTGTTTTTCTGTTTGTTGTAGAGTGTCTCATAGTATTATTAACAAAAAAGAAATACAGTTAAAGTGACATTTTTCAAGATACACCTCCCCTTAAGGCAAACAATCTAATTTTTGCCAAAATAAGAACCTTAAAGCCAAACTTCCAGGAAGAAAACAGTATTACTATTTAGTGTACTAAAAATAGGATGAAAAAATGCTGTAAGTCCTTTAGAACTTACAGATATTTTTGGCCCAGATGGTTTACTTTTCACGTTAATTTAGCTGTGAGCACCTACAGATGCAGAAAGAGAAGGAGGTAGAGGAACAAAAGCTACTTTGTTCAGTTGATCTCTTTACCTGACACCAAGCCCTCCCTGCCAGGTAAGAGGGGAAATTTACACCTAGATATGTTCTTTTTCCTGTCATCACTTCTTTGATGCAACATCATTTTTTAAAGAATACTTTAAAAAAAAAGTCATTTTGTTACCCTGCACATGAATCTTTTTATTAATTGAAACCAGGGAAGATTCTCTGCCTCCAGGAGTTCAGGAATTATTTCTGAAGGTAAAGCCCATTCTTTTTCATTTTTTAGTTGGTTTTTAACTTATCAACTCTTACAGCTTGACTTGTTCTTATCTGTGTTCTGATCTAATATGTTCTCATTTAATTAGACAAGAGTGTAGTCCATGCGTTTTCTTTCTTTTCTTTTTTCTTTCTTTCTTTTTTTTTTTTTTTTTTTTGAGCAGAGTCTTCGCTCTGTCACCCAGGCTGGAGTGCAGTGGCGCAATCTCAGCTCACTGCAACCTCCGCCTCCCAGGTTCAAGCGATTTTCCTGCCTCAGCCTCCCGAGCAGCTGGGATTACAGGCACATGCTACCGCACCCAGCTAATTTTTGTATTTTTAGTACAGAGGGGGTGTCACCATGTTGGTCAGGCTGGTCTTGAACTGCTGACCTCAGGTGATCTGCCCGCCTCTGCCTACCAAAGTGCTGGGATTATAGGCATGAGCCACCGTGCCCGCCCCCATGCCATTTTTAAAAGAGGCACCCCATAATACTACCCCTCACTTCATAGATTTGTTTTCTAATAAGACAAATGCACATATCATGAAGATATATGCCATTTCTTTCACGATAAATTGTTAAGTCTGGGCTTCTCAATATAATACACTGCAAGAGGACTAAGCAACCATTAGCCATAGGCATTACACATTTGACCACTCTTATGTTCTACCACTTTATAGGGAAATCTGTTATGAATAATTTGTAGTTTTCTATTGATTTTTTCCCCCCTTAGCCTTCGTCTCCACAGACAGGAATTTGTTGTAACATAGATTGCAGACTGGGTGTGGTGGCTCATGCCTGTAATTCCAGCAGTTTGGGAGGCTGAGGCAAAAAATCAGCCAGGTATTGTGGTGCACACCTGTAGTCCCAGCTAGTCAGGAGGCTGAGTCAGGAGGATTGCTTGAGCCTGGGAGTCAAGGCTGCAGTGAGCTATGATTGCACCACTGCACTCCATCCTGGGCAACAGAGCGAGGGTCACAAAAACAACAGCAAACAACAACGTAGATTGCATTGCACAAAGGTCATTACATGCCTTTACGTCAGGGGTTCCAACTTGAGAACCATGGGTTGGTTTTAGGAGGTTCAAGCAGAATTTTGTATGTGCATTTTTCTGAGAAGAAAGTCTAATGTTTTCATCTCAAAGGCAGCATATGTGACCTAAAAATAGATAGCTACACACCACTACTCCAGCAAAACTGAAAGCTGTCCAGATTAAGCCAGATCACCAAGAGCTGCCGTATTTTCAGATGTTTCTTCATTTACTCGACAAATGTTTGAGCACCTGCTTTGGGCACTGTTTTAAGTGCAGAAGACAGTGGTGAACAAGATAGGCAGGATCCCTCCTCTCACAGTCCCCCTTTGTTGGAGGGAGATCCACAACAAAGAGTGCTAATTTAAATAGTTTTAGATGGAATTTCAAATAGCTTTTAGATGGTATGAGAAAAATAAAACAGGTTAATGTGATAGTGACTGGAGGTGAGGTGGGCCACTTCAGATTTGGTGATCAGGGAAACCCTCTTTAAGGCGGTGGCATTTGAGCACATAACTGAGTGAAATTGGGAAATATAGGGAAATAGCATTCCTGGCAGAGGGAAGAGCAAGAGCAAAGTCCTAAGGTGCTGTTAGGAAAGAGAAAGGGTAATAGTATGGCTATAATGTAGTGTGCAAGAGGAAGAGGGGCAAATGAAATTAGGAGGATTATCAGAGCCAAATCATGTAAGGCCTTGAGGGTTTTGTTAAGGAGTTTGGATCATAGGTATGATGGGAAATCATTCAAGGGTTTCAAGCAGGTTAGTGTCATACTCTGATTTGTATTTTGAGAGTTTATTCTGGCTGTTTTAAGGAGAATAGATTTAAAAGGGACAAAATTAGAATCAGGAAGAGCAATTAGATGATTGTTTTGGTAGTCTAGACTACAGATGATAGAATTGCTGTAGTAACTACTGATGATTGGGTTCACTGTATTTCATAGTAGGTCATAGTAGCTCCCAGCAGACTCAGAGATTTCTGCTTTCAGTATTACAGATAGTTGAATTTACCCTGAGCAACTGGTTTGTTTTTATTTCAAGAGAACTGTGAGTTGTACAATTAATGGTAGTTTATTCTGTATTTTGGAGACAGAAAAACTCAGGAATATAGCATAGCATCACATGTATTTTGTGTACTAACCTCCTCATCTTTCCTACTCTCATTTTCTCGTGGCCCTGGCTTTTCTCAGTTAACTAAGTTAAATTTGTCTTGCATATGTTTTTGTAAATTGCCTTAAAACCCGTTTGGAACAATGCAATATGTAAATAAATTAAGCGTTTGTTAGTGGACTCCTAAAACTGTTCGCAGTAAAAAGCATTAGGTGTGGGTAGATTTTGATTTATTTGCTTGTTTATTTGTCATTTATTTCTTCAATAAAAATGATTGAGTGCCAGGCACTGGGGAAAAAGAAGTGAGTGGTAGAAATTAAATAAGAGCCAGACTATTGGAGAGATAAGTTAGTTGGCAGTAATGAGATAAAGTTGAAGACAAAGACTATTGGATTCTGAAAGACAGCTAAAGGATAAAAAGTTAGGAGTGTAAAAAGAAAGCCACCAAAGTATCTGAATGACTTGTTGACAAGAACACTATTGTGTAGGAAATCAGAGACAGGATGGAGTCCTGCACTTCTTAATAACTACTGCATGACTTTGGAAACTGTTTCCTGAACTATTTCAACTATATATATTAACAATGGTTTAATGAAATCTGTGAGGGAAAATGTTGTAGAGTTTACTTCTGGGAGAGAGCTTTTACCTGGCATGCTTAATCTTGATTGCTAAAGTTAGGAATTATGTGAAGCTTGCAGTAAAGAGGTTATCAGTTGATTGAGTCAGCAGCTACCATCTATTGGTTTTTAACACTTCAACAGGGCAGTGGCATCGCTATGCCAGGTTCATATCATAGGTGAACTATTAAAAGCTGACAGTTTCTTCCACCAGTCTTGCTTGAAAAGGGAAGTACCCTGGGCACCCACCTCCTTGTTCTTAGCCCCTCACCCATTTTCTTTTATCCTTTTATACATGGCCTGATAATCTCTCTCTACCATACCCCCAAATGATTATAAGGTTTAGGAAAGAAGTTCCCATGTACATCACCATAGAAAGATAGGAAAACCCTGATAAACATACACTTGTATTTGACTCAAAATGAACAACTTTGAGTTCTGTCTAAAGGGACATGAACAAGCTTTGAATCTTATGAAGGAATTGTTTGGCCAGAATTCTTGCCATAGAGACTGGACGTCTGCCAGGACTTTACTTTGAAATTTCTGTCTTCTGTTTCTAATCTTAAGGCATCACAACATACAATTCTTTTGCCACTGGTCCAGTTTATTCTTTTATGATGAGGAAGAAGGCACTTTTAAATAACAATTATTTCCACTATAATTAAACAAATCTTCTTTTGTTTGCATTATTTTGTTACTATATTGTATACACACCCTGCCTGCTTAAACTTGCCCCTGTGACTACTTCACAGGAACTTTCTTTAGAAGTTTTAAAGTCGTTGACTTCTTAAAGTATTAATGGGATTTGCCAAAGTTGTAGTATCTGAATGCTTGACTAGATATAGTAGCAGGACAACAAGCTTGTTCACACAGCTCCTCCAGCAAGCATTTTTTCCTCAGACAATCCTAAATTCATTTGAAGTGCCAAAGAATTAAAGGAAGATACATTTGGGTTTACTTCTGAATATAACAAGACCAGACATCTCACAAAGTTTACCTTAAGGTCCAGATATTAGAAAAGTATGCTGCCCTTTTGGGAAAGCTTAGATTTTAAAGGATTAGTCTGAACCTAAATGACTTTTGCGTTTTTCTTCTTTTTGCTCCAGTGTCATAATTCCGGAAGTTTATAGTTTATGTGCTTAAATATGTAGGTGATAGGTGCTTATGCCTTCAGCTATCGATATGAACTTTGAACTCAAATTTTTATGATTATTTTAAGAGTAAACGTTAGAGCTGTTTTGTAGTTTGGAAAATTACCCTGTAAAATGATTTTTCAAAAACCAAAAACAAACACTGTGATAATTACAAAAATTGTTTATGCTCACTGTTTTTAAAAATTTCTTAAAAGTACTATAATTGCACACTCACAAAAAGTTACAAATATAGTTTAGAGAGGTCCCTTGTACACTTCCCCCAGTGCTAACGTTTTACATAGCTATAGTATTTGTCGAAACCAGGAAATTGGGGCCTGTCGTGGTGGCTCACGCCTGTAATCCCAACACTTAGGGAGGTTGAGGTGAGCGGATCACTTGAGGCCAGGAGCTCTAGACCAGCTTGGCCAACATGGCAAAACCCCGTCTCTACTAAAAATACAAAAATTAGACGAGTGCATTGGCATATGCTTGTAATCCCCACTAGTTGGGAGGTTGAGACATGAGAATTGCTTGAACCTGGCCTGCGGAGGTTGCAGTGAGCCAAGATCTTGCCACTGCACTCCAGCCTGGATGACAGATCAAGACTCTGTCTCCAGAAAAACAGAAACGAAAACACAGGAAGTAGATATTGTATGTTCACTGTTAAACTAAAATCAAACCTAAAAAGAAAGCTCTCAGGCCGGGCACGGTGGCTCACACCTGTAATCCCAGCACTTTGGGAGGCCGAGGCGGGCAGATCACCGAAGGTCGGGAGTTCAAGACCAGCCTGACCAACATGGAGAAACCCCATCTCTACTAAAAATACAAAACATTAGGCATGATGGCGCATGCCTGTAATGTCAGCTACTTGGGAGGCAGAGGCAGGAGAATCACTTGAGCCTGGGAGGTGGAGGTTGCAGTGAGCCGAGATCACACCATTGCACTCCAGCCTGGGCAACAAGAGTGAAACTCCATCTCAAAAAAAAAAAAGAAAAAAAAGAGAAAGCTCTTATTTTCCCCTCCTCTTCAGTCTTTCACAGTCATTATTTCCCTCCAGACCTTTGTAGTGTACATTCGAACATGTATACATGCAGATACTTACATGCACACATGTAGTTATTTCCTTTTTGGGGGAGGTATGTTATAATTCACATTTTTCATGCAACATATGCTTTCATATTGGTAAATATGGATGTTTCATTCTTTTTAATTTCTTTGTACTGTCTATAGTGTACATATACCATAATTTATTAAACAAGTCCTCATTTGTTGGACATTATGGATTCTTTAGTTTTGTCTATCTATTAATGAAGCTGCCATTAATATATTTATACATATATATCGAGCACTTGTGTAAGTATTTCTGTAGGCCTTTAGAAGTGGAATTACTGGGTACTGCTGAAAAAGCTCTCCAAAAAAGTATATAAATCAGAATTATTTTTAAAAGAGATACGTAACTTGGCAATATGACAATAAATAAAGCTAACAGATTTATGGAAAAAATTAAGTCATTTAAGTTTGCAGTTGGGCAAATACAGAATATTTCTTATTTACAATATAAGCATTATTGTAATATGATACATTTTAAGGTAAATTTTCAGTGAGTTACACAAGGATTAAATCTTTGTTTCCACAGACTGTGCATAATGTAAAAAGAGACAGTCCCAGATTTACCTGTTTTCAATTATCAATATTCCTGCTCTTTTTTTCACTGAAAGGGATAGGTTAAAATTTTTAGAACAGTTTGTCAACTATGGAGGGTAGTGATATTCTGGCCTTTGATAAATATCATATATGCAGTAAACTAATGATTAACTATTAACATTGGCATTACTCAACAAGGAGCTATATCTTTTCTCTCAAAATTAATTCACATTTTTGCCAAACTTCCTTTCTTCTTCTACTTTTTTTTTTTTTTTTTGGAGACAGGGTTTCTCTGTCGCCCAGGCTGGAGTGCAGTGGTGTGATCATGGCACATTGCAGCCTCAACCTCCCCAGGCTCAGGTGATCCACCTCAGCCTCCGGAGTAGCTGGGACTACAGGTGCATGCCACCACACCCAGCTGATTTTTGTATTTTTTGTAGAGGCAGAGTCTTGCCATGTTGCCCAGATTGTTCTGAAACTCCTGGCCTCAAGCGATCCACCTCAGCCACCCAATGTGCGGGGATTAATAGGGCCACTACATCCAGCCCTATTATTCTCCATTTTTTTTTTTTGAAATGGAGTTTCTCTCTTGTTGCCTAGGCTGGAGCATAGTGGTGTGATCTCAGTTCACTGCAGCCTCTGCCTCTCAGGTTCAAGCGATTCTCCTGCCTCAGCCTCCTGAGTAGCTGGGATTACAGGCACGTGCCACCACACCCAGCTAGTTTTTCTATGTTTAGTAGAGGCAGGGTTTCGCCATTTTGGCCAGGCTGGTCTCAAACTCCTGACATCAGGTGATCCGCCTGCCTTAGCCTCCCAAAGTGCTGGGATTACAGGTGTGAGCCACCGCACCTGGCTATTACTCATTTTTAAGAAATATTTTTCTCGGGCCGGGTGCGGTGGCTCACGCCTGTGATCCCAGCACTTTGGGAGGCCGAGGTGGGCGGATCACGAGGTCCGGAGATCGAGACCACGGTGAAACCCCGTCTCTACTAAAAATACAAAAAAATTAGCCGGGCGCGGTGGCGGGCGCCCGTAATCCCAGCTGCTCGGAAGGTGGAGGCAGGAGAATGGCGTGAACCCGGGAGGCGGAGCTTGCAGTGAGCCGAGATCGCGCCACTGCACTCCAGCCTGGGCTACAGAGCGAGACTCCGTCTCCAAAAAAAAAAAAAAAAAAAAAAAAAATTTTTCTCTAATAAATTTTTTTTGTTGACTGGAAATTTTTTTTTTTGTTACAGGTTTCTTTCAGTTTGGAGGATAGTTATGGGAAGTTTAAATATTTAAATGCTTTGTTAGAAAAACAGTAAATGCACTGTTTGTTTTACATACTAGTGGATATTATAACCACAATTCCTATTTTCAGTTATGATCTTTTTGCTACATAAAATAATATTCCCTAGACAACCTATACTGTATTTGCCATATCAAGTGTGAATCTGACAACAGAGTTCTAAAAAAATCCTACTAAGCATTCTTTTTGAAAGCAGATTGGCTACACATACAAATAAAAAGAAATGTTTGTGTAAATTAAGCCATCCTAGTCTAATTGTTTAAGCAGTTAATTTATAAATTGAAGAAATTATCTTCTAATCCTATTTTACATATAAATTTGAACATGACACGTAATTTCCCTGAAAGTCAACTTCTACTTTTATAGAGAACAGCCAGCACTCTACTTGAATGAGACGTATATATACATGACAGAGTTCTAGACTCAAGCAATATTGATTCAACAATATTGAGCTTTCCAGTGGTTTAAATTAGAAGCTTTTTCATGTATAATCTCTGCTTTTCCTTCATGGCTGTTTTGTCCCAGAAGAGACACAGTTCTTAAACTTTTGCTTCTTAAAGTGTTCTATGAAATATAATTTAGCTCAGTTCAACAAGCTTTGAGTACCCTAAAGGGAGAAGAGCTATTACCTCTACCCTTGAAGAACTCAAAATTTGATTAGAAAGTGAAAACAAACATACAAAGGAAAAGTAAGTATATGTACACACTCCGCACTTTAGGAAGTTATCAATGGCCCATAGAGCCACCTATCTTCTAATTTAGATGGTGCAGAGAACTCAACGCTGCCAACACTTTGCTAGCACTTCAAAGGGATGTATTCTTCCACCTATATATGTATATATATATATACCATCTATTAAAAAAGGCCGGTCATGGTGGCTCATGCCTGTAATCCCAGCACTTTGGGAGACCAAAAGGTCAATAGTGACCTCTTCAGAGCCAAGTGGATAATAGTTGTCATGAAAATTTTTACTAATATACACCAAAAGGCTGATATTGCTGAAGGTATTTTTTTTATTTGAGACTACCATTTATAGCATTATTCTCTAAACTTCCTCTTAGATATGCATTGCAGTGCTTAGTACTCATAGTTAAGTCACTGTTTAGTCCCTAGAGTATTTTGCAATGTATATTTCTCTCCTTTTCTTTGAACCCATTTGTGTTTTCGTAAATGTCAGAACATCTACCAATTACCTTCAAATTGTGATTCAGTGATTTTCATGGTCATAAAATCCTAAGACTTGAGGATTGGAAGGGACTTCCAAAAATCTAACCCCTGGCTCCAAACCTCTTAGAAGCTCTCCCCAGCAAGTGCCCTTGCTGCTGCTCCAGATATCTGGACATTCACCCCATCCAAATAGAGGCTTCTCTTCCCTTTTGAAAATCTCAGGGCAGCCTCCACCATTTCTCTCTGAGACTTGGTCAGACACTGCTGTTTCTGTTACTTCTCAGTCACACATCCTTCATCTGAGAAGATTAAAATAAAATTTGATTATTCAATGAAATTAAGTAGTTTCCACTTCCTTACTCTACTCCTTCTCACCTTCCAACTTTTTTCCTGTTTCATTCACTCCTTGTTTTGTCTACTCATCTTTTCACTTCTTCTGGCCCACTTATTCTATGCCACCTGAAAACCCTCATTGCAATGTAAATGGCCCTACTGCTTCAACTGTGTGGCAGAATGCTTTCTTCACCTCCTTTTCATAGAATTCGGAGGATACTGCTAACCCTGCAGCTCTCTCTAGTGGCAGGATGCATTCTTTCATGGCTACACGTGTGAATGAGATTCGTGTTCCCCTGGTTCCTCATTTCTATTTGTAGACCATTGTTCCTCCACTCTTGAGTGAAAGCTCCAGCCCCTCTGAGCCTCTTGTCTTCCATCTCTATCACCATCAACCTCTCACTGTTGCTTTTGCAGTCAGCTTATCTATATCCACACCCATTCTTCCTGTCCTTCATTCTCAGGTGTTAGGAAGCCTTTTTAATGAGGCTCTCATCTTCCTATGCCCTTGACCCTATCTTTTGTATGGGATTTTGTTTCATTTTGTTTCATTATTCATCTGCCTTTCCTCTGCTTTATCCTTTTCTTTTTTTTGAGACGGAGTCTCACTTGTTGCCCAGGCTGGAGTGCAGTGGCGTGATCTCGGCTCACTGCAAGCTCCGCCTCCCAGGTTCACGCCATTCTCCTGCCTCAGGCTCCCAAGTAGCTGGGACTACAGGTGCCTGCCACCACCCTGGCTAATTTTTTGTATTTTTAGTAGAGGCGGGGTTTCACTGTGTTAGCCAGGATGGTCTTGATCTCCTGACCTCGTGATCCACCTGCCTTGGCCTCCCAAAGTGCTGGGATTACAGGCGTGAGCCACTGCGCCCGGCCTGCTTTATCGTTTTCTTAGCCTAAAAACATTTTAGCTATTTCCAATTTCTCTTCCCTCATTTGCATCCTTAAAAGAGTGGTTTATAATTGATTATTCTTATTTTCACATCTCTCATTCATTTCTCAATCCATTCCTATCTGCTTTGCCACACTGCTGAAATAGTGTTCACTTAGGTCACCAGGGAAGGCCAGTAGACATTTTTAGCCCATATCCTATTGGTTCTTTCTGCTGCATTTGGTAATGTGGATCATGTTCTCTTTAAAATTCTCTCGTCTTCTGAGTCTGTACTCCCTTAACATCCTTCCTCTTTCTTTTCTGTGGTCTCCTTTTCTGCCCCCTAAATGTTGGTTTCCCCAAGGTTTCTGTCCTTAGAACACTGCTCCCTATACTCCTGACCTAGGTGAGCTGACCCGCTTTCATCAGATCTCTGGCAGTATGCCTTAGATACATATCAAGTTGCTTGGTAAACCATTTGACTTAGGTGTGTGTCCCGCATGCTGTGTGACCAAAGCTGTTGACTTGTTATCTTCCCTTATTCTCAAATCACATCCCTTTTTCATGTTGTCTTTTTTGATTGGTAGAACCACTTTGCCATGTCCTGGACAATCACCACGTCCTAGGGATTTTTTTCTCCTAAGTATTTCTCAAACCCATCCTCTTCTCTCCATGTTAACTACTTGCCTACCTATTCATCATTTTCTCTCTATCCCAACTATGTACCTGTCTGTCCCAATGTATTTTAAGATTGTTACAACAGTCTCCTAATTATTTTTTCTGCCTTAAGTGCATTTACTACAGAACCGAAGTGGTGAATCTGACCATGTCAGCTCCCTTGTTTGTTTGTTTATTTATTTATTTATTTGAGATGGAGTCTCACTCTGTTGCCCAGGCTGGAATGCAGTGGCATGATCTTGGCTCACTGCAACCTCTACCTCCTGGGTTCAAGCAATTCTTCTGCCTCAGCCTCCCAAGTATGCCTCAGCCTCCCAAGTAGCTGGGGTTACAGGTGCCTACCACCATACCTGGCTAATTTTTTTTGTATTTTTAATAGAGACAGGGTCTTACCACATCGGCCAGGTTGGTTTCGAACTCTTGACCTCAAGTGATCTGCCTGCCTCGGCCTCCCAAAGTGCTAGGATTACAGGCGTGAGCCACCGTGCCCGGCATTATTTATTTATTTATGAGATGGAGTCTTGCTCTATCTCCCAGGCTGGAGTGCACTGGTGCGATCTCGGCCCACTGCAACCTCCACCTCCTGGGTTCAAGTGATTCTTCTGCCTCAGCCTCCTGAGTAGCTGGGACTACAGGCACATGCCACCAAGCCCAGCTAATTTTGGTATTTTTGTAGAGAGAGGATTTTACTGTGTTGGCCAGGCTGGTCTTGAACTGCTGATCTCAAGTGATCCACACCCCTCAGCCTGTCAAAGTGCTGGTATTACAGGCCTGGGCCACTGCGCCCGGCCAGCTTCCTTGTTTAGAACCTTTCAATGGCTACCCAAAGTTCCTGAACAAGGCATATATATCCTTTTATGATTCAGCTCCTGACCCCTTCTCCAGCCTGTCTTATACTACCCCCTTACTCATATTTCAGTTTAGCAGCACTAAAGTACATGGCATTTCCCCATAAGCATAACTGTTTCTTGTCCTTGTGTCTTTCCTCACACTGTTCCATCTGCTTGAAATACCACGAGCCCTCCTTTGATTAACTCCTTAAGACTCAGTTTGGGTGTCATCTAAGACAGCTGCTTAGGTCTACTTCCCACCCCCTAAGCAATAATTGATGCTCTGATAATAGCCTATACATATGTCCATCTGTGTAATCAGCATGTTAGTTTGTAATTATGTTTGTGTGAATATCTTTCCCTTTATACTTGTGAACTTCTTAAATCCAAAGACTGGGCCATTACCGTCTTTTCATCACTAGTGTCAAATATAGTGCTTGTCACATGTGAACACAATCTCTTTTACGGAAGAGAAAGTTGGGACTCAGAGTTTGTAACTCCCTTAAATGATTCAGTCAAAATGAAAGTAGCTTGATTTTTAAAAACCTGGGTTGGGAGGAAATTTAGTAGGGCACAGACTAAACACTACTGGTACCTGCTATAGTATGCTACCAGAACTGTGAGAAATACATTTGTATTGTTTATAAGTCACTCGATCTGTGGTACTTTGTTATGGTAACCCAAACAGACTAAGACAGCGTCATAAGAAGTATTAACTCTGAAGTATTTTCTTATTTAAGTGAAGTATAATTGGATAGCCAAATAATATCCAGAGTATTGATTAAGTGATACAAAGGAAGAGCTTGATTTTTTTCCAGCCAGATGGTGCCGATTTCTAACATTCTGAAGCACCATAATCAAATATCAGATATTTTACTATTATTATTATTATTATTATTATTATTATTATTTTTTGAGATGGAGTCGCCCAGGCTGGAGTGCAGTGGCGCAATCTTGGCCCACTGCAACCTCTGCCTCCTGGGTTCAAGCAATTCTCTGCCTCAGCCTCCTGAGTAGCTGGGATTACAGGTGCCCACCACCACAGCCAGCTAATTTTTTGTATTTTTAGTAGAGACGGGGTTTCACCATCTTGGCCAGGCTGGTCTTGAACTTCTGACCTCGTGATCCACCCGCCTCGGCCTCCCAAAGTGCTGGGATTACGGGCCTGAGCCACCGCGCCCAGCTACAATTATTCTTTTAAAATGCTGACTCATGTTAAGTTGTATTGTCTACTGAGCTTTCCCTAAAGTCGTTGCATACTCTCTTAATTACCCCAGATTCTTACTATGAATTAAGTTGTATTTTTAATATTTTATGAATTTACTTTCAACCGATCTGTAAATACTTAAAGAATACTTCCAGTTTTCTTACCTGTTTGTTATTTCTCTTTCTCTTCTTTGTTCTCCTCTTAATTATCATCAACAAACTTTACCTCAACTGTGTTGAGGGCACTGGGCCAGGCACTGTTTTTATGTATTACAAAGAAGAGATGCCATGGTTTGAGTTTTTTCTGATGGCCTAGTGTAAGATGATTATGCAAAGTGTCAATGGAAACAATTGTCTTAACAGGATAACAGCCTATTTTGCTTAGAAATGTCCTAATTTCCTGTTTTTAGGTTATCCAGAGGTCAGGTAGGGATTTCTTTTTGTACTCTCATAGTGCAGATTCACATCGTGCAAGCATCACAGGACTTAGATCACAATCCATTTAATTCCAGTGGCTGCATTTATCTTCCCAAGAAAATAAGTCCTCCTTCAACTGCTGTTTTTATTTAGTTTCTCTTTTTTAATTTTATCCAATAACCTGTAGTGAAGGTGTGACTTCAATAGCTGTTTACCAGTAGCTGCTTCTTAACTGAGCTGCATCTTAAAGTTCATCTGTTGCCCATTTTGAAGTTCATGTGGCTACCTGCACTGGTCAGAATGTTACAGTGTTGTCTCTGTTTCGTTGTCTCAGAAATCTGTTACTAACTAAGCATTCAAGCAAGCATCAGGCCCCAAAGTAAGCCCTGACTACATGATGTGAACTTCTGCCTTAGTGAATCAGCTTCAGCATAGTTTGATAACTGCCTTTTTTCTTCATGTTTAATTGTGCTTTGAGGCTATGGAAAGACTACATTTATCTGTTGAAACAGACTAAGCAGCAAGTGTTCTGACATGTTTGTCGCGCAAATTATTATACGTGACAAAAGGTAATTACATATACAATCAGGTCTGGAAGTAAATGGATAATTAGGGGTTAATATATTATCTAGCATAAGAGAAGCACCTTTGAGATTCAAGAAAAGTAAACTAAATGCACATCTTTTTTAATTGTTTGAGTAAAGATTATAAAATATAAGATTTGAAAGAAATGAGTAAGGTTATAAACTCTCCTAAATACAAATACTAACTGAGATATTATAATATTGTCTTTAACAGAGACCACAGAGATCCTTAGTTTCCTTATTTCCATCAGACTAAGTATGGTAATCCAACTTTGCATCCCTTCAGGATTCCAAGGCAAAATGGTAATGGGTCTGTATTTATACTCTGGGCCTCAGTATATAAACTGAGGCCTTATCTCTATAAAGCATAAGAAATGAGATTTGACTCTGAAATTTAGGTCATCACTTCACCAAAGATTTATTGCCAAAATTGGAGTCTATTTTTTTTCCCACTAATTTATTGCCATAGAAATGATCTCCCTTTTCCTCTTGAGGCAATTGGGATTTAATGAGCTTGGTTTCTTTCGGTTATCCTGAATGGCTTGAGTTCCATTTTAAATAAGAGAATAAGGTGCCTCTGGGGACTTAAATATTTAGTTTTGGGGGATTTTTTATTTGTTTGTTTCTGTTTTTGGAGACACTGTCTCATTCTGTTGTCCAGGCTGGAGTGCAGTGGTGCAATCTCGGCTCACTGCAACCTCCACCTCCTGGGTTCAAGCAATTCTCCTGCCTCAGCCTCCTGAGTAGCTGGGACTACAGGTACCCGCCACCACGCCCGGCTAATTATTGTATTTTTAGAAAAGAAGGGGTTTCGCCATGTTGGCCAGGCTAATTTCAAACTTCTGGCCTCAAGTGATCTGCCGCCTCAGCCTCCTAAAGTGCTGGGATTACAGGCGTGAGCCACCGTGCCTGGCCAAGTATTTAGTTTTAATTTTAGTTCAGCCTTAAAGAAAAGCCAGTCATTGTTTATAACTAATAGCAAATTATAAGTATTATTTGACTTCCTAAAATTTTAGGGTAAAACATATGTGACTGCCTATATTGAAGACTAAATTAATCTAGCTGTTGGATTCTCCAAGTGTTCATTTGCTTTATTTTAAGTCATAACCATTGAGGTGGGGCAAGAGGGAGAAGAAGCACTTAGATTCTTTTGAATTTAGAAAAACTAGTTATTCTCTTCCCTCGTGTTTTTCTTAACAATTGTACTGCGGAAATCCTAGCCTGGTCTGGCTTCCTTCATTCAAGCAACTGCCATATCCTGGAGTATAGACATGTTGGCATACAATTTTTTCATTGGCTAATTCATATTGTCTTCCTTTGTTGCTCAAGTTCTTCCAAAGTCAATTCATACAAGCAGATCTTATTTCTTCGTAGCTTCAGTGGAGCAAAGTGACTTATCAGAGAGAACTGAAAGTCTATTGAACACCTCTCATCATGAGTTTCAACGTTTGATTTCCTTGGTATTAGAGGTCTTTGAGCTTCATTGGTGAAGTCATTACATAACTACTTGTTATGCAAGTGTAGCAGATGATGTAGTGAATCTGTACAGAAAATTAAATGTATGACCTGGGAATGTTTATTTAACATGTTTGATGGTGGCATCACTAGTTTACAAAAGGAGCAGAACTTTGGTTGTGAAATATTTTAGTACGTCCTATGGCACAAATTAAATCAATCAATAAATAGCCTAGTCTGGCTTTCAGAATAATTATAAAACATTACTAAAATTCAGAGATGTCTTAATTACTAGTAGTTTAGATGTCAAGTAAATGATAACATAGCCCTATTATCAGTATATATGATATGGGCTCAGTGTAGACTTATGAAATTATGTATCAAAAGGTAACATATGCAGTGAATCTCAACAGATATTTAGTTGATGCCTAGTATATGCCAGTTACCGGGCTAAATGTGAAGATACAGATACTAAGCAAAACAAGTCACTAGCTTTGAGGCACTTACAAAGTACATTATTAGAAGGAGGAAAAAGGCACTTCAACTGTTGAGATATTGGAAGGAGATAAGTGCTGGGATAACTATGATTCACCCAGACTAAAAATGGAATTATTGATATTTGATTCTTTGGTGGATACACAAACTAACCTCTAATGTCAATATACTGTGAAAAACACTGTGATACAGATATGTGGAGGGTAGTATGAGGACACAAAAAAGAGTGACAGCTAACCCAACCAAGGTGGTCTGGAGAGGCTTCCTGGGAGACTGATTTAGACTTAAGTGTTATGGACTAAGTAAGAGCTACCTGAGTGAAGAAGGAGGGAAAGGAGACTCCATACAGAAGAGCTGAGGAATGAGGAGTGTCCTAGGGTAGTCATGGTTTCCTTTTTTTTTTTTTATGAGACCGAGTTTTGTTCTTGTCACCCAGGTTGGAGTGCAATGGCATGATCTCGGCTCACTGCAACCTCTGCCTCCTGGGTTCAAGCAATTCTCCTGCCTCAGCCTCCCAAGTAGCTGGGATTACAGGTGCCCACCACCACGCCCGACTAATTTTGTATTTTTAAGTAGAGATGGGGTTTCACCATGTTGGCCAGGCTGGTCTTGAACTCCTGACCTCAGGTGGTCCGCCCACCTCAGCCTCCCAAAGTGCTGGGATTACAGGTGTGAGCCACCACGCCTGGCCCAGTCATGGTTTCTAGAGAACTAAGAGTAGTTCCTCATTTAGGAGCCTGGATTACTTGAAGGGAGAAGCCAAAAGGTTGACCTGGATAAGGTGCAAGAGAGCTTTGCATGTCATGTTAAGGAACTTGAATTTATCTTGTAGGAAATGGGGAGCCATCAAAGGTTTTAAACAAGGGAATGGTGTAATCAAATTTGTGTTTTAGCTAGATCTCTCTGGCAGCAGTGTGGAGGTTGGCTAATCTGGAATATTGTAAGAGAGAGGCAAAGGGAATAGGCAAGACCAATGGCCCCAGAGGAGAGATTGTGATGTCTGAACTAGGACAGGCGTAGTAATAGTAGGGATGGAAAGTTGGGAGAGGGCCAGGCACGGTGGCTCACGCCTATAATCCCAGCACTTTGGGAGGCCAAGGCAGGTGGATCACTTGAGCCCCGGAGTTCGAGACCAGCCTGGCCAACGTGTGAAACGTTGTCTCTACTAAAAATGCAAAAATTAGCTGGGCATGGGGGCGTGTGCCTGTAATCCTAGCTACTCGGGAGGCTGAAGCACAAGAATCACTTGAACCCAGGAGGCAGAGGTTGCAGTGAGGTGAGATTGCACCACTGTACTCCAGCCTGGGCATCAGAGTGAGGCTATGTCTCAAACAAAACAAAACAAAACAAAACAAAAAGAGGAGAAGAAGAAGGTGGAAGAAAGTAAATACAGGAAATATTTAGGAAGTTAAATTGGTACTATTTGTCAATAAATCAGATGGAAGAATTGTGAGAGAGAGGCCAGGCACGGTGGCTCACGCCTATAATCCTAGCATTTTGGGAGGCCGAGGCAGGTGGATCACGAGGTCAGGAGTTTGAGACCAGCCTGACCAACAGAGTGAAACCCCCGTCTCTACTAAAATACAAAGATTAGCTGGGTGTGGTGGCGTGTTCCTGTAATCCCAGCTACTCAGGAGGCTGAAGCAGGAGAATTGCTTGAACCTGGGAGGCGGAGGTTGCAGTGAGCCAAGATCACGCCACTGCACTCCAGCCTGGTGGACAGAGCAAGACTCCATCTCAAAAAACAAACAAACAAACAAAAAAATTGTGAGAGAAAAGACACAAAGCAAACTAAATCCAGATTTTTGGTTTCAGTAATTAGGTAAAGTACTGCTAGTTCATGTATGACCTACATGAAGCTGAACTCTTACGTTCAGTACTCTCAAGAAAAGCAAGCCATGCCTGTGTGTTTCTGTGTGTGCATGGAGGGATAGCATTAGGAGATATACCTAATGTAAATGACGAGTTAATGGGTGCAGCACACCAACATGGCACATGTATACATATGTAACAAACCTGCACGTTGTACACATGTACCCTAGAACTTAAAGTATAATAAAAAAAAAAAATCTAAGTTACATTCAACTATTTGAAGTGAATCTACTTGAGGAAATTATATGACAGGTTCTTTCTTCTATTGGGTAATTGAAGGTTTTTATTATTTTTCAAAAATAGGAAATAAAAAAAATTGATAAGAATTTATTAACATTGGCTGGGTGCAGTGGCTCACGCCTGTAATCCCAGCACTTTGGTGAAACCTCGTCTCTAATACCTAATGCTAAATGACGAGTTAATGGGTGCAGCACACCAGCATGGCACATGTATACATATGTAACTAACCTGCACATTGTGCACATGTACCCTAAAACTTAAAGTATAATAATAATAAAATTAAAAAAAATTAGCTGGGGTGGTGGCACACACCTGTAATCCCAGCTACTTGGGAGGCTGAGGCAGGAGAATCACTTGAGCCCAGGAGGCAGAGGTTGCAGTGAGCCAAGATCGTGCCACTGCACTCCAGCCTGGGCAACAGAGTGAGACTCCGTCTCAAAAAAAAAAAAAAAAAGAATTTATTAACATCTTTTTGCATTCATAAAAAACTTTCAGGAAACTTTAATTAAATATCTATTTGTTGTTTGGGTTTAAATACATAATATAAATATTTTATCCCAATTGCCAAAAGAATTATTTTAAAACTCAACTACATAAGGTGCTAATGTTCTTATACTGCTAAATGGAAAGTCAGAAGATCCTATTAAAAGTTTATATAACAAATTCTACTCCTAGATATATACCCAAGAGAAATGGAAACAGTTTTTTACAAACACCTTGTACATAAATGTTAATAGCAGCATTTTTTTTTTTTTTTGAGGCAGAGTCTCGCTCTGTCGCCCAGGCTGGAGTGCAGTGGTGCAATCTCAGATCACTGCAAGCTCCGCCTCCTAGGTTCATGCCATTCTCCTGCCTCAGCCTCCTGAGTAGCTGGGACTACAGGTGCCTGCCACCATGCCCGGCTAATTTTTTATATATTTTTTTAGTAGAGACAGGGTTTCACTGTATTAGCCAGGATGGTCTCGATCTCCTGTCCTCATGATCCACCCTCCTTGGCCTCCCAAAGTGCTGGGATTACAGGCGTGAGCCACCGTGCCCGGCCCAGCAGCATTATTTTTAATAGCCAAAAAAGATAAATGTCCATCAACTGATGATTGGATAAACAAGGTGTAGTACATCCATACAATATATTATTATTTGTCAATAAAAAGGAATGAAGTAATAATGCATGCTACAACGTGATGAACCTTGAAAATATTATGCTTAAGTGAAAGAAGCCAGTTACAAAAGACCAGGTAGGTCTTTTTGTTTTGTTTGTTTTGTTTTGTGTTGTTTTGTTTTAAATAGAGGCAGGGTCTTGCTCTGCTGCCCATCCTGGAGTACAGTTCATTGCTCACTGCAGCCTCCACCTTCTGGACTCAAGCTAGCCTCCCACCTCAGCCTCCCAAGTAGCTAGCACTACAGGTGTGCACCACCACAGCCAGCTAATTTTTAATTGTATGTCGAAACAGGGTCTCACCGTGTTGCCCAGGCTGGTCTCAAACTCCTAGTCTCAAGCCTTGGCCTCTCAAAGTGCTAGGATTACAGGGGTGAACCACCATGGTAGGCCAGAAGACCACATGTTATTTGATTCCCATTTGGGGAGTGATTGCTAATGGCTATGGGGTTTCTTTCAGGGGCTCTAAAATTGATTGAGATGGTTGCACAATTCTGTGAATAGAGTCAAAACCATTGATTTGTGCCCTTTAAATGAGTTAACTGTATGGTACATCTCAAAGCTGTTAAAAAAAAAAATTTTAAAGTTATATAACAAGAAATAGAGGTTTAATTATATTAAAGTTATAAAAACAAAAATAGACAAAAATGGTAGGATAGCTACCCAAGAAGAGAGCTGGTATAAAGTAAGGTAAATTCTCATATGTGATAGCTGTAAAATAATAAACTCAAAATTAGAAAAATAAGCCTATTAGGGATAGTGAGATAATCACTAGAACTAAAAGAGGAGTTAAAGGCCAGACGCAGTGGCTCACACCTGTAATCCCAGCATTTTGGGAGGCCGAGGTGGGTGGATCACTTGAGGCCAGGAGTTTGAGACCAGCCTGGGCAACATGGTGAAACCCCGTCTCTACAAAAAACACAAAAATTAGCCGGGCGTGGTGGTATGTGCCTGTAGTCCCAGCTGCTTGGGAGGCTGAGGCACAAGAATTGCTTGAACCTGAGGCCAGGTGCGGTGGCTCACGCCTGTAATCCCAGCACTTTGGGAGGCCAAGATGGGTGGATCACGAGGTCAGGAGTTTGAGACCAGCCTGACCAACATGGTGAAACCCCATCTCTAACTAAAAATACAAAAAATTAGCCGGGCATGGTGGCGTGTGCCTGTAATGCCAGCTACTCAGGAGGCTGAGGCAGGAGAACTGCTTGAACCTGGGAGGTGGAGGTTGCAGTGAGCCGAGATCACGCCACTGCACTCCAACCTGGGCAACAAAGCGAGACTCCGTCTCAAAAAAAAAAAAAAAAAAAAAAGAATTGCTTGAATCCGGGAGGAGAAGGTTGCAGTGAGCCGAGATTGCACCACTGCACTCCAGTCTGGGTGACAGAGCGAGACTCTGTCTCAAAACAACAACAACAGAAAACACAAAAAACAAATAAGTAAGGAGTTAAACATGGTTACTTCTGAGTACGGCAGTGAACTGTTGGTTTCATGATATGCTCCATTTGATTATTAACTATGTATTTGATAAAATTAATTTTAATAAATTAACCACATAAATTCACATGTATGTATCTATATGCTATTTTAGCCATGGTAGTGACCAAAAAGAAAAAAATCAAAATAAAGCAAATATGGATGTGTGTAAATCCAATTATGTAAATTTTACTGTATTCCTCTTTTTTTTTTTTCAAATTCCAAACTCACCTAGAGGTTATCTAGGACTACTACATTAGCTTAGCATAAAAAAATACTTTAAGAACATTCTACATTTGCATGTACAGTTCACCTGAGTGAAGTTACTTGAAGAGACTAATTCCTTTAAGCAGCTTCTGCAGCATGAAGTGCTCAGAACTCACTCCTAGTCCTCACAGAGGTGGGAGTGAAAGGATTGGCTGAGAGCAAGTCTAGCAGATGGGACATTGGAAGAGGGCAGGCTTGGGTGAAGGTGCATCAGATCCAGAAGGTAGCATGAAGGCAGTTAACACCTGAAGGCAAAAAAGTGAGGTGGCTGGAGGCACAATACTGTTTTGCTTTTTTGTATTGTAGTTATTGCCTATGCTCCTTCTGACTGCTACTTAAAATTCTGTGCTACATGTGGAGTTTTCCAAATGTGGTGTTTTTAGATGGCTGGAAAGGAAGGAAAATCCAGGTGCTTTAAAAATCATATGGAGCTCATCATTTGACCTCACAATATATTTTGTAAAAGGACTTGTAGTTTTTTCCAATGTAGCTAATTTAGTAAGACCCATTTTTCTTGAATTCCCAGTGGCAAATTACTCAGGATTTGTTAGAAGGACAAGTATTTCTTCCTTGAAGCAGTACTAGGGTTTAGGACTTTTGTTGTTTAAATCTCTGGAGCACTCTAGGAACCCTGGTCTCAGCTTTGCTTTTTGGAGGCAAAGGAAAAATGATCTCCTGGTTTACTTTTGGAATCTGCAAAGCAACTCTGAGGTCCCAGGTGGATTTAGTGTTTGGAAAAGGGAACTTGGGGGACTGAGGTTGACCCTGAGCCCCCAGGTCACTGTTCACGTTTACAAAAGCAAACCTGGTATCCCCAATTGCTTTTCTCTTGAGGTTGGCTTAACTTTATTTATCTTCTGTCCTGGGTCACTGCCCCTGAGGTGCTTCAAAAGCAAAACCCAAAAGACCCAAAACAAAGAAAGCTAAATCAGATTCAAGGAAAAAATGACCTGGCACTGTGGGTTCACTTTTAAAAAGGCAAAAAGTCACTTCAAGAGTTTCATAGAATAGTTTTAAGTCTGCCTAGATTCATTGTGTCATTTGTACAAAGTGATCTCAACAGGTCTGAAACCCCAAGTTCCTTGGGCATGGATCGAGAATGAGTCTGTAGGATGGGAAACTGTCAGCAAGCTAAATGGGTTGACACAAATGAATTCCTCAGTGATTCTGAAGTGATTCAACTATTTTGAGCATATAAATGGGACCACCCATGTAACACTTCTTTCCTTAAGCTGATCTTTGTGTTTGCTGGACACACACAGGGAATGCTGAGGAAGTGAAATGTACAACTCACTTACAAATGTTGGCATACACCCACTTTATGTTATCAGATTAGTTATGAAGGGTATTTTTGAATCCTTGGTGAAAAAAAACTTGGAATACTAATTTCAGATAATCTTACAAATCATGATGAGGTAGAACTCAAGCACATGATTTTGCCTTTTCATTTTTATATCATCTGTACTTTGCTTACTTCCCAAAAGGATTTAAGGTGGAATTACTTTACTTGACTATTGGAAGAAACCCATTTATAAAGCTTAATACCAATTTTCATTATCATATGCCTGACTTTATCCTTTAATAAGTAATTGTAAAATTGCTTTTGGGTAATCTGGGGAGATTTTTGTTTTTGTTCATGTTTGATCTACATCTTTGAACTTCAGGTGTATGTGTTAACCAATAAATACACCTGTTGAGACCATGTCCTACTGTTTATTTACAAGACTGAAAGAGATTTTGTGTGATTAATAACAAACATATTATTTGTGCATTGCCATCTGAAGGAAGCAAAACTTAAGTAGAGAAGTGAGATTTTTCATAATGTAGATCTTAATATTAAGAACATAGTGCATCCTGTGAAGCCTAACCAATTGTGAGAGGCAGTCCGCAAGGCAGTGACTGTTGGGGTAGAGTGAAGGCAAGTATTAGTGTTTGTACCTGGCAACACCCCAGTTTCCCCTTTTCTACCCATCACACTCTGACTCCAAAGCAATCATGTTCTTTTAAAGTCATCCCAATCAAAGACCAGGGTCATCTTGGTCGGAACAGGCATGGATAGCTGCCTGTGGAAATGGGTTCAGTCCATAAAATCTGGCCTGGCATAATGTTAGGTGGGACCCAGGAATAAAGTCCTGGTTTTTTGTTTTATCCTTCACTTCAATAGAACTGAATTATAAAAAGTGAAAAATGACCTTATAATTGTTATGCGTGAAGGAGACTGATAGACAATTCAGAAATATTAACGCTACTTTCTCCAGGAAGATCATTTGACTTACTTAACGTTAGACCCAATGCTGTATCATGATGGAGTCTCTCCTCTTTATCAATACCCCAGTGAAAAGCTGGGAGAGATACAGGGATGTCACTTCACTATATTCACTTGCCATAGTTTGCCTGCAAGCCAACATTGGCCTTTTTCAGAGAGCTATCAGCATAAGCTAAAGTAGCCTGTACTTATAAAGCCTAAGAAAAAAGCTCCCAAGGAAACTTGGAATAATGGTCTGGCATCATCATTTAATCAGTTATTTCCTGAATATCTACTGAGTGGTTAGACTGTGCTAGACACACTTTATGAGCTTGCCTGCCCAGTTTTGAAGTTTGTTTCTATTTACTTGTTCCAGCAGTACAATGCATTTGAAAAATCCTTACACACATGAAAATGATAAATGAGAATATGAGATCAACATGCTTGCTGGCTCCATCTTTGCTCTCTGCCCATGTCCATGTGTAGTCTTTGGGACACAAACACTGAAATGTCTCAGCCATTGGATCTTCAGTCATTGGATTCATAGACTGAGCGGAATGAGCAGGCAGTCACCAGCTTCTATATAAGTTAATGGTTTCTATTTTATTCTATATTAAAGTGATAGTAGCTTCCTCATGTGTTACTGTAGTTTAAATTACTAGGATTCTGTGTGAATAGCTTTTCTTTATAATTTCTTCCATGTTAACATCAAAAGATTACTGCTTTATTCCTATCTTACAATGTAAGCTCCTTGAGGAAAGAGATTTTGTCTTGTTCCAATGCTGTATCTCTGGTACCTAGCACAGTATCTAGCACGTGATAGGTGGGGAGTCAATATATGTTGAATAAATAAATGAATCTTATGTAGATCATTGGCTTTTTTGTCTGCTTTGGCAATTAATTCCTTAACCATTAATTTGCAAATTCGTGCAGATTTCTACAGATACCTGTAAATTAACTGTGTACAATATGTATTTCTATAAATATTTATACAAAGATTAATGTCAATATGAAAGCATATAGATTTGTCTACATATGGGCAGGTAGGTTTAATTTTGTGGTTCCTGTAATTTCTGCGGATTTGCACATAAGAGATTTGCATATGAGTATCTGACCATATGTGAACATTGTAAGCATAGTGTTTCTTTATCCAGGACAGTCTGGTCTTGTGCTGTAAAAGAATCAATTCTGTATTCACAGTTGGAGTTGGTGCGGGTTTTTCATTCATTAAGTCGGCTCCTCCTTTCCCACTTGGGGGTAAATCAGCCTAGAGAAAAAGAGCCTTAAGAGGTTGCTTTCTGCTGACACTGTGCATTGCACATGCACAGTTGTGCAAATACACACATATACCTGAAAGAAGAATCCTTGAAAATGAGGCTTCTGTTGACAACTCTGTGAGGGGTGTTCATTATTGAAATTTATTTTAATATATAAATATATAAACCTTATTTATAACTATAGTATTAACACATATCCATTGTAGAGTATTACAAAAATAAAGAAAATAACAGTTAACCTTAATCCCACCACATAAATGACAATCATTCTTTTTTAAAAATTACTATTTTAGAGGTGAAGTCTCATTATGTTGCCCAGGGTGGACTCTTAACTCCTGGGCTCAAGTGATCCTCCCGCCTCAGTCTCCAGAGTAGCTGGGACTACAGGAACACACCACCATGCCCAGCTTATAACCGGCATCCTTAACGTTTTTGCAAATTTTCTTCCAGTCTTTTTGGATGGGTTTTTATGTAACTTAAGTAGCAACATTTATCATAAACATTATCCCAAGTTATTTAAAATTCTTTGTAAACATTAATTTTAATAACCACATGATAGTCATCATACAGATAGACCTCACTACTTAACCAGTCTCTTAATATTGAGATTTAGGCTATTTTCAGTTTTTGATAACACAAATAACATTTTTGAGATTAATATCTTTGTGCATAAATTTTTTTCTGTTTCTCGAAGTTGCATTCCAAGAAGTAGGATTGCTGAATCAAAGGGAATGGCCACTTTTATAAGGTTCTTAAACACATTGCAGAATCACATTCCGGAGACGTTATACTAATTTACACTCTTACCATCTGAGTGTATGAAAGTAACTTTTCCTCTTTGTGAAAGGAGGGAAAAATGTGGCCAAACAACAGTTAAAAATTACACAGAACTTTAAATAAGTTCCCTTTTCTTTTTCAGACAGTATATTCTTTAACATTGTCTCAGTATAGTTTCTATCCTAGTGTTTCAACTGTTGGTATGGCCCAGAATGGTATCTTGTCCGAAAGAAAATAGAGTGGCTTTCCATAGTTAATATTTTCATTATAGAATTTTCTGCCTGTTGCAAGAAAATCTCTATTAATACCTGTAAATTGGATGGGGAAATAGTCAAGCAAGTTCTTTACCTTCATCAAGAAAAGCTAGTTTCTGGTGACCTTTCTTTATGAGGTTTTAATCACCCCAGAGTTTTATCCCTCTCAGAGTCAGTGGTCGGCTCTTGTATCCCATGAGTAAATGCAAATGTTTCCTCCATTTGAAAGCAAAACCAGTAAGACCCCTTACTTATAAAGTGAGTTAAAACAAAAAGAAAGAATATAAAAACTAAAGGAAGGTAGTAAGTAAAGCATTTAGCTTTCTGAAACAATTCAAATGGGGATAGGAAGTTGGTTTTAAATGGCTTAAAGGGGATTAGGGTTTTAAAGTTGGATAAAGAGTTTGGTGCTTAGGTTTAGGCATGGCATTGCTTTTAAAAGATTACTTCCATATTTGACAATGATTCTAACTGGAGATTATAAAGTAAATAGTCAATTTTAAGACACCACGGGAAACAAGAGGGTTTCTTTTTTGTTGTTGTTTGTTTATACAAAATGGTAGCCTAGAGTTAACAGGCTGAATCCTGAAGCCCTCATTTCATAATACTACAGAGGATCTATCACCAGAGAGAATCTAGCAGAGGTTGTTTAATGCACTTAATTGAGATTATCTGAGCTTTTGGTTTAAATTACTTTGGAAAAAGTCTTAGGTGCAAACAGCGTCCTTGAAAGGTAAACATACTTACCTCTAAGAAAAAAAGGTTCAATTTAAGTTCTTTAAAATTCTTCATACAGGTTAGTAGCACCAACCTTTATTAATTAAATCTGGGTACTGACTAATGCATAAAGATAAAATTTCTATACATCAGTACAAGGGTTAATATATATTATATTAACATTGTTTTCATTATTTTACAATTATTTGAAAACATGAAGTATTTTACTAGAAAACAACCCCTGGCATTTTTAGTAATTTCAAAGTAAAAAGATCTATTTTGATTGTAAAGTACAGTTAATGAAGTTTTAAAAATGAATTTCCGTATTCTGTTCCATCTAAGAAGCAAGCCATATTAAAATGGACCAAGGATAGCATATAATTTAAGTATTAACTGGGTAAATAATCAAAAGTTGATTTAACATTTCCCCCATCTTTCGCAGCTCCTTGACCTGTTTATGGTTTGGGATTGGTCTACTTACCTAGCTGATTATGGGCAGCCAGCTTCTAAGTACCTTCGGGTGAATCCAAACACAGCCCTTACTCTTTTGGAGAAGTGAGTATATTCTGAAACTTTTTTGTATAACATTTTAGCACCTTTTGATTCAGTGATAAACTGAAGAACTAGAGATTTCTGTCAAAAAAGAAAAGTCTAGATGGAGCTTAAAAGCTCACTCTAGTTTAATGACCAAAAAATAAGCTTTTCTTTCTTGCCCTTCAGAGTTGGTGTAGTTTCATAAGCAACTGCTGTTTATATTGATGTGAACAAAACATCTTTCCTTTTGTATCCTGAATTGCAAGCTTAATTGACCTTAGAAATATGTTTACTGGGGATGTGACAATTGGAGCTTTCTTTAAAAAAAAAAGTCTATAACTCAGGAAAGAAGGTATTTTGTCAAATGTGACCAGGAATTGGAATGTTTGCCACCAGTGTTACCTAAATCTTAGCATTATGGACTTGGATTCTTTGCAGGTAGAGAAATATGTGATTTGAAAAAAAAAATACAGTAAAAACTGAGGTAATAGGATTTACTGATGCATCTTGTCCAACTAAACATAAATTTAGGTGTTAACTTTTCCCTCTCATTATGTGACAGACTTTTTCTTTACTCAATCATATTTCATTTAAAATGTCACTATTGGGAGACTCTCTGAATCTGCTGTGATTCTGGGGGCTGCTGGATAAGAAAAATAAAAAAGTATCACTATTAAAATTTTCAATTTTAAATTAAAATTGTTATTATTTTCCTATATTTCAAAATATTTGTGGTGTATTTGATTTGAAAGGACAAGAGGAAGTGTTTAAAATAAATGTAAATTTATTTTACAATGCCATGAAATGCAACTGAGGCAAAAACATCGCTATTTTACATTTTCTAATGTTATTTTCCTTTCACCTTATCTTGCTATGAATATGATTAGCAGAGTCTATACAGGGTATGTATTTTAGCATACTTTGTGGAATAATATTAGAAAATAGTATGATAGTAGTAAACCTAGCATATTTTAGATGTACATACTAATGCAAAAATACCACTTAACATAGAATGTAAAATAAAGCTTCTAATTTTTTGCATGGTTACTATATCTGTATGTTTATTTAGTATCTACTTTCTTTGAACTATATTTTTCAAGCATAGGATTAGTGTGGGATAATTCAGAGCATGCCAAGATATTTTACTTGTGACAGCTTAGCTTTTAATTTTCTTTTACCAAGCTTCTTCATTCACATATGTTTCTAGGATGAAGGATACTAGCAAAAAGAACAATATATTTGCTCAGTTCAGGAAGAATGATCGAGACAAACAGAAGTTGATAGAGACAGTCGTGAAACAGCTGAGAAGTTTGGTGAATGGTATGTCCCAGCACATGTAGACCTCACATGGCTTGCACTCAGTGACACCAAATCCATGATTCAATGTTGATCTTGAGCAAGTATTGGTCATGATACAGTAATTTGTTTACAGAATCCAAAAATACAATAGAGAAGATACATGAGGGCTTAAACAAGAAATAGTAATAAATATCATTTGTATGGATTTTTAAATAATCGAATACTATTTTATATATGGAAAAAAATGACCATTTTTTCACTTTTAGGGGAAAATGCAAAAGTGTAATACATAAATTGTCACAAATTATACATGAAATTGATTACAAATACATTTGAAAAACATATGCCTCTACTCATAAGTATTTTTTTCTATTTAGACTTGAATGATAATCTGTTTTTTGATCAGTATATGGCTTTGGAATTCAATCATGTCTGATATGGTAGTATTTCACTACCATTTTCTGACTTTTAGCTTTTATTTTCACCTCAATGTGATTTAAGCAGACCAAAATTTCTAATTCTGCTAATTCTGAAGGGGAAATAGACAAATCTTAAAAGCTGCCTGAAATCAAACTTGATTTAACTCAGTAAGAATGTGAATTATTTGTTCTACTTGGGTGGTTTAATTTAATCGTTCTGAATATGAACAAAAGGTTTTGGATTTTCTAAAGATGCAGTGTTGTTTCTGTTCATCAGGGTTAATATTTCTAACTATATTGCTTGTAGGTGACCCCATTCTGGATTTGTTTGGTTTGGTTTGGTTCCAGTTAAAAGAGAGGACAGGAACTAAATGGGGCTAACCACTTCAGGTGCAGCTTGTGCGAGGGTAGATGGTTCCTGCACACAGAAGTTACCACAGGGGTCAGGTTACTTTCTTCAAATAGCAGATTTCAGTACTTTATCCTCATTGTGGAAACAAGCCAAACCAAATGAACTCTGGAAAACCTAAAACAAATGTACATTTTCCTTTGTGTATGTTTCCGTGGTCCAAATGGCAATATAAATCCAGTCTTTATTCTCCCTTTGTTGTATTTATGCTGAATCTTCCCTTTGCCTTTTCAGGATTTAGGCCTGTAAGAAACTATGCCTGATTCTGTAAAATAAGTGTAAAGAATTATATGTACATCTCTGGATTTTGTGATGAAATATTAAAAATATTGAGCAAGTTGTTGAAAATGCATTACTATTTTGTCTATTCAGAGCTTACTGATTTAAAACAAGTGCTTCCTGGAGAAAAGGCATATTATTTCCTAGTTACTGGAATGGGAGTGGCACCAAAACAGTATATATACATACACACACACACACACACACATATATATACATATGCGCACTTGTTCTCTCGATCATCTCTTAATCCAAAGTATTTAATGTTTTTAAAAATATTACATGAAAAGCATGGTAGTTCTTCAGGCACGGTGAAATCTGGAGGAGAGGAGCGGTGAACAGCTAGCTCTCTTTGAAGACTGGAATGGGGCTGCCCTTCGCGCCTTACCCAGCCTTCCAGCGTACTTGGGGTGTCTTCCCTGCTTTGGCTGAGACGTCCCGGGATTCAGAGAGATACTGCCTTTGCACTGCCTGGAGGAGACCACTGTGGGACCTCTTTACTCTTACCAATAATATAAACACCCTGCACCCCTCCACACACACCCCAGGTTGCACTGTAGGGACAAGAACGAGTGAGTCCTGAGGCATTTGGAACCCTTGAATGGGACGCACAAAGCCCAAAACGCAACAATGTAGATTGACAAGAGTCGTCGGGCAAACTCGGGGGAGGGAGGGAAGGATGTGCAGGGAAGGATGAATTCGGTCCTTGAGACCGGAAAGGTGCTCGTGGGTATCCGCTTCTGGAGGCTTAGGACGTCTTTATGAAGCCTAGGGCAGTAGTGGAACTGCCATCTTTGGAAGGATACCTGACGTGGTAGATCAGAGAGCCGGGAGAGGTGGGGAGCTGTCGGAGAATCTCGGCTGCGCTATCCCTCCTGGGCTTTTGCGATGCCAACGCAGGCGTCGACGACTGCAGTTTCCCTGAAATAGTCGGAGCAAAGGAGAGAAAAGCCCAGTTCTTTCACCTTGGAGTGGCGAGAGAAAGGCACCTAGAAGCTCGAGGGCGGGGACGGCAGAGGGAGCCAGCGGCCGGGGGTGGGCCAGGAGCACTGCGGGGCGCAAGCCCGGGTCAGTTCTGCGCGTTGGGTTCGCCCACTTTCTGAGCGCCTGCGAAGAGCGGGGAAGCTCTGGCGCGAACCCGCAGGCCCCGCCCGAGGACGCTCGCGGGGCGAGCCCCCAGCCCAGCTCGAGCCGCCCCGGCGCCTGCCACTCCCTACTCAGAGCCCCTCCGTGAGCGCGCCGCTGCCCACCGCCTCCAATCACCACTCTGCGTGGAGCGCTTTAAATATGCAAAGACACGTCACGTTGTGTGAACCGGGATCGGTCCGTAGGGGGGGAGCCAATATCTATATAAACGTGTCCAGCGTGGGCCAAGAAGGGTTAAACGACTGGAGGAGGGACAGGTGGGGCGGGGGTCTGCAGACCAGGTTGGCAACACTGGTGAGTTGCTCTTCTTTCGCCCTCCTTCCCTTCTTCTATCCAAAGGGTGCTGAGCCCGGGAGGAGGTGGGAGGTGCCCCGCGGAGCCGGGAGTGAGCGTTCCCGAGGCAGCAGGCACCTTCGAGAGGGACTGGCATTTGGGCCCAGGAGCCAGGAAAAAGTCCTGAGCGTGCCGGCCTCGAGGAAGGCACGTTCCCTAAGGGCGCACGGTCACTGCAGTCTTTCACCGTCCGTCTGTTTTTAGAACAGAGTTCTGGCCTGAGCTTATAAATCTCGGGCTTTGCCCCCAAACCCCAGGCCTTTTGCGGACGGAACAGGTGAGCACTGCGCACTGCTCGCGCCCCGGTTCTTGCGTCCCCTGCTCTCCCTGCGCTCTGAGCGGCCTGGCCCCCGCGGGCTCATCATGTTCCCTTGGGGGCTGAGCTGCCTGTCAGTGCTGGGGGCGGCGGGCACTGCTCTCCTGTGCGCGGGCCTGCTGCTCAGCCTGGCCCAGCACCTCTGGACCCTCCGCTGGATGCTGAGCCGGGACCGGGCCTCCACCCTGCCTCTGCCCAAGGGCTCCATGGGGTGGCCCTTCTTCGGCGAAACGCTGCACTGGTTAGTTCAGGTGAGCAGTCCTTCGACCCCGAGCGCTAATACGGTCCCTTCTTCCCCCGGCTCCCACTGGACCCTCCTCAGTCTCAATGCCCATGGGATTTGTAGCCAGTCCCTGCCCATCGCCCACGACCCCGGGAAGCGCGCACAACTCTCGCCTTTACCTAGATACTCCGTTCCCTCGAAGGGACCTCAAGTCACTGGAATTCCCCCCAGAGCAACTCCCAGACACAACGCAGGGGGTAAACATAAGGGGTTTTAGGAAGGGGTCTGAGGAGCACGTCCTGCAAGGGTAGAAAAGGAGCCTGGAGCTTGGCCCAGCTGTGAGCCCTTGGGCCCTCACTTCTTCACTCTGAGTCTGTTTCCTCATCTCACCAATAGGAACAGGAGCATGTACATTCCCGTAGAGTAGATACCAGGCCCACTGGGGATCTTGTTTTGTAAACGCGCCAGCCAGGGACAGGAAGTTGTGATCAAAAGGCAGCTGGAAGGTCTGGGTCAGATCCCAGCCCAGGCCCAGAAGTTCCAGCTCTCCACCCTCCGCCTCGCCCGCAGGGCTCGCGCTTCCACAGTTCTCGCCGAGAGCGCTATGGGACAGTGTTCAAGACGCACCTGCTGGGCAGGCCAGTGATCCGCGTGAGCGGCGCGGAGAACGTGCGCACCATCCTGCTGGGCGAGCACCGCCTGGTGCGCAGCCAGTGGCCGCAGAGTGCGCACATCCTGCTGGGCTCGCACACACTGCTAGGTGCGGTCGGCGAGCCGCACCGGCGGCGGCGCAAGGTGAGTGGAAACGGGAATGGACCGTAGATACGTCGGATCCGCGGTCCCCGGCATCTGCCATGGGCCAGGCCGGGGCCCCGGTGTTGGATACACTGTGAACCCGACCAAGGTCCCTGGTAACTAGCGGGTGGCCTTGGGCGGGTCCGTTACCTTCAGCTTCGGTTTATAAAGTTAGGACTGCGCTAAAAGATTCTTTCATCTCCCATCTTCCGTGGCTGTGATAGCAGAAGCGCTGGAGACTCAGACCTAGAAAGGGGCCAGGGAAGACTTCTTAGAGGAGATGGCAGCTGGAGCCTGGATGGTTGGGAGGGACTGTGTGCATCAGAGCAGAACTGGGGGAAATGGCGAAAGCAAAAGCCAGGAAGTTTAGGTCTGGGCCGCTTGGAAGAGGGAGAAAGGACCGGAACTGGCCTTCTGGCTACTCCGGAATCGCCAAGCAGATGAGGCCAGACCGCCGCCAGCGCTGATCACGCGCGCTCCCACAGGTCCTGGCGCGCGTGTTCAGCCGCGCCGCGCTGGAGCGCTACGTGCCGCGCCTGCAGGGGGCGCTGCGGCATGAGGTGCGCTCCTGGTGCGCGGCGGGCGGGCCGGTCTCAGTCTACGACGCCTCCAAAGCGCTCACCTTCCGCATGGCCGCGCGCATCCTGCTGGGGTTGCGGCTGGACGAGGCGCAGTGCGCCACGCTGGCCCGGACCTTCGAGCAGCTCGTGGAGAACCTCTTCTCACTGCCTCTGGACGTTCCCTTCAGTGGCCTACGCAAGGTACGGCCGCCCCGGCTCCAGACCTTCCTCCGAGGCTCCGCGGCGCGGGCGGGCCTCCCAGACCCAGACGGGACGCCCTCGGCGCACCCCGCGCGTCCGTCACCTCTGCTGGGAACGGCGGCAGGGCCCGGGGGTGGGAGGCGTTGTGGCGGTGGCGTGGCGGTGGGCTCTGGGCCTGGCCTCTGTGCTGGTTCGCTGGTGTGACCTGGGGCTGGCCACACGACCTCCGTGGGACGCGCCTGCCGCGACGCGCTCCAGCCTGAGCAAGCGCGGGCCGCCAGAGTTTGGGGTCTCGGTGGCAGGCGTCCTGCCAGTCGGTCGGACTCCTTCCCACAGCGGCGCCCCTGGGGCCGGCCTCCATCACCTCTTCGGAAGCCCAGATGGCTGCGGAACCGAGGAGAGCGTGAGGGCTGCAGATGAGCCCCGGTCCAGCCCAGCGCCAGCCCCGGACCCAGGGGTGTGGGCGTCAGCTCCACCAGCCCTGGACCCGCTAGGTTTCGGGATCAGAGAACTGCTGCTTCTCCAGACTTCAGAACAATGGGCAGGACCCGGAGAGCAGCTAGGATGCCCCATCCCGCCTTTTGGTCCCCCTATTCTGGGACTTCCCACTGTTTGATTCCCTGGTTTTCAGTCACCTGCATAAAAATAATATGTGTAAAGGATCATGCTATAGGCTGATCACCGTGGATACGTTTTCTGATCTAATCCTCGCAGCCTGCAAAGTGTTATGATTCTCATTTTATTGGCCAAACTTATTTTATTGACTTACCCAAGATCACACCGTTAGTAGGGGCACGAACAGGACTTTAACCTCATCTCCTCCGACTATGGAACTCAAGTGCTGAATTACAGTGCTTTCCCCGGGGGAATGCTTTTGCTGCGGCTATTCCCTGAACTCTGGAGAGGCATCCCCTATTGCCCACGCTCTTACAGAGGCTAATGCTTACAAATCCAATAGTGTCCTCTAAGTCAGAGCTTTGCTGGGTGCATCAAGGTACCCCAGCCTGAGCCTAGTACAGGGAAAGGGCAATGGGCTGACCCTAGCCGCACTGGGCTCTGTGCCAGGCATGGACATGGACAGCTGTGTGACTCTGGGCAATTGCTTGACCTCTCTGAACTTCAGCATCCTCTCCTCAGGATGACAGTAACTCTGCTGTGGCTCAGAGGGGGATTGTGATAATCAAGACAGAATGATGTTTGTGGACAGTGGACATATCCCCGACCATTTACTGAGCCCAGCCATATGCCAGGCCAGGAGCTAAGCTGGGAAGCTGTTAACACAAGGATGTTGGCAGAGCCAGTGCTGAGAAGGTTTTCTGGGTAAGTGGCCGGGCTTGGCCCCCTTAGCCTTCCTGCCCCATCTTTCTTCTCTCCCTGAACATCAGGGCATCCGGGCAAGGGACCAGCTGCATCGGCACCTGGAGGGGGCCATTTCTGAGAAGCTTCACGAGGACAAGGCTGCAGAGCCGGGTGATGCCCTCGACCTAATCATTCACAGTGCAAGGGAGCTGGGCCATGAGCCCTCCATGCAGGAGCTGAAGGTAGGTGCTGACAGGCCGCTCCTTCTCCCCTCTTTTGCATTCCCAGCAGGTCCCTACACCAATGCTGCATCCCCAGAGCCACATCTTGTGTGGCCCCACTTTGAGGCACAGGCAGTCCTCAAGATGAGGGGCAAGAGGAGACCTGGGTTCCAGTAATGACTCAGCCACACTCACTACCTCTGCAGCCTTCAGCCTCCAGCCAGCCTTGTCAGTAGGAGAACTGAAGGCAAGAATCCTAGGCCCATCTTTGCAGGTTTCTGGCCACAAATGGCTCTCTCTCCTTTCCTTCCCCCACTGCCCTTCTCTGCCACTCCATGCCTTTGCCTCTGCTGTCCCCCTGCCTACAAAGCCCTCATTATTCATTTTTTCTAGAAACTCTAAGGGGCTCAGGATCAAACTCCACATCCTCAAAGCTCCCTTCTTCCTTCCAAAATCACCTCTCTCCTTCTATGAGCTACCTTGGCACCTGGTACCTCTATCCGTCTGTCTTGTTGCTGTGGATCTCCTGGAGAATTAGGACCCCTCCCCTTGTACACACATCGCACATACAGTGGAGGGGAGGTGGTAAGCTTTGGAATGGCCCCAGGACTTGCTTGAGCACCCAAAAAGGAGTGGAGAAGTTAGGGGGAGGGGAAGTTAGAAATAGGGAGACCTCAATCTTCCATAAGCAACTCTTACGCATCCTTTCTCTGGGCCTCAGTTTCCCACTTTCTACCAGAGACATCCCTGAAGGGTAGGCCTCAGCTTTAGCTTCTTTTCTGAGATTGGAACTAATAAGAGCATGAGCAATGGGCTCTTCTTGCGCAGAGCAGACCAAGAAGACATTTAGTGACTCCCTGGGACCATTCCGATAGGGAGAGGATGAAGCCATGATGCCGGCATTGGTACGAGGCTGGCACTGCTGCTGCAGGTGCCTTTGTTGCACTGCAGCCATTGTCAGGCTGTTCCACTGGGGTTGGCGGCCGCACCACCAGGTGGTGAAGAGCACTGGACTCCTGCCGGGAGTGCTAGCTGTAGGGACCTTGAGCACTACTCTGGAGTCTCCGTTTTCAACTCCATAAAACAAGAGCAGCAATTGTGCCTCACAGAGGGGAGGTGAGAACCGAATGAGTGAATATGCTTAAAGCACCAAGAAGAGTGCTTAGAGTAAGTTCCCGCATTCTCTCTGGGAACCATCGCAAGGCGGGTGGATAGATCCTAATGTTGCCTGTTGCTACAGCTGACTTTCCCAAATGGTGGACTTGAGATTTAATCGACTTCAAAACCGTACACACAGTCGCGGCGGTAATAGCACTTCCCTGCCCCCTGGCTTTTCGCAATAGTAAATTTGGGTGCTTTTCATCTCCACGGGGCCGTCGGGTCAGCGCCCCGGGCGACTCCACCGCCCGAGACTCAGTGCAGCCCGGGGCTGTCTTGCAGGAGTCGGCTGTGGAGCTCCTCTTCGCCGCCTTCTTCACCACGGCCAGTGCCAGCACCTCGCTCGTCCTGCTGCTACTGCAGCATCCGGCGGCCATCGCCAAGATTCGGGAGGAGCTGGTGGCGCAGGGGCTGGGGCGCGCGTGCGGCTGCGCGCCCGGGGCCGCTGGGGGCAGCGAGGGGCCCCCGCCCGACTGCGGCTGCGAGCCCGACCTCAGCCTCGCGGCGCTGGGCCGTCTGCGCTACGTCGACTGCGTGGTCAAGGAGGTGCTGCGCCTCCTGCCGCCAGTGTCCGGGGGCTACCGCACCGCCCTGCGCACCTTCGAGCTCGACGTAAGTGCGCCGTGCCAGCCCATGGCCAGCCTCCTGCCTCCTGCCGCCTGCCGCCTGCCGCCTGCCGCCTGCCGCGGCGGCGCCCAGGTGGGAGGAGGGCGGAGGGATTCGGACGGCGCGGTCACCTCTTTTGCCCTCAGAGCCTCAGCCTTCCGTCCTATAAAATGGGCTGAGCCTTGTTCCACCTCCCCGGATCCCCCGCTGAGGGACGCAAAGCCTGGCGAGACTGCAAGGTTAGGGATCTCGTACCCTTCAGCTTTTGGCAGCGGTTCGGAACGGTCAATTCAATGAGAGCGGAGTTTTAGAATAAAAATACTCTTCTATCCGTGCAGCACCCCCTCCCAGCCAGTGAGTGTGGATGGAGAACAAAGAGAACCCCTCAGTATGTCCTGTGCTCCACCCCTCTGGCTCCCTCACAAGATGAAGGAACCCCTCATTGCGACCGGTCCAGGGTTCTGGCTGGGGCCAGATTCCAGGGGAGGGGGGGATTAAAATACCGGGTAGACGCTTCATCTCTGATCAGGCCGGTTTGGGCTGAGCAAGGTTGAGGTCTAGAACTGACTCCATCTCCGTATGACCTTGGGCAGTTCCCTCTTCACTCTGGGCCTCAGTTTACTCTCTGCAAGGAAGCTGTCTTGGTCCTTTCCAGCTCTGACACTCCATCCAGGTGGGTCCGGGCTGTGGGGGTACAGTGGTGGCCTCAGGCAGTGGTGCTCTGGCTGTGCCAAACTGTGGGTGTTTGCCTGAAAGGCTGTCGTTGCAGTCCCCTGAGCACCATGCTTGGTGGCTGGGTGGCTCCAGATAAAAATGGGCATTCCACAGTGAACATTTGTGGCACATTGCGTGCCAGGGTTCAGGAGGCATCAAAGGGACTGGGATTCTACCCTGGAGGGGCTCCACTTGGAGAGGAAGGGGGCCGGGACTGACAGCCTCATCCCACTTGTAGTGTGACAGCCTCATCCCACTTGTAGTGTGAAGAGAGTGATCTCTAGTGCTGGATGACACCAACACATTCTGAGAGCTGGAGTTTGAACTGGAGCAGTGAAAGGTTTGGACGGGAGAGCCTATTACAGAGAGAGCAGACTCAGACAAAGGTGGATGTTGAGAAGTGTCTTGAATGCGGAATCAGTCTTGGAATGCAAGCTTCATTCTGCAGGCGCTGGAGTGCCCTACAAGACCTTAGGGAAGCACAGAACCAGGGTGGTGAGCAGAGGACAGGAAAGGGTCTTAGCCACCTCCAGTTCACAGATGAGAACACTGATGTCTAGAGAGGAAAGAGAGCTCCTGGGATGATTCCAAGATGTTCTGTTCTCCAGTTAGAAACTTTGAGTATTCACCCTGGAACTTGATATGAGGGTAGCAGTGTAGTCAGGGGGTTGGAAGACGTATCAAAAAGCCAAATGGTTGAAAAAGCTAGGGGTGGGCAGAGGGAACATGAAAACTGCCTTTCAGCATTTTAAGGATGGCCAGTTTGATTCTCATGTGCGCCTTCTTAAAGTGTGGTACCAAATCTGAACATTATCGTCCAGCTGATGGATGGGAAGGATGGCAAGTTTTCAGTTCAATGCAAAGAAGAGCTCTACCATGGAACTGACCTCGAGGAATTGTCATGTGCATTTTTCCCACTCTAGCAGCTGGGAGGTGTAGCACTAGAATTTAGGTCTCCTCATCTAAGGTCAGAAGAAAAAAAGACAAAACCAAACGGGAACATAACTAATAGTTACCGTTTACTGAACACTCATATGTGCCAAGTCCTTAATTTGAATCCTCACCAACAAAGGGGCCATTTTTCCCCTCATTTTTTCAAAGAGGAAACTGAAGCTCAGAGAGGCTGCGCATCTAGCCCAAGGTCATACATTTCACCAGTGAAGGAGTTGAGATTGGAACACAGAGCTTTCTCCTGGTTTCCGGGTTAATCGCGGATTCCTCCTGGTTTTCGGAAGCCTGATGGAAGCACCAGGGTGGAGGGTCAGTTCAGGGCCCCCCCGTTTCCAGGTGCCTCGTGGTCAGGCTGATCTCCTCGCCTCTCTGCAGGGCTACCAGATCCCCAAGGGCTGGAGCGTGATGTATAGCATCCGGGACACGCACGAGACGGCTGCGGTGTACCGCAGCCCTCCCGAAGGCTTCGATCCAGAGCGCTTCGGCGCAGCGCGCGAAGATTCCCGGGGCGCCTCCAGCCGCTTCCATTACATCCCGTTCGGCGGCGGTGCGCGCAGCTGCCTCGGCCAGGAGCTGGCGCAAGCCGTGCTCCAGCTGCTAGCTGTGGAGCTAGTGCGCACCGCGCGCTGGGAACTGGCCACACCCGCCTTCCCCGCCATGCAGACGGTGCCCATCGTGCACCCAGTGGACGGGCTGCGGCTCTTTTTCCACCCCCTCACGCCTTCGGTTGCGGGGAATGGGCTATGCCTCTGACATGCTTGCGCTCTAGGACACGGCTTGGCCGGTGGCTATGGCGCGCACGCAGCGCCACCCATCTGCCGCTCCCCATTGTAGCGTCGCGCGCCCACTCTTTCACTCGTTCAACAATCTTTCAACAAATGTTCGCCAAACGCGGATGTGTGCCGGACTCGAGGAAGGAGGAGGGCGAGCCACCGCTGCCGCGCCAGAGAAGCATCTAAGCCCATGGGAAGATGCCTTCTGCGCTCCGCGCCCAGAGGAAGGAAAATGTCGTGGGCCAAGCAGGAATGGAGGGAATAGATAGATCCCCACGAGGTGCTGCTTGGCTTCCCCTTCCCGAGCCAATCCAGGGAGGGTGCATGGATGGGGGAAGGCGAGGTAGGGGTGGCAGGGGAGTGGGAATATTGCAACTCGGGGACATTGCAGAGACCCGACGCACGCGGTGGGACCTGCAACCCTTGTAAGGAAGCGGGCACGCCGTGGGCGCAACCCTGGCCTGGCTTTGGGCCATAGAAAAAACACGCAGAGGATGCCTGACGGAAGGCCCTCTGGCAGCTGGCGTCTGGCTTCGTGCGCCTTGGCCACTCTGCCGGTCTCGGCGGAAACTAGCAACTGTGGGCACTTCCAGGCTCGAAAGGGCTCAAGGTCACCGGATTCTGCTGGCCACTTCTTAAAAGGAAAAATTCCTACCTTAAGAAGGCATTTACTCTTGTCATGTATACAGAGGAGAATAGGCACACCAACACGTCTCCAACGCTGGATTATTTTCATGGGAGGTTGAGACATAATTAGAGAGGTTTGAGATATTTGTACCAAAAATAGGAAGGCCAAGAAATAAAGTGTCTTGGGAGCGGTTGAGTGAGGAGGCTAGGGTTTATCTGGGCAGCTGCTCCCTGGGGGGAAGGCACTGGGGTGCAGGGTTGGGGAGGCCAGGGAAGGACCCACCCCACAGTACACCCAGAGAGGAGCTGGGAGCTGGGCAGCCTAGGGCCTGGGCTGCCCAGACTTCTCTCTGAGTATAACCCCAGAAGCTGGGCTGTGAATTGTCTCCAGGTTTCAGGGACCTTATTTTTATTTTTATTTTTTTGAGACAGGGTCTTCCTCTGTGGCCCAGGCTGGAGTGTAGTGGCACAACCAGCTCACTGCCACCTCTGCCTCTCGTGCTCAAGCCATCCTCCCATCTCAGCCTCCCAAGTAGCTGGGACTACAGGCACGTGCCACAACGCCTAGCTATTTTTTTTTCTATTTTTAATAGAGACGGGGGGTTTCACCATGTCACCCAGGCTGGTCTCAAACTCTTGGGCTTAAGCGAACCATCTGCCTTGGCTTCCCAAAGTGCTGGGGTTAGAGGTGTGACCCACCACACCCTGGAGTCACTCCTTTCCAGTGACTCCAGTCTAGTCCCTGCGCCCTCACCCCTCCCTGCCATTTCAGGGCCTTCTGGTTTTACGGCTTCACCATCCTCTCTATCACAGAGAAGAAATTGAGGAGCAATCTAGGTGAATGACTCACCTGAGAAGCCCAGCAATAGGCTCCTGGACTCCCCAGCCAGTGCTCTCCTCCACCCCCATCCCTTCACTCTTCTGCCCCAACCTCTGTTCCTGTGGCCATCAGGTAGGGCTGAACACTTTGGCCTCCTTTTCATGATAAGCCCTAGCTAGACTTGAGGACTCTCTCAACCATTCCGGTACAGAGGTTCCAACCAGTGTTTAAATCAAAGCCAAAAGCCTCCATGTCATCATTCCCAACAGCCCACTTCAATCTGCCACCCAGCTTCCAACAGACCGGGGCAGCTGGACATAAGGGGTGAGCCAGGGAAGTAGCTGCCTAGGCCTGAGCTGACCCCTTAGTGAACCAGAAGAAAGCCAGTGCCCTCCTGACCTCATGCTTAAGGTGGATCCCAGGGCCAGAAGGAAGGGGGACACAGCAGGCACTTACAGGGTTGGTAGCTCCACAGTACAGCAAGCCCTTCCAACCTGGGCTGACACTGCCATAACCCCCACACAGGGCAATTCATCACCCATTGTCAGCCAAGGGCCTGGTGCCAGGCCCTGAGCTTGGGAGACACCAGGGGCAGCAAAGGTGGCAGGACGTGGGCCCGCCCTAAGAGTGCTCTTGCAAATGCAGAGGACAGCCTGGCCTGAGAAGCGTGGGTTTGGGCGAGGAGAAGGATGCAGGCTTCAGGGTTGATTGTGATTTAGAGAGAGGAGAGAAGAATGGGGTGGGGACCCTCAGAAGCAAGGCTAGTTGAGCTGGTTCCAAGAAGACCTGGTTGACCTGCATTGGGGTCTGGACTAACTATAAGCCTCTGTAGGGATGGCTCCAGTTTTAATTTTCCATGGATACATCATGCTCAGTAATTTTGAGGGATATCTTAGCTCCTGTTTTAGTAGCTGCAGATTCTCTGGGGAAGGAGCAGAGGAGGTTCCTTCCCTCCTGCACTTGATATGCTCTGGAGGGAGGCAGACAAGAAATAAACTAGCAAACAAAAGGGTAAGAATATGTCCAGTGGTGATAATCGCCGTCATGGAAATAAAACAGGCCTGTGATAGTGTCTGGGGCTAAATTAGGCTGGATGGGTGGGGGGAACCTTGGAGGAGGTGACATTTGACTTTGGAAGGAACCAGCCAGCGGTGGCCTGGGGGAGGGGTGCCACATGCAGAGGGAACAGCAGGTATAGAACTGTGAGACAGGAACGCACGTTCAGAAATGAGACCGGGGGCTGAAAGGAGAAAAGCGGAGGTGGACTCCTTTGCTGTGACTCCAGTCTAGTCCCTGTACCCTCACCCCACCCCACCAGCAAAAAAAACAAAAAAACAAAAAAACAAAAAACCCGACTCCCCATCCCCGCCTCTTAGCAATAGGGAGGCTGTTTTGTAAACATCTTGGAAACGAGTTGTTTTTCAGTGAACCCACCCCCCTCCCCGCCCACCACCACCCACGAAAGCTTGGCGAGATTCCTAGATCAAAGTTCCTATTGGCCTGGTAATTTATTGACCCCCCACCCCCCGCCCTGCCCCCCTACAAGATGTTCTTTAATGATCGTTCACTCTCACATTTAATCCTTTCCTGCCGGACGCCCCCGCCGGCCTCGATGTACAGATAGATTAAAACGTTTTTTTCCCTGCGGCAATTTCCAGCGTGCAGGCCCCGCTCATCTTGTGACCCGGCTTGAGCTGAACTTGGCGAGGTGGCCCCGCAGAGTTCACTCGGATGTCACGGTCCGGCCTGCAGGGGTCACAGGCGGGTCAGGCCCGAGGATTGGGAATGGGCCCCAGGTCACGTCCCCATTCGTCGGCTTTGCACACCGGCCGGAGGCGCTGTCCAGAAAGGGGCGGACCCGGGATTTCTGAGAATTACCTCCAGCGCGATTGGCCTGGCTTCCTGCAGTGGCCAGAGGTTGGTTCGCCGTGTTTACAGCCACCAAATCGTTTGCCGGAGACTGAAACCCTGCCCAGAGCCTCTGAAACACTGGGCAGGTTATGGGGAAACGCTGACCCCCCGAAACACTCCCTGTGGCGGCGACTCTGGCTTGGAGAGTCGCTAGGATTGTGCGGGTCCCTCCGACCTCTGCAGATATTTCCTGATACCTCCGGGTTTGGGGACTACCGCGAGAAGGGCAACGCATTTAAACTCTCAGGAGCAGAGTTTTCCACCTCCAAGGGACGCCTTCCAAGGCGTGCGGCGTGCTTCTGCCAGAGACAGTGTTCAGTTTTAAACAAATGCAGGTCATTCTGTTTCATTTTCGGCGCCGCAGGTGCGTTCAGCGCCCAAACCCAGGTAGCGTGTGACCCTGACTGGTCCCGAGCCGGGAAGCTCCGGCAGGTGGAGAGCAGAGAGAGCAGGTGCGCGTCCCGCAGCGTCTGAGCTCCGGGCATTGGCAGCTCAGTAGCAGCTGATTGTAGATGGGCAAAGTACAGAAGACTTCCCAGTACGGATCCCTTCACCCCTCCCATTAGGGGTCGGTAGAGCCCTGAGTTTAGGGCCGAGCACCCCCTCACCTGGATGAGGACAGTGGCTTTACTCTGGGTGGGACTTGGGAGAGAGGAGGAGGACTCCAGTGCCCGGTGTACCGGACACCCAGGTAACGCAGTCTACCGTGCCTGGAGCTGGGAAGAGTAGTTGCAACCGGAGCCCCCTTTTGGGAACTCACTACCCTGAGGCTTAGACAGGTCGGGAATGATCGCCTCCCGGTTAAGGAGGAGGAAACAGGCACAGTGATGTGTGGTGACTTGCCCAAGGTCACACGCAGTACAGATGGAGCCGGGCCTCGGAGCCAGGACTCCTGGGCTCCCCTTCCTCTTATACCGTCTCTTTATCCTGCCAGGGCTAAGGACCCCCTTCCCTGCTGTCCAGCTGGGGCGCCAAGCAGCAGGGCCCTCCGAATAGGCGAGCTGTGCTTGGATCTCAGAGACGGGCACCGACTGCCGAGCCCCAGACGAAGTGCCCCAGGGTCGGGGATCAGGCTTGTGCAGGGTAGCACCTGGGGACCTGAGGGACCTGGAGGCCTTCTTGTATCCTGAAGTAGGACCTTCTAAGACTTCATGAGTCCTGGCCCCCTTGCAGGGGTTGGGGAGCTGGGGATCCCAGATCTGCCTATTGCGCCCGATGCCCCGAGGCTCTCTCTTGGACTCTGGCCCTGAGTTCTTCTGCGCGATCCTTCGGAGACGTCTGGAGGCCTGCTTTATGCATCTCTCTTGGACCTCAGTTTCCCCACACGTGGGAGGAGGCAGCTGGACGATTCCTGAAAGGACTTTCCCTTGCTTCCTCATCACGTGGAAGAGAGCCCACCCGGCACCTGGAAATGGAAAGCCAGTGAAGGCTGCTTTGGGCCGGGGCAGCGGGTGGGACCGGGCGGGAGGGATTCCAAAGAGACCGCCGGGAAGGCTAGAGCTTGGAATTCCGGCTCCTCGGAGTCCTGGCCCTCCCCCACCGCCGCCTCGGAGCTCAGCACACCTTGGATGGGGGAGGCGGGCAGCTCCTAGCCCCGCACCCCAGGAGGCGCGCTCGGAGGGAAGCCGCCACCGCGCCGCCTCTGCCTCGGCGCGGAACAAACGGTTAAAGATTTTGGGCAGCGCCTCGCGGGGGGAGGAGCCAGGGGCCCAATCCGCAATTAAAGATGAACTTTGGGTGAACTAATTGTCTGACCAAGGTAACGTGGGCAGCAACCTGGGCCGCCTATAAAGCGGCAGCGCCGTGGGGTTTGAAGCGCTGGCGGCGGCGGCAGGTGGCGCGGGAGGTCGCGGCGCGCCATGGGGCTCCCGGCGCTGCTGGCCAGTGCGCTCTGCACCTTCGTGCTGCCGCTGCTGCTCTTCCTGGCTGCGATCAAGCTCTGGGACCTGTACTGCGTGAGCGGCCGCGACCGCAGTTGTGCCCTCCCATTGCCCCCCGGGACTATGGGCTTCCCCTTCTTTGGGGAAACCTTGCAGATGGTACTGCAGGTAAGGGAGGGTGGGGCGGGACAGGCTGCTTCCCCGGAGCCCGGCGCGGCTCTGGGCTTCTGCTGAAGTCGGGGTAGGCGCCCCCGGGAGGCATGCTATTGCGGCTAGGAGCAGGGCTGGCGGGAGCGCGGCGCTCCCCGGCGCCCCCTCATGCCCACTTCTCTCCTCCGCCTTCCTCCCACAGCGGAGGAAGTTCCTGCAGATGAAGCGCAGGAAATACGGCTTCATCTACAAGACGCATCTGTTCGGGCGGCCCACCGTACGGGTGATGGGCGCGGACAATGTGCGGCGCATCTTGCTCGGAGAGCACCGGCTGGTGTCGGTCCACTGGCCAGCGTCGGTGCGCACCATTCTGGGATCTGGCTGCCTCTCTAACCTGCACGACTCCTCGCACAAGCAGCGCAAGAAGGTGGGGGCAGGAGGCGACGGCTGGACAGGGAGGGGGACCCCATTTATGAGCGGAATTCCGGCTGATGGATGCTAGGCGCGGGCTAGCAGCTTGAGGTGGGCTAGGACCCTCTGCCAGCTCCAGGTTAGCTTTCCCAGCTCGGAGAGTGCCATGTGTCTGGCAGGACTGGGGGTGTCTGGAAGGGGACGGCGGTAGACGAGAGGGGCGGATGGAGGCTTTTAACGCTGTCCCCTCCTCGGGACTCAGGTGATTATGCGGGCCTTCAGCCGCGAGGCACTCGAATGCTACGTGCCGGTGATCACCGAGGAAGTGGGCAGCAGCCTGGAGCAGTGGCTGAGCTGCGGCGAGCGCGGCCTCCTGGTCTACCCCGAGGTGAAGCGCCTCATGTTCCGAATCGCCATGCGCATCCTACTGGGCTGCGAACCCCAACTGGCGGGCGACGGGGACTCCGAGCAGCAGCTTGTGGAGGCCTTCGAGGAAATGACCCGCAATCTCTTCTCGCTGCCCATCGACGTGCCCTTCAGCGGGCTGTACCGGGTAAGGGCGGCAAACGGGCTGCGGACTAGGGGCGCGGGACCTGGGCGTCTGCTCACCGCCGCGCGCTCTCTGCGCTCAGGGCATGAAGGCGCGGAACCTCATTCACGCGCGCATCGAGCAGAACATTCGCGCCAAGATCTGCGGGCTGCGGGCATCCGAGGCGGGCCAGGGCTGCAAAGACGCGCTGCAGCTGTTGATCGAGCACTCGTGGGAGAGGGGAGAGCGGCTGGACATGCAGGTGAGTAGCAGCTTCAGACCAGGCACTGCGGAGTTTGGTCCCCTGGCTTTCCAAGCGCTGTTCCTGGGGCCCCCAAAGCGCGCGCCTGGGGCCCAGCTTTCTGGAGTGGGCGGCCGGCTCAGACTACAGCTATGGAATCCCGAAGGAAGGCTGAGACACCCGGTCAGGAGAGCTGCGGAAGGGGCTGCGGCGGAACTGGGAGCATCCCCTAGCCTTTCCAGGTTTCAAAGGGAAAGTTGGAATTTGCAAAAATGTTAATAAAGAACCTTGCGATTTTAATAAAACTAAGACTTTAACTCAGGAGTTTCCGGTAGAGCGGGGTCGTACTCGCCTTACTGCTCCAGCTGAACTAAAGGGACGTTGCATTTTGTTTAAAGATATTGCTTTCCTTGACTTTCTGTCAGCAAAACATTTAGCCCTTCTAGTCTTCCCTCCAGAACTCTCAGTTCGATTCTGAGTAATCCTTCTGTCAAACCGCAGGCAGACTTGTGAGAATGTGGGTCTCACTCTATTCTTAGGCACTAAAGCAATCTTCAACCGAACTCCTCTTTGGAGGACACGAAACCACGGCCAGTGCAGCCACATCTCTGATCACTTACCTGGGGCTCTACCCACATGTTCTCCAGAAAGTGCGAGAAGAGCTGAAGAGTAAGGTAGGGAGACTGGGTCTGGGGGTGTCCTTATTAGCTTAGGAAATTCAGCTGCTCCCTAGCCAACTTCCGAATAAGTCAGTGTGCTGCCTTCATGGAGTATTTTGAAAGTGCAGGGCCCAGGGCTGCGTGGGCCAGTGGGCAGAATTAGCTTTGTGAATAAACAGGATGGAGTCTTGAGCTGTGAGCCCACTTGGGCAGGGTTTGACCTTGTATTCCTACCCCTCCTCCACCTTTTGCTGAACCGTGGAGATTCTCAGATAGGTTCCACTTTCTTGAATTGGTGTGTCCAAGGGCATACATAGTGTGAATAGCTGATTAGTGTGGGTGGTGGTGGTGAGTGTGGGGTGGGGGGGCGTGGGGAGAAACTTGGTCCTTCTAACTGGTGAGCAGCATTCTCCTGGGATTGTAAATAGATAGTGGATTTGGGCAGGCAAATGGCCATTAGCTGCTGTTTCCCCCTCCCAGTCTCTCCCATCATGGGGCCCTTTGGGTTTAGTCTCCACTTAAGCCCTGTTTACGTCTGCTGGGCTGATTTTATTGGAGCACAAAATAACTGTTCACCTCTGTATGACTGTTTTGATAGGGTTTACTTTGCAAGAGCAATCAAGACAACAAGTTGGACATGGAAATTTTGGAACAACTTAAATACATCGGGTGTGTTATTAAGGAGACCCTTCGACTGAATCCCCCAGTTCCAGGAGGGTTTCGGGTTGCTCTGAAGACTTTTGAATTAAATGTAAGTTAAAATTCTCTTCTTTCTCCCTTTTGTTGTGGTTTAAAAACTCCTCTTTCTTCCCTATGCTGTGGCTGCAATTCTTATGCTTTTGATAATTGTTCTGCCCTATATGGAGATATGTTTCAGCAACCTGGATCCACCTCTCTCTTTCTACCTCTCCCTTGCTTTTAGCTCATAATTTCCCCCAAAGATATCAGTGACTGCTTTTTGTTGTTGAAAGTTAAATTCCAGTTTGTCAGCCCTTGGGGTTTCATAATCTTTTGCAGGGATACCAGATTCCCAAGGGCTGGAATGTTATCTACAGTATCTGTGATACTCATGATGTGGCAGAGATCTTCACCAACAAGGAAGAATTTAATCCTGACCGATTCATGCTGCCTCACCCAGAGGATGCATCCAGGTTCAGCTTCATTCCATTTGGAGGAGGCCTTAGGAGCTGTGTAGGCAAAGAATTTGCAAAAATTCTTCTCAAAATATTTACAGTGGAGCTGGCCAGGCATTGTGACTGGCAGCTTCTAAATGGACCTCCTACAATGAAAACCAGTCCCACCGTGTATCCTGTGGACAATCTCCCTGCAAGATTCACCCATTTCCATGGGGAAATCTGATGAGCTTGAATGTTCAAACCTGAGACTTATTGGAAGTGTACATATGAGTTTTTAAGGAGTGTTGTGTTGACTTTATATTTAATTTCTAAATGTATATTATAATATTTATGTGTTTTGACTATACTACCACAATCTTTAAATATTAAAATAATGAATTTGTATCATTTCCAAATAAAGTAAAATTTGAAGGTACTTTTCTGGTATTTTAAGATTCCTGTTGGGTAAAACTCACCAGTTTAGTATTTTCTTAGTGTATTTAACCAGATTTTACAATGCCTACCTGGACTTATTTGTCATCTTTGCATCTGTTTTCTGTGAGAAGAAATCTTAGCTGTTTTTTATGTTAACAGTTATTAGAAAATATATGTCTGTGTGTGTTATTCCAGACGTATCTCTGTAAATTCTTCTACAGTCACTTAGATTCCCTATTTGGAAAATTGATCCAAGTTAATTTAATTTTTTTTTGGTTTGCTGTACTTTAGGGAAAGATGAACCTGAAAAGGTAACACTGAGAACTGTCACTCTAACCTCTCCAGCTTATCTAACATGTCATAAACATAATAAATCTGTGTTGTCCAATAGTGCCAGAACTGTTCTCTGAAGTTACGGTTTTAGATAAGACAAAGCCAGTCACTCCAGTTATGGACAGCTCTTGACTAAAATGAGACCAGAAATCATTGGCGTGTCACCTTTACTTAGAAGTTGCATATGGAAACAGTATTAGGAAAGGCGCATCTCTGGTTAAGATAAGCTGAGCCCAGGTTTTCTTTATTCAAAATGAGGCAGGAGGAGCAGATTTAGCAGACTGACAGATAAAGTTTTTATCTATCCCAGGCAATAGGGTGTGAGCCTGACATGACTGATAAAATGGCCCAGTCATGACCCTGTGAACCTTGGCTAACCTCCGTGAAAGCGCAGTTTTGTCACATTTCTGACCCTGGCATAGCCACAGTCTGAACTGAAGGCCAGACTCTCAATCCAGAAAGGTTAGCCCCAGTGACTTGCTTATGCAAGCACATTTTTGGTTTTGGAATGGCACAATCTGCTCACTGAACCTCTGATGACTTGTAGGTTTCAAACTTTACATTTTTCATTACAATTTTAGAATTTGGCAATACTGCAGAAACCAGGTGGTCTAAATAGGTGTTTGAAAAGTGTTCTGTCTACAGTTACATATTCTACCTGACTATAGTTTTTTAGGTAGAACTTGGGTTGTTCTTATTGTTGGACTGCTCTGAATTTTAAAGGATGTTTATGTAATAACTCATAATGCCGTTAAAAAATGAGACATTTCAGGCTATGTAGTTTCAGCCAAAGCTTTAGTGTACTATAGTGTGCAGAGATGACTCTTCTACCCCTAACATTTTTCCTGGACATTTCCAGCTAGGAGCATGCTAGACTGAGGGCATAATTATTTCAGATAATTTCTACAAAGGCATTTTTAAATTTTATTTTATTTATTTTTTGAGACAGAGTCTCACTGTGTCACCCAGGCTGGAGTGTAGTGGCACAATCTTGGCTCACTGCAACCTCCGCCTCCTGGGTTCAAGCGATTCACCTGCCTCAGCCTCCCGAGTAGCTGGGATTATATATGCACACCACCATGCCCGGCTAATTTTTATATTTTTGGTAGAGATAGGGGTTCCACCATGTTGGCCAGGGTGGTCTTGAACCCCTGACCTCAGGTGATCCACCCACCTTGGCCTCCCAGAGTGCTGGGATTACAGGCGTGAGCCACTGCACCCGGCACAAAGCCATTTTAAAACAGCTTTTTTTTTTTTTTTGAAACAGCCTTGCCCTGTAGCCCAGGCTGGAGTGTAGTGGTACAATCTCAGCTCACTGCAACCTCCACCTTCCGGGTTCAAGTGATTCTTGTGCCTCAGCCACTTGAGTAGCTGACACTACAGGCGCATGGCACCATGCCTGGCTAATTTTTGTATTTTGGGTAGAGATGGGGTTCTACCACATTGGCCAGGCTGGTCTCGAACTCCTGACCTCAAGTGATTCATCCGCCTTGGCCTCCCAAAGTGCTGGGATTACAGGCATGAGCCACTGTGCCCCATCTAAAAGAGTTTTAATACTTTTCATTCTTCTGGAGGACAGCTGGCCTTTAAAACACTATCTTCGCTGACTTAGTGGCTCTGTTTCTCTGCGAATGTAGTGCAGTCGGAAATCTGAGCCATCTTAACATATCATTCATTTTTTAATCTGGGGAGCTTCGAGGAAAGTGCTTCTGGTTTGCATTTCCCAGGGCTAGATTTAGCCCAATTATCCTGATCAGTTACAGAGTAGCAAAGAATTCATCTTGAAAATACGTTAAAAACACAATCTTTGATCATGTGCTTTGTGCAGAGGAAAGGCAGTCTGGAAGCATGTGAGCAAGGCTGCTGTCTTGGACAATGGGCCTGGGTCACATCTCTCTGGGTCAAGTATGTTTTATGGCACAGTCACCTCTGGGCTGGTGTCCACGTGATGGAGAAATGATGTAGATTTGGCCAAAACTGTGGAAGGAGGGGACATGACCCCTCTTGGACTCACTCTGGAAAATGACCCTTCGGGCTCCTAGCAGCATGGTGTAGCGATAGGGGTGCTGTGCTGTCCAGGGCTGCTGCGGGTGGGCGACCAAGCTGGTGCCCTCTGCTTCCCCTTGCGCAATGCCCTTGGCCCTTGCTGCCTCCCATGTTCTCTTCAATCAGGACTGTGTTGCCACCAACCACAGACCACTGTCAGGACTGAGATGTGAAAGCCTGAGGCTTCAGCATTCAGAGGGATTGGAGCCTTTACCTAGCAAGGTCCTTGGAGGCCCAGAGACAGACTGTAGTTTTCCTGGGGCCACACAGGGAGTGGCAGAACCAGGAAAGACCTCCAGATGCCATTTTTTTTCTTTCTTTTTTTAAACAGCTAATAACACTTGCCCGATTTCTAACTCGCTGTTGCCAGACATAATCCAGGGGTCTCAACTTCCTAGCTTCCTTTTATGTCCCCTGCTACCACTCCCGTGCCAGCACAGATCAATTCTCTTGCAGGTCCCCAGAGGTGGTTGGTGAAATGGGAGCGCTGAGAGGAGGTGGCTGCTCCCCGAGACTCCCTGTCTCCGGTTGGGGTTTCAGTGCTTTTTGCACCCTGTTACTCTCCAGAGATCCACAAGGGGGCGGGCTTCTCCCTTCTATGCCAGGCTCAGAGGCCAGTGGTTTTCCCCACCAGTGTCCACGAATTCCAGTGTACAAGACTCTGGCCCAGGGCTTGCTTTTACCCCGGACAGTGAGAAGCTACAGGCCACCCAGGGCTTAGCAAGTACTTAGCACCAGGTCTGGTCAAGGCTGCCTGGCCCCTCTGGAAGGGGTCATCCCAGGCTGGGCTGACCTGCGCGTCTTTCAGTTCCTGAAGCAGCCGCCAACCCTTGGTGGTCTATGGGGTCAGCGGCCCAGGTTTCCAGCATTGCCCCCACACTGCCCACGTGTGGCTTATGTTGCTTTCACTCTACCTGGAAAATCGCTGTCAGTTTTGAGGGAGCAGGGAGCACAGTTTCCAAAGAACGCGGGCAAACTAATCAGCCTTCGGATGACCGCAACCAGGTGCGGGAGCCACCGCACAAAAGCACCTAGGGAGGAACGAGGGACGTATAGGGAGGTTGCGGTGGCTCCTTTAGACAGTCAAAGGGCTGCTGTAGTAAACACAGGTTCAGACCCGTTCTGAGGGACAGAGCATGCTCTTAGGAGGGTAAAGTAGGAGAGAGATGCTGGCGCCATGTAAGGAAAACATTCTGAGACAACTCCAGCCCTTTGGTGATGAAACAGGCTACCTTGTGAGAGGGAGAGAGTGAGCTCTCTGTCAACAGAGGCAGCCAAATACAAAGCTGGATACCTAAGCCGCCACAGAGATCAAGACATGGAGGGTGAGCTTGGGTTAGATGACCCCCCATCCCCCTTCCAAAATTAAACAGTTGTGAATCTCCGAAATGTGATTCTGTATTAATTCAGTTCCTCAGATACCCACTTTGAAATGCCTGGGGCTGTGGAGATGGGACATCCCCACGTCCTATTCCAGAGGCATTCAGCAGTCTTTGGTGATCATTCTCCCAAACCTCAGAGGCAGATGTGGAAGTGGGAGCCCAGATATGTGACCTCAGAAAGGCACCAAGTGCCCTGTGTTGACTGCCCAGGGACCTCTCCCCTGCCCTGTGACTTGGTGTTTCCTGCTCCAGGTCCTGTGTCTGCTCCAACCACCCCTAGTTCCCCCAACCTGCCCATGCTGACCATTCGCTTGACCTGGCCTCTGGGGTCACATCCTGCTTCCTTCCCCAGTCCTCCCCGGGTCCCCATAATCCCATGCACTGACATTGTCCTCTACCCATCCCAGCTGTCCTTTGTCTCCACCTCCTGAAATGTGCTGGGAGGCAGGAACTGTGTCTCATTGTTCTAATCTTATACATTTAGTCCATTTTCACATACCTCTCCAGCCTCCCCTGGAATGTACATGTAGTAGGTGTTCTCTGGAAGAAATACTTCTTGGGGCCAATTGACACCATTTACCTTATGTTTCTCCAGCTTACATGGTGCCATGTTTTTCTTTGAAAAGTGAAACTTTCATCCTTGAAAAATCTCAGCGGCCGCAAGCATACACGGCTGTGGTTTAACAGCATGTCACATTCCTGAAACCGACGCTCCACGGGTATTTGACCAAACAAGCTTTCCTTCCTTTGAAGTAGAGTCAACTCGAGTTAGAACCCTGAGACAGGGATGAAGATTCAGCCTGGGACTGCATGGTGGGTTTTCTGGGTGAGACATATCATGTTGCAATATTCATAACCACGCACCCTCAGCACAGAAGCTGCCCCACACTGTAAGATTTCTCACTGCTGCTGAGCCCTCCCTGGTACGTTGAGGAGTTAGAAACCTGTTCACGCCTTTAGGATGGTAGATGCTTCAGGATTTTTGTTTGTTTGTTTTGTTTTGTTTTTTTTGAGATGGAGTCTCACTCTGTCGCCAGGCTGGAGTGCAGTGGCACGATCTCAGCTCACAGCAACCTCCACCTCCCAGGTTCAAGCGATTCTCCTGCCTCAACCTCCCCAGTAGCTGGGACTACAGGGACGCTCCACCACGCCCAGCTAATTTTTGTATTTTTAGTAGAGATGGGATTTCGCCATGTTAAGAAGGATGGTCTCAATCTCTTGACATCGTGATCCACCCGCCTCGGCCTCCCAGAGTGCTGGGATTACAGGCGTGAGCCACAGCGCCGGGCCCTGCTTCAAGATTTTTATCTGAAGTCACTAATGGGTTCACTTAAATGCATTGTGAAAAGAGGACCAGGTGCTTTGCTTATAATAGACATGTGACAAAACAAATTTGTTAAGTACAGCCAAATCAATTCATTGACTGGTTCGTTAAGTACAGCCATATTGTCCAACACAACAATCACTTAATGATAGATGGGGGCATTCAGTATTCCAAAATTGAAAGTTCATTTAATGTCAGGTAGTCACAGACTTTTAGGGCCGTAAAGGAGGACAGGTCATCTGGCCCCTCAGTTTACACCTGAGAAACCCGAGGTTGAAAGAAATTTTAGGTTACAACAGAGAATGTGCCCAGCACACTGTAGGACTTGACCCTGCTCTCAGTTAAAAAAAAAAAAAAATCAACTGTATTGTTTACTTATATACGTGTCAGGGAAAAAAATGCAGGTTAGCAGACTATTTGAGACCAAATAGTTCTTATTTGTCATGATACTGCTGAGAGTGTGTGGACTCTGGGAGGTGTTTTGAGAACTTGGAATTTTGTGGCCTCAGAGAATTTGACACAAAACCTGGCGGAAGGTACAGATTGCTGGCATTTATGGTGGATGTGGGGGCTGAGGTCTTCACGTTGGTAGAGCTGGACTTTCAGATCGTTTGAGCCCCTTCTACTAAACAGCAGAAAATGGGTTTTAAAGGCAAAAGCACTTACTTATGAGAAACAGGGGTTCTTAGACTTTATGAGGCATCAGAATCATCCAGAGGGCTGGCTTAAACAAAGATGATTGCCCACTCCAGAGTTTCTGGGTTGACCCAAGAATTTGCATTTCTACCAAGTTCCCAGGTAATGCTGATGCTGTTGGTCCGGGGACCATACTTTGAGTACCATTGGTGTAAAGGCTTCTCATCCGTGAGTCAAGGATCACAGACTTAGGAGGGCTGGCAGATAATATTAACAAGTAATGTTAGCCAGGTGGAGAGACAGTAGGATATGGTGGGCGTGCTGCTGATGTGGGGACCACAGGTTCCCTCTAAAGTGGGCAGTTGCTGCTCAGTGCTGACCTACTCTTGACCTACAGGAATGAAGAACTCGGTTTGAAACTCTTTCGGTGTTTCAGGAAGTGCTAGAAATCCAGGTTTACATAAGGAATGTGTAATGGGAATATCCTGTTTTTTAGATGTTGGTGGCTAATTACCTTTTTAAAAACTGTGCAGGCAAAATAAAACTTGTTTGTGGCCCTGCTGGTGTCCAGTTTGCAACTTCTTGGGTCTTCGATCTTTGGAGAATTTTTAGAGTGCTTGATCAAAAGTGGCTTAGCTGAGTGGGTCTGTTTCAGAGTCTCTCATAAAGTTGCAGCTAAGATGTGGGCCAGGTTGCAGTCATCTGAAGTCTTGACTGAGGCTGGAGGGTCTGTTTCCAAGATGGCTCCTTCATATAGCTGTTAGCGGGAGGCCTCAGTACCTTGCTTTGTGATTCTCTCCATAGGGCTGCTGGGGTATCCTCATGGCATGGCACTTGGCTTTCCCCAGAGCAAGTGATCAAACAAACAAACAAACAAAACAGCAAGATCAAGCCCTCAATGCCTTTTATGACTTAGCCTTGGAAGTCACACTTCTTCATGTCTACAATATTATATTGATTACACAGGTTAGCTGTATCCAGTGTAGGAGAGAAGCACACAGGGCATGAATGCCAGGGGGCGAGAATCACTGGGAGTTATCTTGAAGGCTGGCTGTCATAGTGAGTTTTGTTTTGTTTTGTTTTTGTTTTGAGACAGGTTCTTGCTCTGTCGCGTAGGCTGGAGTACAGTGGCGAGATCAAGGCTTACTGCAGCCTCGATCTCCTGGTCCCAACCAGTCCTCTCACCTTGGCCTCCTGAGCAGCTCAGGGCCACAGGTATGTGCCACCATGCCTGGCTAATTAAAAAAAAAAAAAAAAGGTAGAGACAGAATGTCCCTATGTTGCCCAGGCTGGTCTTAAACTCCTGGGCTCAAGCAATGCTGCTGTCTTTGCCTTGCAAAGTGTTGGGATTATAAAAGTGAGCCACTGTGCCTGGCCCATAGTGAGGTTTTTTGGTTTTGTTTTGTTTTGTTTTTGAGATGGAGTCTCCCTCTGTCGCGCAGGCTGGAGTGCAGTGGTGTGATATCGGCTTACTGCAACCTCCGCCTCCCAGGTTCGAGCAATTCTCCCTGCCTCAGCCTCCTAAGTAGCAGGGATTATAGGCATGGGCCACCATGCCTGGCTAATTTTTGTATTTTTTAGTAGAGATGGGGTTTTGCCATGTTGGCCAGTCTGGTCTTGAACTCCTGACCTCAGGTGATCCACCCACCTTGGCCTCCCAAAGTGCTGGGATTAAAGGCCTGAGCCACAGTGCCTGGCCCATAATGAGTTTTTCACTGGTTGTATAGACTCTTCCCCTGACTTCTCTTTAAGTCATTTTCATCTTGTTTCTGAGTAGTCCTTGATTTCTACTATTTTCATTGTGACTTCTCATCCATAGACACTTACAGTTATCGTCAGAAAAAAACATGTTACAGAATTTCTCAGCTGGATGTACTCTATGGGGTCATCTAGGACAAAGTTGCAAGTTGGAGACTCTCGGGTAGAGCCTGAGTGAGCAGTTGAAGTTCTTCTGTTTGCCAAAGTTTTCAACCAGCCAACTTCATTCATTTATGTTTTCAGGCCTCTGAGTCATCTGAACTTGAGCTAATACAACCCCTAGGGTGACAAACTGTTCTGATTTGCCTGGGACTCAAGGGTTTCTTGGGACTCGGGACTTTCAGTGCTAAAACTTGGATAGTCCTGGGATTCAGTTCAGACAGTAGATGTGAATTGATCTGATCCTTACAATTCAAAGTGTGGTCCATGGGTCAGCAGCATCTGTATCACCTGTTTGCTTATTGGAGCTGAAACATCTCAGGCCCCACCCCAGACCTAATGAATCAATCTGCAGTTTAACAAGAGCCCCAGGTGAACTGTATGAACACTAAGGTTTGAGACTCTCCGGATGGAAACAAAACCTCAACTTGGACTCTCTGAGGATTCTGATTTGCTGTCTCTGTGGGTAAAATGGACCTAACAATGATCCTCTTGTGCTATGGTAATCGGACCTTGACATACACATTGTATTTTTGGTTCCTGCCTCCCCATAACCCCCCAGGGGAAAGTCAGCTAAAATGTAATTGCTGGAAGGAAACTAAAAGTACCAACTCTCACCTGGGTTTGAGTTGTGGTTTTCATAAAATACTTTTTACGGTTGAAACTTTCCCCCTCCTGAAACAAAATGCCATAAACAACACAGATAAGGGGAGATGGCTGGGCATTTAGGTTATTTCCAGTTCCTGACAATCCAGGCAACGTGTACTAAGTATCCTGCATGCACAGCTTTATGTATACACTAGTGCTTTATTTCTGGGGTTTGGTTCCTGAAAGCGAGGTTGCTGGGTCACTGAGGATGCGCGTTTAAAATGGGAATGGATATCTAAAAAGGTGCCGGTCCAAAGAGGAGTGCTTGAAAAAACACTGGTGCATTTATATTATGGAAAATGATGGCGCCATAGTGGAGTGCATACAGTAGACATCCGTTGACCTTGAGGGATGGCTATGACACGCTGTCACACAGCATAAGCTGCAGAGGGACGTGGCTAATTGGGGGAGAATAGAGGCGGATACTTCGCAAGGTGATCATTCACACTTTCTGAATACATTTATGGATGTTTCTTCTGTTGTAAAGAATGTGTTGATTTTGTAATTCAGAGTTTTAGGAGAGAGAAAAAGTGGAGGTGCGGTGGTGGGAGCGGGCAAGACTCTAGAGATCAGCTGTCAGTCTTCCCTTTCAACCCATCTTTCCTGTCTCCACCCATCACCTCCAACCTTCCTTCTCCCTACTTTCAGAAGCATAGTCTCTTGCCAGTTGCAAAAGGACAACCTTTGCAACTTTTGATTGGCTGAGCGCAGGCCACGTGCCCATGACTGGGCTGCCAGTTGAAGGAGAGGGAATGTCCGACTTCTTTTTGTCTAAGGGGCCTTGCTGCCCACCTATGAGGGCTTGTAGCCCCAACCGCTGCCCTAAATAGGAGGTGTATTGTAATGATATTTGGCCCCTAATCAACAATTAAGGTAGCAAAATCTTATAGCTCTACCCTTTTGAAAACCCCCAGGCGTTTAGGGAAACAGTTCTGAGTTAATCAGCCTTATTTTTGTAGCATGCAAGGAAAACTAACAGCCAAAATTCATTGAGCATTTATTATAAATGCCAAGTATTTCACACCATTTCATTTCATACGCATGACAATATCCATGATGCAGACACAATGTTTAACATCCCTTGTGCTAATGGAGCCACTGTTGGGTAACTTGCCCAGAGTCGCACAGCTAGTAAGTGGTAGAGCCAGGGTTTGAACCAAGGCCATCTGAGTAAAAGGTTCTAATGATTACACTGTACTGTATGTACTAGGTTTATAGAATTTGGAACTGGCACAGATAATGATTCTTCTGCCCTTCCCACCCCTTCCCGATGGATTCTCACTCTGTCGCCCAGGCTGGAGTACAGTGCTGCGATCTCGGCTCACTACAGCTTCCACCTCCCAGGTTCAAGTAATTCTCCCACCTCAGCCTCCCTAGTAGCTGGGACTACAGGCACGGCACATACCACCATGCCTGGCTAATTTTTGTATTTGTAGTAGAGACAGTGTTTCACCATGTTGGCCAGGCTGGTCTCAAACTCCTAACCTCAAGTGATCCACCCACCTCAGCCTCCCAAAGTACTGGATTTACAGGTGTGAATCACTGTGCTGGCCTATGACTCCTATTTTCACTGAGCACTTAGTATGTGCCAGGAACTGTCCTTACCACTTTGTATGAATTAATTCATTTAATCTTCGCAACAACTCCAAATGAGAAAACTAAAACTCAGAGATATCAGCAACTCACCCAGGGTCCCTCAGCTGGTAAGGGACACAGTTGAGGTTCAAATCAGAAAGTCTATTTCCAGAGCCCACACGCCGGACTCCCCAGGGCCATTTGTTCCTTTTACTTATTAACACATCAATATGCTTTTTTCTTCTGCATTGATCTGAAAGTAGTTCTCTTAGGGGATACAGAAATTTAGACAATTATCAAGATAATTCAACTATAGTTATGGGTTTTATTTCAATTTTCCGTTCCATTTTGACACCAAGGATCTGGCCTGAAGCTGATGTCAGCTAAAATAATTTAAACTAAATCTGATCTCCATCGTCTGTGGGGTTTTGTTGGGAAGAAATCTGAAAAGACAAAGGAGGTATGTGTGTGATTGTGGATTGGGCAGTTCTAAATTTCCATCATTAAGGAAAATCATTACGATGATGGGAAAGAGTAAGAGAAGAAAAAGATTAATAGAATTTTCTCGTTAAATGTTGCACATATGAAGCATAAAGATATGGCTCTTTTGCAGAGATTTATTCAAAAGAGTTTCTTTGCTAGAGGGAATGTGTTTTTCTAAGTGAAAATAGTTTATCCTCAATTTGAATTGCAAATCCTTCCAAACGCAGAGTGAGAAGGAAGGCTAATGCCTGGCTGGAATGAGTTCTTTCTACTTTGTTTTATAAAAACTTCCTGAGACAAGCTTTTAAAAACATTATAATTATTTAAAAAAATTCAGGTATCCTCTTAGTCTAAATATTTTAGATAAATCAAAACAACCAGATAATTTTATACAATATCAACTTGGTTTAAGATAAAAAAAAAAAAGACACTTTTACCTCTGCAGCTGGATTATTAGAAACAGAAAATTGCAGGGTGTTTTTGGCAAATGGTGACTCCAGAAATCAGATTGGTCTCTAGAGGATAAAACACATGATGGAGAACAGGGCTGCAGACATGGGGAAAGGAGAGATGAATGAGCATTTGTTTGGCAAAGGCTGAGCACTGTGCTAGGTGATTTATATTTATGTATGTTACCTTGGTTCATAGTAACTCTAGATCGAGAAGCATGAGCCTGGGTTTGAGAGCTGTGGTGACTGGGCACAGGCAAGGTGCCCAGGAGAGATGCAGACCAGGAGCAGATGCTGGTTTGGGGAAGGGATGCTGAGTCCTTTCTGGGCCTGTGGAGTGGAAAACCACAGGGCATCTGGTGGAAGTGTCACAGGCAGGTCTGCGTCTGTGGAGAGCTCCGCCTGTGGAGATAGGCTTGGAGGGAGTGGATGACGTCAGCAGGGAGAAGGGGAATGGGCCAGAGATGGATGGGCCAGAGAGGAAAGAGAGAGGCTGGGGAGCTGGGATCACAGAAGCCAAGGGAGGAGAGAGACTTTTGTTGTTTTGTTTTTTTAAAGATTCTTCAGGAGTTAACTCCAAAGGGCACAGAGCTTGATGTGGGCCTAGAAAGAGACAACTCTAGGCTGGGTGCAGTGGCTCATCTGTAATTCCAGCACTTTGGGAGGTCGAGGCGGGTGGATCATGAGGTCAGGAGTTTGAGACCAGCCTGACCAACATGGTGAAACCCCATTTCTACTAAAAATACAAAAACTAGCCAGGAGTGGTGGCACACGCCTGTAATCCCAGCTACTCAGGAGGCTGAGGCAGGAGAATCACTTGAACCTGGGAGGCGGAGGTTGCAGTGAGCTGAGATTGTGCCACTGCACTCCAGCCTGGGCGACAGAGCGAGACTCCATCTCAAAAAAAAAAAAAAAAAAAAAAGGAAAGAAAGAAAAAAGAAAAAGAGAAAACTCTAAAGAGAAGCTGGGACGTTAAAACAAAAGACAAGGTTGGGTTTTGAGGAGCCACGCTTTCATGATTAATAGAGGCAGGGAAAACTAAGATCTACTTAGTTCTCTCTGTCTTCCATCTTAATGAATATGGTGGTCTTCTTGCATGAATGAAAACATCATGTAATGAAATGGCATTTTATGAGCTTTAGGGAGGCAAGGAATGGGTCAACTCAGGTGAAGGAAGAGAAAAGAGGGTAGCCCCTACGGAAGTGGGGCATGATTGCAGCCTGGTTTGGGAGGGGCCTGAGGTCACCCAGTTCCCAGCATTCCACAGGGTCCCGTCTGGCACCGACACACACTGCGGCAGGAAAGCTGGAGGAACGGCTCAGGTGGGGCTGTGCTCCAGGCCCAACAGCCCCGTTCTGAGCCTCATGCATTCAAGGCTGCCCATTTGCGAGTGTGGCTTCCTCCACCCACTGGTAAAGCAGCAGGGATTTAGGGATTTACTAGAGGAGCCTGGAGTTCCACCCAGTGCGTCCGCCATGAGTTTTGTCAGCTCCTGGATCCTGGTAGTGGGGTGGCCTCAGGCTGGGGACAGGGCAGATGTCAGGGCTTCCAGAGGAACCTTCCTGTTTATATCCCTTGAGAACTTGGTGGACGCTGTCTTTGGAAGCAGTCTGTGTGCTTTCAGGAGGTGTCGCTGGGCAAATATCACCATATAAGAGCCTCGTCTGCTCAATTTTTTTTTTTTTTTTTTTTTGTGAGATGGAATCTTGCTCTGTTGCCCAGGCTGGAGAGCAGTGGCATGATATCAGCTCACTGCAACCTCTGCCTCCTGGGTTCAAGCGATTCTCCTGCCTCAGCCTCCCAAGTAGCTGGGATTACAGGTGTCCGCCACCACGCCCAGCTAATTTTTGTATTTTTAGTAGAGACAGGGTTTCACCATGTTGGACAGGCTGGTCTCAAACTCTTGACCTCTAGTGATCTGCCTGCCTCGGCCTCCCAAAGCGCTGGGATTACAGGTGTGAGCCACTGCACCTCTGCCCAATTTTGGGCCATCTGCCCAGTTTTGAAGAAGTGGGCCCTTAGTCGGCTTGGACTTCCATAACATAATACTACAGAATGGGTGGCTGATACAAGAGAGATTTATTTTCTCATAGTTCTGGAGGCTGGAAGTCCAAGACCAAGGTGCTGGCCAGTGTGGTTCCTGGTGAGGGCTTCCTTACTGGCATGCAGATGGCCACCTTCTCATTGTGTAGAGAGAGCTCTGGTGTCTCTTCCCATTCTTACAAGGACACCAGCCCTGTCCAGTTAGGGTCCCATCCTTTTAACCTCATTTAACCTTTATCACCTCCTCATTGGCCCTATCTCCAAATACAGTCACATTGGGGATTAGGGCTTCAACATATGAATTTTGTGAGAGGACACCAACATTCAGTCCATAACAGGTGGAAAATTAAAATCTGCCTTCCAGCCTCCCAACTCTAATCAGGTGGCTTTTGTCTTCAGAAGCTATAGGCAGTAAAACCAGAAGAGTCGTTTCGATTGTTTTCTAGATGAGGAACTGAGGTCCAAGGGGGAAGTGCTTGCAAGTCCTCCCAGTGTTACTGGCATAGCCCCTCCAGGACAGTGCCAATGATCTGGTATCATGTCTGCCTCCTCAGCAAGCCTAGAGCCTTGGAAGACCAAGTCCATGTATACTATCAGGATGTCCTTGATTCTCCAGATCTGGCCCATAGAATGGGCTCAGACATGTTCACAGAATTCATGGTTTTCTCAATTCCAGGACCATAAGGCATGACCTGGCTAGGCTGGGGTTACTAGATAGATCTACCCCTCATTCCGTCCTCTTGCTGAGACTGGTAAGCTGTTTCTTTGGCCAAATTCAAATTCCTGGGAGAGAGAATGTGATCCACCCAGCTGTGGTCAGGTGTTTACCTGTGGGCGTGGTAGGAGTTGGCCTTCTGGGGCTTCTAGGGAAGAGACAGTGGTATGTGAGTTGGGAAGGTGCTGGTACTCCAAAATTACTTAAAAGAGGTCTGGGCACAGTGGCTCACACCTGTAACTCCAGCACTTTGGGAGGCTGAGGCGGGAGGATCACTTGAACCCAGGAGTTCGAGACCATTCTGGCCAACATGGTGAAACCCCATCTCTACTACAAATACAAAAATTAGCTGGGTGTGGTGGCACGCGCCTGTAATCCCAGCTACTTGGGAGGCTGAGGCAGGAGAATCACTTGAACTCAGAAGGCAGAGGTTGCAGTGAGCCGAGATCATGCCACTGTACTCCAGCCTGGGTGACAGAGTGAGACTCTGTCTCAAAAAAAAAAAAAAAAAATTACTTAAGAGAGGATTTAGCTGGGCACGTTGGCTCACGCCTGTAATCCCAGCACTTTGGGAGGCCGAGGTGGGTGGATCATCTGAGGTAGGGAGTTTGAGACCAGCCTGACCAACATGGAGAAACTCTGTCTCTATTAAAAATACAAAATTAGCCGGGCATGGTGGTGCATGCCTGTAATCCCAGCTACTTGGGAGGCTGAGGCAGGAGAATCACTTGAACCCAGGAGGTGGAGGTTTCGGTGAGCTGAGATCTCTCCACTGCACTCCAGCCTGGGTGACAGAGGGAGACTCTGTCTCAAAAAAGAAAAGAAAAGAAAAGAAAAGATTTGATTTGTCTCATTAAGAAACGCTATTTGCCTCTTTGTATTATCTAAAATATAAATAAAAATATAAAATATAACTATATTTATATCTAAAATATAAATATAAAATATTTTGATACTTTCTTACCCAAATATATAAAAATCTTATTTGGGTAAGAAAGTAGAGTCTTTCCTTAGTGGGATTTCATAAACTTAAATACACATTTTCATATTAGCTGGCACAGAATGAACATATTACGCAATTTTAACAAATGTAAGGTAAGGGGAACTTTGTTTTTTTCTTGCTCTGTTGACCAGGCTGGTGTGCAGTGGTGTGATCATGGCTCACTGCAGCCTCAACCTCCCAGGCTCAAGCGATCCTTCTATCTCAGCTTCCCAAGTAGCTGGAACTACAGGTGTGTGTCACCACGCCTGGCTAATTTTTTTTTTTTTTTTTTGTAATTTTTGTAGAGACAGGGTTTTACCATGTTTCCCAGGTTGGTCTCAAACTCCTAGGCTCAAGTGATCCTCCTGCCTCAGCTTCCCAAAGTGCTGGAATCACAGGGGTGAGCCACCATGCCTGGCACATAAAGGGAACTTTTAATTGGCATTCCCATGGATTTTGTTTTTTCTATTCTCCCTTAATCCAAAAATTGAACTAAAAATATACATATAGAATTTCTTTGCTTTTGGCAGCCTTATTTTCTCTTTCTTTCCCTGTTTTAAGCAGAAATGTGTCTCTCATGGGACAAAGAATTAACAGAGTAAATAAACCCCTATGCCTTCCTCATCACAATTTTCAGATATAAACACATTAAAATGCTTGGACCATTTAACAATAGTTATTAGTGCCCTTTGAGTCCAGGAACTGCTGGTACTGATTTTTTTCTTGGGGTCTTCCTGGAGCTCAGGACTCACCTGCAGCTGCTATTTCCAACACCCTGGAGGCTGCCATCACTCACATTCCTCCTGCTTGGCCTTCACAGTTCTGGGCCATCTCAGCAGGAAGTTCAAGGTCCCTGCTTCTTTCTCTTCTTTCCTTCTTTCCTTCCTCCCTTCTTTCCTTCTTTCCTTCCTCCCTCCCTCCCTCCCTCTCTCTCTTTCTTTCTTTCTTCTGACAGAGTCTCCCTCTGTCCCCCAGGCTGTAGTGCATGGTGTGATCTCTGCCCACTGCAAACTCCGCCTTCCAAGGTCAAGCGATTCTCATGCCTCAGCCTCCCAAGTAGCTGGGGTAACAGGAGTGTACCACCGCATTGCTAATTTTCCTATATTTAGTAGAGGCAGGGTTTCACCATGTTGGCCAGGCTGGTCTCGAATTCCTGACCTCAAGTGATCTGCCTGCCTCAGCCTCCCAAAGTGCTGGGATTACAGGAGTGAGGCACCACGCTCGACTCCTTTTTTGAGATGTGGTCTTGCTATGTTGCCCAGGCTGGAGTGCAGTAGATATGTGCAGGTGTATTAGTCTGTTCTCACCCTGCTAATAAAGACATACCCGAGACTGGGTAATTTATAAAGAAAGGAGGTTTGATGGACTCACAGTTCCACATGGCTGGGGAGGCCTCACAATCATGGTGGAAGGTGAAGGAGGAGCAATGTCATATCTTACATGGCAGCAGGCAAGAGGGCGTGTGCTGGGGAGCTCCCTTTATAAAACCATCAGAGGGCCAGGCGCGGTGGCTCACGCCTGTAATCCCAGCACTTTGGGAGGCCAAGTGGGCGGATCACCTGAGGTCAGGAGTTCGAGACCAGCCTGGCCAACGTGGTGAAACCCCGTCTCTACTAAAAATACAAAAAATTAGCTGGGCGTGGTGGCATGCACCTGTAGTTCCAGCTACTTGGGAGGCTGAGGCAAGAGAATTGCTTGAACCCAGGAGGTAGAGGTTGCAGTGAGCTGACATCGCACCACTGCACTCCAGCCTGGGTGAAAAGAGTGAAACTCCATCAAATAAATAAATAAATAAATAAATAAATAAATAAATGCCTCCTTTTTCCCTGGGCCTCTGCCCTTCCCTGCTTTGCTATGCTCCAAACCACTTTCTCACTATCTACTACGCTGTATAGTTTACTTATTTCTCTAGTTTCCCATCAGTCTTCTTCACTAAATATAAGGACCTTGAGGACAGAGATGTTTTATTTTTATTTTTGACACTGCTGTACCTGAGCACCTAGAACAAAGTACCTTGCTCACTGTAGGTCTTCAACAAACGTTGTTGAATGAATGAGTGTACATTTCAGCCAAAAGTTATCTCAGAAAGGGTGGAACCCTCCTGAAGGAAGAGATTTGAGGGTGAGAGTGTGAGAATCCATAAGATCACATGGCAAGGACTTGGGGGTAGCATTTAGGAGCTGAGAGCAGTCCCTGGTTGACAGCTAGTTGGAAAATGGAGACCTTAGTCATGCTACAGCAAGTAAGTGAATTCTGCCAATAATTGGAATGATCCTGGAAGAGGATCCCAAGCTCTAGTAGGCACATAGTTCAGCTGACACCTTGATTTCAGCCTTGTAAGATGCTCAACAGGGACCCTAGTGATGTTGTACCTGGATTTCTGACTCCCAGAACTGTGAGATAATGAATGTTTGTTTGTTTGTTTGTTTGTTTAAGATGAAGTCTTGCTCTGTCGCCAGACTGGAGTGCAGTGGCGTGATCTCGACTAACTGCAACCTCTGCCTCCTCGGTTCAAGCGATTCTCATGCCTCAGCCTCCTGAGTAGCTGGGACTACAGGCATGTGCCACCACACCCAGCTAATTTGTTTTTTTGAGAATGAGTCTTGCTCTGTTGCCCAGGCTGGAGTGCAGTGGCGTGATCTCGCCCACTACCACACCTGGCTAATTTTTGTATTTTTAATAGAGATGGGGTTTCACCATCTTGGCCAGGCTGGTCTTGAACTCCTGACCTCGTGATTCACCTGCCTCGGCCTCCCAAAGTGCTGGAATTACAGGTGTCAGTCAATGCACCTGGCAAATGGGTACCATTTTAAGTCACTGAGTTTTTTGTAATTACACAGCAATAGACGACTAAGACAGTCACAAACCCTCATTGCCTACTGTGGCATTGGGCTAGGTGCTGGGGATGGAGTGAGGAACAGCACAGACCTGGCTCTTAGCCTTGAACTATTTTTCTGATTAGAGGAGAGTGCGTGTAGCCCAGTGTTTAGAAATGGGGTCTTAAACTGAGTCAGAGTGTCTTGGGCTCTAATTCTGGTTCTGCCATTCGCCACCAGTCCAACACTGGTGGCTCGTTTAAACTTCTATGCCTCAGTTTTCTCATCTGTCAAACAAGGACAAAAGTGGCACTACAAAGATTTTGGAGGCTTAAATGGGATAATGTATGCAAGTATAATGCTGAGTTTGTGTCTCGTGTAGGTGGGAGTGAAATAAATGGCAGTTGGTGTTAGTTAGTGTTCTATTCTGGGACATTGGGATATAGGGGATTGCAGCTGGTGGGAACTCCAGGCCATGATCCCACCCCCCAGGCATTCACCTCCAGAAGAGAGGAATGAGGCTTGCTGTGTCATGCTCACACTCATTAGAAATCCCAGGGCTGAGATGAGCACTCCTGAGTCTTAACCCCCAGCTCTCTGTCCTCTCCGTGCTCCAAGCTGCCTCCTGCTGGACTTAGCCAAGGGACTCAGGGACATTCCACACACTGTTCTCCCCCTTGGTCACTGACAGTGACTGTTCAGTGACAGTGATGGAGACAAAGGCATTTCTGAGAACTTCAGAATTATTAACCTGACTCAATTAAGTGGAAGTTGTTCTCATTCTCATTGAGCCTCCTTTCTGCTCAATATCTGGCCTCAGCTCTTCTGCGATAGGAGGATGGAATTTCCAATGGAAACTGTTGAGCTACCCCAAATCCCTAATTAATCTAATTGTATTATTCATGTGGCGGAATTTGAGCTGCCTCTAATCACTTGGATGAAGAATGCTTTGTATTCTAGTGTGGATGAGGATGTAGGAAGTATAATTTGGTTCATTATTTTTGGAGGACCATCTTGGCAATATGTATCAAAAGCCTTAAAATTATACATATGCTTGGGCCCAGGGATTCCAATTTTAGCTTTTGAGCAAATATTGAACTATGAGGATCTTTATCAGTGAATGTATTATAGAAAACATTGAAAACAACCTCTGTTCATTGATAAGTAACTGGGTAAATGATGGTACGTCTGAACAATAGAGTGCTAGGTAGTCATTAAAAATGATGCTGAAGGCTCAGGACTTAGATATTTATAGAATTTTTAGTCTCAAAGTAGTCAGAGTGAGAGTGGTGGTTCTGAAATCAGATCTCCTAAGTTGGAATCTCAGCCCCACCATTTAATTGCTGGATGACATTGGACAAGGCACTCAATTTCTTTAAGCCTCAATTTCTCCATCTATAAAATGGGGATAATAATGACACAATCACTCAGACTTATTGTGAAAATTTAATGAGATAATCCAAGTGAAAGGTTTAGCTTAGTCTAGTGCATAGTAAGCATTTGCTTAATAAATATTACTATTATTATGATTCCATGTTTGCTTTTATTTTATTTTATTTTGAGATGGAGTCTCGCTCTGTCACCCAGCCTGAAGTGCAGTGGTGTGATCTTGGCTCACTGCAACCTCCGCCTCCCGGGCTCAAGCAATTCTCCTGTCTCAGCCTCCTGAGTAGCTGGGACTACGGGCCCACGCCACCATGCCCGGCTAAGTTTTGTATTTTTAGTAGAGATGGGCTTTCACCATATTGGTCAGGCTGGTCTTGAACTCCTGACCTCAGGTGACCCACCTGCCTCATCCTCCCAAAGTGCTGGGATTACAGGCATGAGCCACCATGCCCAGCCCCATGTTTGCTTTTAAAACACATGTGTAGTAAAGGTAAGGAAGTAGTAAAAGTAAATGGAAGTCAAATTTAAGCGGTCATTTCTGGGTGATGGGATTGCATGTGGTTTAATTTTTTCCCGTGATTTCTTTATTTGCAGAATGCTCTGCAATAAGTGTGAACTACTTTTATATAAATGGAAAAAAAGGCACTACAATTAAGGAAGGGAGGAGAAAGTGGTCTTGCATTGTTGAGATCCTTAGAAAAATGTGCAAACCTACTTGCTCAGCTGTCCCCACTTAAAAGCACCTGAGGGTGGGCCTCGTGAAGAGAACCAGCAGGAGCCGGGCCCTGCCAGGCCTTCAGCCCACCTGTTGCCCACACCTGCTGTCCAGCACGCTTGCTTGCCTGCTTGCCCCAGCCTAGCAGGGGCGCCTGGAAGCTGCAGGCCTGGGAGTTGAGCTGATCAAGAAGATGAACTGGAGCTGTACTCACCAAAGTCCAGGACACAGGCAAGTCCCTGGTCACTTGTTTGCATCTTATCAGCACAGCAGCCAGGAAGAATTTATTAGAGGCCACCTCCATCCCTTCTGTCCTTGGGTCAGCCGGCTGTTCATTAGCATGTGTGACAAACTCCTCAATGCAAACAGAACCTTTAAGTGAGAATCAAACTGTTTCAATTTCTTTGGAGGAGTGGCAGTGAACTTCTCCAAAAGTGTCTGACGAAGGGGCTGGTTGGAGCTTTGAGGGCCTCAAGGAGAGCCCTGGAGGGACTGCCCTTAGCTAGGAAGGTGAGAGAAGAGCCTGGAGCAGAGGGGGGTCCCTACTACAGACTTTCCAGCTGTTGCTTGGGGACAACTGATAAGCCGGGAGAGCAGTTGGAGCACAGGCTGAGAAGGGAAGAAGCCCGCGGTGCAAAGATAGGGGTTGAGGGTTTGCTCTTCTTTTCCAGTGAATCTGCCGGAGGCTGACGGGGAGGGAGCTGGAAGGCCTTGTAGTCTGTATTGGGCCTCAGAGAGACCTGGGGGTGAGGCGTGGAGCCTGGTTTCTTGCTGATCACAGCTACTGTGGCCCATATCTCCTGCCCTATGCAGCAGCGAGGGGACGTGAACAGGAAAACAGCTGCTACAAGACATTCTGGGGCTGGGCGCGGTGGTTCATGCCTGTAATCCCAGCACTTTAGGAGGCTGAGGCGGGTGGATCACTTGCAGTCAGGAGTTCGAGACCAGCCTGACCAATATGGTGAAACCCCGTCTCTACTAAAAATGTAAAAATTAGCTGAGCGTGGTGGCGGGCGCCTGTAATCCCAGCTACCTGGGAGGCTGAGGTAGGAGAATTGTTGAACCCAGGAGATGGAGGTTGCAGTGAGCCAAGATCGTGCCACTGCACTCCAGCCTGGGTGACAGAGCGAGACTCTGCCTCAAAAAAAAAAAGTATTACGTTTGTATTTAATATTTTAACTGCTTTAGTAAAGAATAATTCACATACAATAAATGGCACCTATTAAAGTATATAATTTTATAAATATTGACATTGTTATAGACCTGCAAAACCACTACCATAATCAAGATAGGGAACAAATCTGTCACCCACAGAAGTTTCCTTGCACTTCTTTATCATCCTTCTTTTGTTCCTCCCTGCTCCTTTTGTCCCCAAGAAACCACCGATATACTGTCTGTCATTGTAGATTAGTTTGTGTTTTCTATAACTTTTTATAAATGGAATCATACAATATATCCTTTGCTGTTAGATTCTTTCACTCATTACAATTATTTTGAGATTCATTCATACTATTGTGTGTATACCGTATTTCTTTTTATTGTGGAGTAGTACTCCATTGTATAGATAGACCCTGTTTACCTATTCAGATATGATGGATATTTAGGTTTCAGTTTTTGGCTGTTGCAGATAAAGCTGCTGAGGACACTTCTGTACAAGTCTCTGTATGGGCGTATGCTTTCATTTCTCTTGAGTAAATACCTAGGAGTGGAATGGCTAGGTCATATAGTGGGCATATGTCTAACCTATTACAAAAAAAAAAAAAAAACTACTTCCAAACTGTTTTCCAAAGTGGTGTTACATTTTATTTATTTATTTATCTATTTTTTGGAGACAAAGTCTTGTTCTGTTGCCCAGCTTGGAGTGCAGTGCCATGATCATGGTTGACTGTGTTCTTGACCTCCTGGGCTCAAGTGATCTTCCCAGCCTAGCCTCCTGAGTAGCTGGGACTACAAGTGTGTGCCACCACATGTGGCTAATTTTTTCTATTTTTTTGTAGAGACAGGCTGTCACTTTGTTGCCTAGGCTGATCTCGAACTCTTGAGCTCAAATGATCCCCCTGCCTTGGCCCCCCAAGTTGCTGGGGTTGCAGGTGTGAGCCACCACATCCAGCTGACTTGACATTCCCACTAGCAGTGCAAGAGGGTTCCACTTGCTCCACGTCTTCACCAATGCTTGGTGTGGTCACTTTGATTTTAGACATTCTAATAGATGCACAGTGATATGATTGTAGTTTTAATTCACTTTCCCCCAGTGACAAACGATGTTGAATATCTTTTCATGTGAGTACTGTATTTGCCATTTGTATATCTTCTTTGGGGAAGTGTCTGTTCAAATCTTTTGCCCATTTTGGGAGGAGGGAGGAATTTTTTTTTATTTAGTTTTGAAAGTTCTTTATATATTCTGGGTGCAGGTAATTTGTATTATTTCCAAATATTTTCTCCTATTATGTGAATTGTCTTTTCAATCTTTTATTATAGTCTTTCAAAAAGGGTTTTTAATTTTGCTAATATCCGGCTTATACATTGTTTCTTTAACAGATTGGACTTCTGGTATCATGTCTATGAAAACTTTGCCTAACCCAAAGTCACAAATATCTCCTGTGTTTTCTTCTAGAAGTTATATAGTTTTAGGGTCTATATTTCTTTTGTTTTTTTGAGTTGGAGTCTTGCTCTGTCACCCAGGCTGGAGTGCAGTGGCACGATCTCAGCTTACTGCAGCCTCTGCCTCCCGGTTTTAAGCAATTCTCCTGCCTCAGCCTCCCTGGTACGTGGGATTACAGGCATGTGTCACCACGCCCAGCTAATTTTTGTATTTTTAGTAGAGACCGGATTTCACCACATTGGCCAGGCTGTTCTCGAACTCCTGACCTCAGTTGATCCGCCTACCTTGGCCTCCTAAAGTGCTGGGATTATAGGCATGAGCCACTGTGCCCCGCCTAGGGTCTGTATTTCATTAATGTTTGTATGTGGTTTGAGGTATGGATCAAATTTCATTTTTCTGCATATGGATATGCAATTGTTTTAGCACCAGTTTTGAAAAGATTGTTCTTTATTGATTTGTCTTTGTACTTTCATAAAAAATCAGTTGTCCATATATGTGCCTATTTCTGGGCTCTCTATTCTGTTCCATTGGTCTATTTGGCGATTTTTACAACAATACCACAGTCTTAAGTGTAGTTTTATAATAAGTTTTGAAATCAGGTAGTATAGTTCTCCAACATTGTTTTTATTTTTCAAAGTTGCTTTGGTTATTTTAGATCCTTTGTATTTCTGACTTTTAGAATCAGCTTTTTAATTTCTTAGAAAGCTTTCTGAGATTTTGATTGGGAGTATATTGAATCTATACATCAATATGAAGAGAACTGACATCTTAACAATATTGAGTCTTCCTACCTAAGAACATGGGATATCGCTTCATTTTAATGTCTCTTAGGAATGTTTTGTAATCTTCAGCATACAGGCCTTGCATATTTTATCAGATTTATCCCTGAGTATTTCATGTTGTTTATGCCATTGTAAACGATATTACTTTCATTTCCAACTTCTGATTATTTATTGCAAGCATATAGAAATAAAATAAATTTTTTGTATATTGATTTTGTATCTTACAACATAGATGATCATATCACTTGTAGATAAATCCCTTTCAATTGGGCACCCTTTCAATTGGGGTGCCTTTTATTTCTTTTTCTTGGCTTAGTAAACCTCCAGTACAATGTAGAGTAGAAATGAGGAATTGAACAGGGGTGTCTGGTTCTTTGTCTTAAGGGGAAAGCATTGAGTCTTTCACCATTGAGTGTTATGTTGCCTGAAGGTTTTTCATAAATGCCCTTTATCAAGTTGAGGAAGTTCTTTCTATTCCTAGTTTGCTGACAGTATTCTTTTTAACAATAAAGAATAGATGTTAGATTTTATCAAATGTCTTCACTGCATCTATTAAGATGTTCATATGATTTATCTTTTTCAGCCTCTAATATGGTAAATTACACTGATTTTAAACTAATCTTGCATTCCTGGGATAAAGCTTACCTAGTCTTTTTAGATATTTTTAAGACTGTATTTGTTAAATTTAAAAAATATATATTTATTTATTTATTTAGAGATGTGATCTCACTCTGTTACCCAGGCTGGAGCAGTGGCATGATCATAGCTCACTGCTGCCTTGAATTTCTGGGCTCAGAAGATACTGCTGCCTCAGCCTTCTGAGTAGCTGGGACTATAGATACATACCACCATGCCCAGCTAATTTTTGAATTTTTTTGTAGAGATAGGGTCTCACTGTCTTGCCCAGGGCTCAAGGGATTCTTCTACCTCGGCCTCCTAAAGTTACAAATTACAGGTGTGAGCCACCAAGCCCAGACTTTTTATTTTACTTTATGATGACGATGATGATGGTGATGATGATGATGATGATGATGATGTTTTGAGATGGAGTCTTGCTCTGTTACCCAGGCTGGAGTGCAGTGGTGTGATCTTGGCTCACTGCAGCCTCCGCCTCCCCAGTTCAAGTGATTCTCATGCTTCAGCCTCCTGAGTAGCTGGGACTACAGGCATGTGCCATTATGCCTGGCTAATTTTTGTATTTTTAGTAGAGATGGGATTTTGCCATGTTGCCCAAGCTGGTCTTGAACTCTTGACCTCAGGTGATCCACCTGCCCCAGCTGCCCAAAGTGCTGGGCTGGGATTACAGGCATAAGCCACTGCTTCTGGCCTTTATTTTTTTTTTGAAATGGGGGTCTTATTCTGCCACCCAGGCTGGAGTGCAATGGTGAGATCATGGCTTACTGCAGCCTCGACCTCCTGGGCTCAAGTGATCCTCCCAGCTTATCACCCTGAGTAGCTGAGACTACCAGCACCCACCACCGTGCCAAGTTAATTAAAAAATTTTTTTTGTATAGACGGGATCTCCCTATGTTGCCCAGGGTGGTCTCAAACTCCTGGGCTCAAGTGATCCTCCCACCTTGGCCTCCCAAAATGCTGGAATTACACAGGTATGAGACACTGAGACAGGCTCTGATACAATTTTGTTAAGAATTTTGTATCTATGTTCTTAAGGAATGCTGAGTTGTAGATATTTTTCCCTGTAATGTGTCTGTGTAGTCTTGGTACCAAGGTAGTCCTGACATCATAGAATCAATTAAGCATCATTCCTTCCTCTTCACTTTACTAGAAGAGTTTATGTGGAAGTGGTATTATTTTGTCCTTTAATGTTTGGTGGAATTCACCTATGAAGCCATTTGGGCCTGGACATTTATGGGAAGGTTTTTACTCACAAATTCAATTTATTTAATAGATATAGGCCTATTTAGGTTACATTCCTTCTTGAGTGAGCTTTAGTAATTTTTGTCTTTCCTTTTTTTTTTTTTTTGAGATGGAGTCTTGCTCTGTTGCCCAGGCTGGAGTGCAGTGGCGCGATCTTGGCTCTCTACAAGCTCCACCTCCCAGGTTCACGCCATTCTCCTGCCTCAGCCTTGCGAGTAGCTGGGACCACAGGTGCCCGCCACAATGCCCGGCTAATTTTTTGTATTTTTAGTAGAGACAGGGTTTCACCGTGTTAGCCAGGATGGTCTCGATCTCCTGACCTTGTGATCCACCCGCCTCAACCTCCCAAAGTGCTGGGATTACAGGCATGAGCCACCGTGCCTGGCCAGTAATTTTTGTCTTTCAAGGAATTTGTCCATTTAACCTAAGTTTTCAAGTTTATTGGCATAAAGGTTTTTATAATAATTTCTTTTTATTCTTTTAGTATCTGTAGAGTTTGTGGTGATGTCACATCTCTCATTTATGTTAGTGGCAATTTGCGTATTTTCTCCTTTTTTCCTGATCAATCTGGCTAGAGGTTTATTTTCTCAAAAATTAGTTTTTCCTTTATTTTATGTTCTTTTTCTGTGTGGTTTTTTTTTTTTTTTTTTTTTTAGACAAAGTCTCGCCCTGTCGCCCAGGCTGGAGTGCAATGGTGCGATCTCAGCTTACTGCAACCTCCACCTCCCAGTTTCAAGTGATTCTCCTGCCTCAGTCTCCCGAGTAGCTGGGATTACAGGCGCATTGCCACCACACCTGGCTAACTTTTGTATTTTTAGTAGAGATGGGGTTTCTCCCTGTTGGCCAGGCTGGTCTTAAAACTCCTGACCTCAGGTGATCTGCCCACCTCAGCCTCCCAAAGTGCTGGGATTACAGGCATGAGCCACCGCTCCGGCCCCTTTTTCTGTGTGTGTGTTTTTTTTTAATTGATTTTTGATCTGCTCTTTATTCTTTTATTCTTTTTACTTTGGGTTTCATTTGGTCTTCTTTTCCTAGTTTCTTAAGGAGGAAAATTAAGTCATTAATTTGAGACATTTGCACTTTTCTAACTAGGTGTTTTAGTGCTATAAATTTCCTTCTAATGCTGCTTTAGCATGAAATTTGTGCTTCTTGAGCACAAAATTTGATATGGTGTTTTCATTTTCATTCTCTTTAAAATACTTTCTAATTTCCCTTTTGATTTCTTCTTTGACCCATAGGTTATTTCAAATGTATTATTTTGTTTCAAATACATGGAGAAATTTTCAGATATCTCCCTGCTACTGATACATAATTTCATAATTTAGTTCTATTGTGGTCAGAGAACACACTTTGTTTGACTTGAATCCTTCCAAATAAATTAAGACTTGTTTTATGGCTCAGCATATATTCTATCATAGTAAATATTCCATGTGCAGTTAAGTGCATTTTGCTGTTGTTGGGTGGAATGAATGATCTATAAATATGAATTATGTCAAGTTGGTTGACAGTGTTATTTGATTCATCTATATCCTTACTGATTTTCTGACTTGTTCTAGTGATTGTTTTTAAAAAGTGTGTTGAAATCTCCAACAATAATTGTGATTTTACTTCTCCTTTTCAATTCTATCAGTTTTTGCTTCATGTATTACAAAGCTATATTAATAGGTGCATAAACAAAATTAATTATGCCTTTTTGATGCTTTGACCCTTTTATCATTATGAAATAACCCTCTTTATCTCTGGTAATTTTTTTCTCTGAAACTTACTTTTCTACTTTGTCTGAAATTAATATAGCCACTCCACTTACTTTTGATTAGTGTTAGCATGGTATATTTTTTCCATGCTTATACTTTGAGCCTTATTTGTTCTTTACCTTTAAGGTTGGTTTCTTCTAGGCAGCATATTATTGCATTTTGCTTTTTTACCCAGTCTGGCAGTCTCTGCCTTTTAATAGGGATATTTAGACCATTTACATATAATGTGATTATTGATATGGATAGAGTTAAATCCACCATTTTGCTACTTATTTCACTTTATATTTTCGGTTTTTTGTTCCCCTTTTCCTCTTTTTGAAAACCTTTTGAATTAACTTTTATTATTCCATTTCATTTCAATAGTTGGCTTGTTGTAACTCTTGGTTTTGTTAGTTTGAATTTATGCAGTCTATCTTCACATGATATTATATCACTTCCTATGTAGTATAATAACCTTACAACAATATACCTCGGATTCATATTTTTACCTTTAGGCCTTTATGCTCCTGTTGCTATATATACATATATATATATATATATATATATATATATATAAACATTTTATTTGGTATAAGTATACACATTTAAACATGTTAGAAACCTCTTGATATGTTGTTATTTTTTAATTAAACCTGTCTATTATCAATATATGTATAGCATTTAGTACAATCTATAGTATACAGGATACCTCTCAGGCTTTGCCCAACTACCCTTTTCTTAAGTAGACTCTTCCTTCCATAACATCTTTTGTAATTAGCTATTATTTTAAAAATTTTGTCTTTCATCATTCCACCACTGGATCATGAACCGGGACAAGGTCAGTCTTGTTAACATATTTAAAACCTCATACGGGGCCTAACAAATAAATATTGTTGGATGTATGAAAGGTTATTTTCCAAAGCTTTTAATATTCACTTGATTTTTTTCTTACAGCAAAGCTGTGCCAGTTTACATTTTCACCAGCTTTGTGTGAATTGTTTACTTTTCACTTAATTGCCAATGATATTGAGTATGGTTGTGTTAAAGAAATTGTTCCATATTTTGAGGGTGTAAACTGATAATTTTAAAAACTTGTGCTCTTTGTCTTTTTTGAAGAGGGAATCTTTTACATTGTATAATTACTTCTATTTTTACATGTTTTCTGTTTATGTTCTTCATTCTTATTAATAAAAATAAAGATAGAATAAGGGTTAAAAAAAACAAACCCCAAAACTATTAATTATTTTTAAAGATATTTGCGTATTAAGAACAAATCTTATATAGCTAACATTGTTGGTGTTCTTTGTTCCTTTGTGTAGATACATAGTTATATCTGGTATCACTTACCTTCTGCCTGAACTTTTTTTTCCTGTGAATAAATTATGTTTCATGAAATCAAAGTGATAAAAAAAACATTTCAGCCTGGGCTCATTCTATCCAAGAAAAAGAGCGAGGAAACAGCTCGTAAAAAACAAGATAACGTAGGCTGTGCGTGGTGGCTCACACCTGTAATCCCAGCATTTTGGGAAGCCAAGGCGGGTGGATCACAAGATCAGGAGTTTGAGACCAGTCTGGCCAATATGGTGAAACCCCGTCTCTACTAAAAATACAAAAAAATTAGCTGGGCATGGTGGTGCACGCCTGTAATCCCAGCTACTCGGGAGGCAGAGGCAGGAGAATCACTTGAACCCAGGAGGTGGAGGTTACAGTGAGCCAAGATGGCGCCATTGCACTCCAGCCTGGGCAACAGAACGAGACTCTTTCTCATTAAAAAAAACAAAAAAAAAAAAACAAAAAAAAAAACAAAAAAACAAGATAATGTAATCAAATGACACTCATAAGACCCCACACCTCGTAATAGAAATACATAATATATGTACTAGAAAAATAACTCTTACCATTTATTCAATACGTAACATTTCCCAGGCACTGTGCTAGATGCTTTACAATTATGATTTCTAATTTTATTTTTATTTTTTGAGACGGAGTTTCATTCTTGTTGCCCAGGCTGGAGTGCAATGGCACGATCTCAGCTCACTGCAGCCTCCACCTCCCGAGTTCAAGCGATTCTCCTGGTTTAGACTCCTGAGTAGCTGGGATTACAGGCGTGTGCCACCATGCCAGGCTAATGTTTTGTATTTTTAGTAGAGACAAGGTTTCACCACGTTGGCCAGGCTGATCTTGAACTCCTGACCTCAGGTGATTCACCCACCTTGGCCTCCCAAAGTGCTGGGATTACAGGCATGAGCCACCATGCCCGGCCTGATTTCTAATTCTAAAAACCATTCTCAGGTAAATGATTAAAGCTTTTAAAAGTTTTGTGGTTTTTTCAAACAGAAGAAGAAAATGATGCTTATTAAAGTTGAATGACTCATCCAAGGCCATATAGCTGGTCAGCAGCAGAACTGGGGTTTGAACCCAAGTTTTTCTTCCTCACCATACAGAATTTACTGTATAGAAAAATAGCTGAATAAATTTCTCTTGTTATTTTAGCCAAATTTCATATGCAAAATCCCAGGAGTGGCCTACTATTCTGATGTGTCAATATCTATCTTTCATCATGTGAATAAACAACAGAGAAAATCCATTGTGCTCTTATGAGTTTGGAAAACAAAGTGTTATCACAGATATTCTTGTCCTCAGTTCCAATGATTTTGAACCTGTTATTCAGAACAAGAAGCCGCCTGATTCAAATACAAAACAAAACATTCTATTTAGTGCAAACACAAAGATCTGAAACTCCATTTTAAAGTCATTTCTGTACAGTAAGAATCCAGCCTGCATCTGTCAGTGGTAGAGAGAATAGTAAACAGAGGAGTCCCTGAAGAGGTCACAGTGTTGACAAAGTTCAACATGATAGTGGAGTCTGCACAAATACAGGGAACAAAGCTTGGCCCTTCCACACAGCTGTGAGGCCTTGACTTCGTTTTAAGTCAACGTCATTTCATGTCTCACATATTTCCCAGTGTCTGCATGATGAAATACCACAGTCACCAGGAGGTCCACTTTTCTGCAGTCTTGTGTAGATTTTCCTGCCACCCCAAAACCCAAGGAATGTCTGCCATGGAGCACACCACCACTGCCTGGTACTGAGAAGTCTTTTTGGTGATTCAACCCAGACCATATTTCAACAGATGGTTCCCATACGGGAAGGACTGACCTGCTCCAGGAAGAAGCTCTAGGCTTTATCCGCACTTTATACTTGGTATAGGGTACAAGGTAATCCAGAGTTGTGATGTGCAACTGAAACCTGTGGGTCTTAGTGAATTTTCCGAAGCAGGTTCCCAGCAACACCAGCTTGTCCCTGGAGATACTGGCAGCCAACTTCAGAATCTTCTCACTCACATAGCGTAGGTGCCGTCGGGCCTGTCAAGTGGCAGCAGATTCTCCCTGATGTATTTCATGGTCTTCTCAAACATTATATGGGCCTGCTCTTCAGCCAAGTCCACATTTTCCCGCTAGAATGGAACACCGGATCCTCATGCCCCATTGGCAGGGAAACCTGAACTTTTAAAAAAACCTTTCATGTAATGTGGGTCTGTTCTAATTAAGTCTTTCAGCTTTTGTCTGCCTAATAGTCTTTATTTTACTTTTGTTTTTGAAAGACATTTTTTACCAAGTAGAGAATTTTAGATTAATAGTTTTTTTTATTTCAGTATTTTAAAGATACTGCTCCACTGTCTTACTTTTTTCGATTGTTTCTAACAAGACATTTATTGCTGTCCCACCTCTGTTTCTCTGTACATAATGTGGGGTTTTTTTTCCCTCTGAATGCTTTTTAAGATTTTCTCTTTAACACTGGTTGGGAGCATTTTGATTATAATATACTTCCAAATTCCTTGTGCTTGGAGTTTGTTGAGCTCCTTGGATTTGTGGATTTATACTTTTCATCAAATTTTGTAAAATTTTAGCCAATAATTTTTTTTTTTTTTTTGAGACGGAGTCTCGCTCTGTCACCCAGGCTGGACTGCAGTGGCGCAATCTCGGCTCACTGCAAGCTCCACCTCCTGGGTTCATGCCATTCTCCTGCCTCAGCCTCCCAAGTAGCTGAGACTACAGACACCCACCACCACGCCCGGCTAATTTTCTGTATTTTTAGTAGAGACAGGGTTTCACCATGTTAGCCAGAGTGGTCTTGATATCCTGACCTCGTGAACCGCCTGCCTTGGCCTCCCACAAGTGCTGGGATTATAGGCTTGAGCCACCGCACCCGGCCGCCAATAATTCTCTTCAATTATTTTTTCCTTTCTCTCTTTCCTCTCCTTTGGGGACTGCTTGAAGTCATCTCATGGCTCACTGATGCTGTTTGCATTTTTAAAATTCTCTTTTCTTTGTTTCATTTTGGGTAGTTTTTATTGCTATCTATTTGAATTTACTATTTTCTTCTGCATGTCTCATCCGCTATTAATCCCATCCACAGTATTTTTTTTTCCTTTTTGTTTTTCTTGAGACGGAGTCTTGCTCTGTCACCCAGAGTGTAGTGCAATGGTGTGATCTCAGCTCACTGCAACCTCCATCTTCCAGGTTCAAGCTATCCTTCCACCTCAGCCTCCTGAGCAGCTGGGAGTACAGGCACGTGCCACCACGCCTGGCTGATTTTTGTTATTTTTAGTAGAGACAGGGTTTCACCATGTTGGCCAGGCTGGTCTCAAACTCCTGACCTCAAGTGATCCGCCAGCCTCAGCCTCCCAAAGTGCTAGGATTATAGGCATGAGCCACTGCACGCAGCCCACACTATTTGTCACCTCAGACATCGTAGTCTGCATCTGTAGAAGTTCAGTTTGCGTGTCTTCTCCCAGCCCTCTGGTATTATCTTCCTTGTCTCTGCTTAACTTTTCGAACACATAAAATATAGTTATAATAACTGTTACAATGTCTATCTCTGCTAATTCTGACATCTGCATTAGTTCTGGGTTGGTTTAAACTGGTAATTTTTCTCCTCATTTTGGATCACATTTTTTAGCTTCTTTATTTTACCTGGTAATTTTTAATTGGATGCCAGACATTCTGAGTTACATCTTGTTTTTTTGTTTAATAAGATATTTTATATTCCTATAGTTACTATATTCCTCTTACTGTCTGGGTCTTTCCAGACTCTTAGCTGTGTCTCCTCGATTGAGGGGTCTGCTGGATTCTGCTTGAATTACTCCTCCATGTGCTGTGGCCTGGAAACTCTTTCAAGTCCGTAAGCTGGGGCGGTCATAGGCTTCCCGTCATTTGTTCCTTATCACGCAGGGATCACTGTCCTTTGTTGCCTGTTACCAAGTGTCCTGGAAACGACCGTTTCATATATTTTGTCCATTCTTTTTGGTTGTTTCAGGCATGGAGGTAAATCTGGTTTCCATTACTCTTTCTTGGTTGGAAGTAGAAAGAAATCTCTTTTTATTGATGTGAAATTCAAATAGCATAAAAGTAACCATTGAAAAATGAACGATTCAGGGGCATTTAGTATATTCATAATGTGGTGCAAGCACCACCTCTGTCTAGTCCCCATTTTTATCACCCCAGAAGGAAACCTATTACCCCTCCCTCAGTCCTTGGCCTGTGCCTTCTCTATGGATTTAAATATTCTGGATATTTCATGTAAATAGGATCCTATGATATGTGATTTTTTGTGTCTGGCTTCTTTCACTTAACATAATGTTTTCAATTTCAGTGCTCACCCATGCTGTAGTATGTATCAGTAGTTCGTTCCTTTTTATTGCCAAATGATATTTCTTTCATTCTGTGTTGTAAGGGCCAAGGGAAAACTCCTCCTTTGCCCTGTGAAATTTTGCTGAAAAATCAACTGACAAAAGGCAAATTAATAAGAGAAAAGGCACACAGATTTATTAATGTGCACATGGGAGAAAACCACAGAGTAATTACCCCAACCCCTCAATAGGGTTCAGAAGCTTATACAACATCTTGAGGTTGCAGAAAGAATAACGGCTTGGATTATGGCAAAACAGGTTATGGGAGGGGGAGAAGGGGAGGCATGGCTAGCATACGTGGTCTTGTAATGTAAATGAAACTTCACAGGTAGCAGCCCTCAGAAAGAATAGATGGCAAATGTGTCTTCCAGACTTTTATTTTTTTATTTTTATTTTTATTTTTTTCAGTGGAGTTTCGCTCTTGTTGCCCAGGCTGTGGCACGATCCCGGCTCACTGCAACCTCCACATCCCAGGTTCCAGCGATTCTCCTGCCTCAGCCTCCCGAGTAGCTGGGATTACAGGCATACACCACCATGCCCAGCTAGTTTTGTATTTTTAGTAGAGACGGGGTTTCTCCATGTTGGTCAGGCTGGTCTCGAACTCCCAACCTCAGGTGATCCACCCACCTTGGTCTCCCAAAGTGCTGGGATTACAGGCGTGAGCCAACATGCCTGGCTCTTCCAGACTTTTAAAGGTGTCAGACTCTCAGTTAATCTTTCCTAGATTAGACAAAGGAAGGCCTCAGAAAAAGCCTGGCTGCATCTGTGCAGATTTTCTCTACAGATGCCAAGTCTCTTCCACAAAAGGCAGCTTTGCAGGCCTACTTCTGTTTGCAAGCCCTCTGAACAGCTATCTCAAAATACGTCAGATTTTTGGTTTTGGGTGCACTATTTTGATTTCCTTTAATGTATATGCCATGATTTGTGATTCATGTATCTGCTGATGGACATTTGGGTTGTTTCCACCTTTCAGATATTGTGAATGCTGTGGCCATGAGCATGCGTGCCTATGTGTTTGTTTCAGTACCTGTTTTCAATTCTTTTGTGAATACACCTGGGAGTGGGATTGCTGGGTCATATGATAATTCTATTCTTAACTTTTTGAAGAACTGCCAAATTGCTTTCCACAGTGGCTTAACCATTGCACATTTTCATCCTCTTTTTTTAAAAAAAACAATTTTTGGGGGGTATGAATTTACATACCTTAAATCACACACATTTTAAGTATACAGCTCAATGAGTTTTGTCAGATGAACACATTTGTATAATCACCATCACAATCAAGAAAGTAAACTTTTCTATCACCTTAGAAAGTTTCCTCATATCTATGTGGAGTCAATTCCTCTTTTAGTCAACCACTGTTTTCGTTAACTGTAGATGAGCTTTGCTTGTTCCAGAACTTTATATCAATGCAGTGTGTACTCTTTTGGATCTGAAGTCTTTTGTTCTGCCTAATGTTTTTATGAGATTTATCCATGCTGATAGGTGTACTACAGTTTGTCCCTTTTGACTGCTGAGTAAAATTCTATCTTGTTGGTATACCACGATTTGTTCATCTGTTGAATGTATATTTGGGTTGTTTTCAGTTTGGGGCTATTATAAATAAAGCTATAAGCATTTTCAGTCTATGTGTGTCTTCATAATGAAGCTTTATGTCTTATAGATAACATATATTTGAGTTCTACTTTTTATCCACTTGGACTACAGGCACGCACCACCATGTCTGGCTAATTTTTTTTGCATTTTTTGGAGAAGGGGTTTCACCATGTTGCCCAGGCTGGTTTCAAACTCCTGGGCTCAAGTGATCCTCCCATCTTGGCCTCCCAAAGTGCTGGGATTACAGGTGTGAGCCACCATGCCGGGCCTCAATCTCTGCCTTTCAATTTGCGGCTTTTACATTGAAAGTAATTTTTGATATGGCTGTGTTTAAATCTATTAAATTGGTACAAAAGTAATTGCAGCAAAAACTGCAGTTACTTTTGCACCAACCCAATATTATTTTGCTACTTGTTTTCCATTTGTTTATTCAGTTTTTTTCTTCTTTGTTGCTCCTTGTCTTCCTTCTTTGGGTTAACCAATTTTTTTTTTTTTTTGAGATAGAGTCTCACTCTGTCACCCAGGCAGGAGTGCAGTGGTGCAGTCTCGACTCACTGCAACCTCTGCCTTCCGGGTTCAAGTAATTCTCCTGCCTCAGCCTCCCAAGTAGCTGGGACTACAGGCATATGCCACTACACTCAGAAAATTTTTGTTTTTTTAGTAGAGACGAGGTTTTACCACATTGGCCAGGCTGGTCTCGAACACCTGACCTCAAGTGATCCACCTGCCTCGGCTTCCCAAAGTGCTGGGATTACAGGCGTGAGCCACTGCGCCCAACCACCAAATATTTTTTGATATTCCATTTTATTTCCTCTATTTGCTTCTTTCTTTTTCTTTTTTTTTTTTTTTTGAGATGGAGTCTCGCTTTGTGTGCAGTGCCATGATTTCAGCTTATTGCAACCTCCACCTCCCAGGATTAAGCTTTTCTCATGCCTCAGCCTCCCCAGTAGCAGTAGCTGGGACTACAGGCACGTGCCACCACACCCTGCTAAATTTTTTTTTTTGTATTTTTTGTAGAGATGGGGTTTCACCATGTTGGCCAGGCTAGTCTTGAACTCCTGACCACAAATGGACCGCCCTCCTCAGCCTCCCGAAGTGCTGGGATTACAGGCTTAAGGCACTGCACCAAGCCTATTTTCTCTATTTGTTTCTCTCTTTTTTGGAGATGGAGTCTCACTCTTGTTGCCCAGGCTGGAGTGCAATGGTGTGATCTTGGCTCACTGTAACCTCCACCTCCCAGTTTCAAGCAATTCTCCTGTCTCAGCCTCCTGAGTAGCTGGGATTACAGGAGCCCGCTACCACGCCCAGCTAATTTTTGTATTTTTAGTAGAGACAGGGTTTCACCATATTGGCCAGGCTGGTCTCAAACTCCTGACCTCAGGTGATCCACCCGCCTCAGCTTCCCAAAGTGCTGGGATTACAGGCGTCAGTCACTGCACCTGGCCTCCTGTATTTGTTTCTTAGCTATACATTAAAAAATATTTTAAGTGGTTTCTAGGGCTAATAGTATACATCCCAATCTTATCCAAAACTGTTTAGAATGGATTTTACTACCTCATGTTTCATAATCACACTTCATCCCTGACACTTCAAACTTCTGCCTTCCTAATTTACAAATGAAATCACCTTACAACAGCATAATTCTATTTGCACCCCCCTTATCAGAGGGCTTTTATTATATAGAAAAAAAAACTTGATTAAGACATGTTCCCTTTCCTCGATGAGCCTGGAGTAGAGGGGAAGACAGATGTATAAAAGAAAGAATTGTACTGTGGAAAGGTAAAGGTAAACCCCAAAAAAGGGGCAGAAGTAGACTCAAGTGGGGAATTATCAAATCTCATCAAAGAGGTGCAGAATCCAGGAGGGCTTCACAGAGGAGGTCCTGGAGATGGAGTTGTAAAAATAAGTATGGCTTACTGGAGCAAAAGGAGAAATGGTGCCATAGGCAGAAGGAACTAGAAAGCATCAATAGTTCAGTGTGTCTGCAGCAGGCAATAGGCAGTGTGAGAAGAGTAAATAGACGAGGCTGAAGTTCAGGGCATTATTGCTGGATCCTGGAAAGCCATGAGTGTCATGTCAAGTTCTAACTTCAGTGCATGGGTAATAGGGAGTCGCTTAATAGGGAGCTTTCATACATTCAGATTTGTTTTAGGCAGTGATGGCTGGATTGAAGGGGCCAAGACAGGAGGGCAGAGAAAGGAATTTGTAGGAGAATTTGGTGTCCCTGTGAGAAACAAGGGCTGCTCTAATGCGCCTGGACAGAAGGGCTACAGATGCAGGCATGATTAAAGAGCAGAACCATAGGAACTTAGAATCAACTGATGTAAGAAATGAGCATGAAGGAGGTGCCTGGGATGACTAGAGGTGGAAGTAATCTTCACTAGGATGGAGATGGCAGATGATGGTCACTGTCAGGAGAGGGAGGAAGATGAAGACTTCAAGATGGAATGTACTGAGTGTGGGGGTATCTGTGGAATCTGTTGAAAATGCTCAAAAGAGAGCTGCAAATACAATCTGGTGTTCAGGGCAGAGGAGAATGGAATTGGAGTCATCAATGGATGGTGTGGAGAGGTGCATGGCAATTATGATTATGGATGACACTGACCATAATGAAACTTGTAGATTTGGAATAACAGGCAAGAGGAAGGCTTGGAAAGGGACTGAGGGGAAACCATCCAAGAAGATGGTGGCTTGCCAAGATGCCATGCTCCAAGGGAGCATTCCTTGTTTTATCCACTTCTAGAATCGTCCATCAGTCTTTCTGCTTCACCTAAGAGGACATTTCATGTTAATTGAGTATGTGGGTTTTTTTTTTTTTTACCCATTATTAATGTACCAGTATCTGCTTCTCAAAGCCCAAAGGTGGGGTCACATGACCAACCCAATGGATCACCAATGGATCACACTCCCTGCCACCATGCAAGGGAAAGAAGGATGAGGCACACATTTCTCACTTTCTATCCCCACTGAATCTTGTCTTCGTGCAGAGCCTCAATGAAGGTGAAAGAAACCACCATTTATTGAGGACCTACTATGTGCTAGGCACTGTACAGATCATTTATTGACATTATTTGCCCTTCCAACCTCAACAGAGAAGTGTGAGAACGCAATTAGCTAGTAGGGGAAAAAAAACAACTCAAAAGGTCAGAATTATGCAATGTATTTATGGACTGAAATTTTTGCTATATTAACCTATTTTTCCTTTCTAGTATTTCCCTCCTCCTCTTTCTCCCATTGAAACAGAGAGTTGCCCTGTGCTCCTGAGCTCAAGGTAGATGTGAGACAGAATTTCCTGGTGTTTTGTTTCCAAAAGTATAAAAACATTAATAATACCATTTGAAAATGGAAGGTGAGGAGGGAAGGATTTTATTCACACTTAAAAAAAGGATTTTATTCACACTCAGGATGAGGAGGAGCGGCTAGGGATGAGTGAGGAGAGCAGAGAGCTCTCTTTTGTCATCAGAGCTGCAAGGGAAGTGCTTTCCAGTGCGTGTCCAGGGAGGGAACAACGACAGCCGGGCAGAGGGTCTGTGTTCAAAGGTGGCACAGAAAGGGAATGAGAGAAGCATTGCACAGATGCTTTGCAGACAAGAGCAAGCATCATCTTGGGGCTGATCTGTGTGAAGCCCTGGCTGAAAATGGAAGGACGCTTTTCCATTACCAAATGTACCCTCTACCTCTTCTCACCTCCCAACCTTGATGCAGGCCCTGGGAAGAGAAGGGGATCTGCGGTGCACTAGTGATCTGGGTCTCCAAAAACCAAAACTCAACATTGCTGATTGGTAGCGCAGCTCCCACCGTGGCAGATTTCAGGATACCAACGTGAGCTCTCTGCAGAACTGGGAAGGGAGCATGCAATCTGCTCCTGTGAACCATACGAGCCAGCTCTGCCACACCACTGAAATCCTCCTGAAACCCCCGCGGAAAAGACTAGAATTATTATTTCTTATCAGCAAAATAGAAATGAAGTTGAAATTAAAAAAAAAAACATACACAAATCTATGTTTCTTGTCCACCTAATTTAGGGACAGGGGTGGTATGTTTCTTAATTATAAACATAAGGAAAGTGGCTGACCTGACACTTGAACCCATGGCTGTCTGAATCTAAAGCCTTGCCAGCTTTCTGACTGACTCTTCTCTGGGCTGAATTCCTGGGGAGTGCTTGGTTCATGCTACTGTCTGGGTCTGTTCCCATTCCTCACTCTTGCCCTTCCAGGGTCTTAGGAGAAGAATATCTTTGGCTGTGAGAGGGTGGTGGCCAGGGGCATGCCTCTTTTTCAACCATCCTTCTTGCTCTAGTCCACATTTCCTAGGAAATCACTGGGTAAAGGGTTTATGTTTTACTTTTGGATTCTGGACATGACCTAATTGTGGACATTAGGTAAGTGAGAGCTGGATAGGGAGGTGAAGGGGAAGGAATCTGTTGATCATCATCTTGGCTCTGTGGCTCAGCTGTCAATGCCCTTAGAAGTCAGGAAGTGGCGCTCACCTCTCCCGCTCACTGTGGTGGGTAATTTAGTCACCAGAGAAAGGGCTAATATGTGGCATTCATGCCACCACTTCTCTTTTCTGGGCTTATGGCTGACATCACCAAGTTATCACAACATGAAGAGGCCCCATAAGCCTCAATGCTGCACTCCAGGAAGCTACAACCAAACCCAAAGAAGGTGGCTGGGCCAGGTGGTCAGCCCAAGCATGCTTCTCAGCTCCAAACTCACCCTTCCATACCCGCTTTGTGATATTGGGGCTGTGACTCTGCCCACCAGGGGGAGCTAGAGGAAAGCAACCAGGCAGGAGGAGGAGGAGGAGGGGGAGGAGGGGGAGGAGGAGGGGGAGGGGGAGGGGGAGGAAGAGGAGGGGGAGGAGGAGGAGGGGGAGGAGGAGGAAGAGGAGGAGCGGCATCCCTCCTTCCTATCTGCTTGTGGTTTCTGTGCACATCACCCAGGCAATGCTTGTCCTTCCAGACAACAGCAGTTTCTTCTTGTGGTAAAAGCTGAGCCAGTTTGTAGTTTTTCAAAAATTTGTGACACCACCCTCCTTGTGCCCCTCAAAGACAGTGGCACCAGCCTGCCAGCCTCTTCCTCAGAGGTCTGAATTTTGCCTTTTCCAACCTTCCATGTTTCAATACTTCCCTTTGGGCTCTGGCTGTGTGGGTGGAGCTGCTTTCCATAGTTGCCATCTCCATGATACCCTAGAGTTCCATTTATGCCGTTTTGGATACCTAGCTAACAATTCCTCATGTTCAAGGCTGACTATTAAAATCGCTGGTGTGATTTCTGTCCCCTGACTGGACCCTGACTACCATTGTGCAAACGAGGGAAAACCCATTTGCCATCCCTGGACCAGGCCATTATGGTGGTGTTCGTGACAGAAGCTTCTGCTACATAAAAGCCAAGACTCTTGTAGGGCCTGAAGACAGCACAAATCTAGCTCTACAAGCACAGTGAGGCAAGAGATGCACAAAGGTCCCTGAACAATGTAACCCTCTTGGTTCCACTCCTCTAGGAAAATTCTGTTTCGTATCACTCAGGATGGGGTGTCCAGGTAGCAGCCTGCCCCCAGAGTGCACCAATTATATCCCAAGCTTTAGGGCTGGGATGGAGGGAACCTGAGAAATCGGCCTCCTTACCATCGAAGATGAACCAAGGCCCAAAAAGAGGAAGGGCTTGACTCAGGTAACACAGCAAGTGAGTGTCAGGGTGGGATCAGACCCCAGGTCTCCCGAACCTCTGGGTCTTCCTGGGTCATGGACTGTTTCTCAACTCTTCCAACTTATGAAACATGCTAGGGATGGCTGTTGTTGTGCCAAATGGTTTCTCTACTACATCCAATAAAATAAAGACATTTCTTTTCCAGAAATGCTTAAAAATAGTTAAAACAATTCTTCTGTTGTTGTTTGTTTTGTTTTGTTTTCTGAGATGGGGGGGTCTGTCTGTGTTGCCCAGGCTGATCTCAAACTCCTGGGCTCAAGCCATCCTCCCGCCTTGGCCTCCTAAGGTGTTGAGATTACAGGCATGTGCCATCGTATCCTGCAACACAGTTGTTCTTTATGTTTCAAAATACCTAATCACTAAGTGTAAAGGACTTCCAATTCTAAATTTAAAATATGAAATAAATATACCAATGTCATATAAAAGAGCACTCATATACCTAGGTGTAACTACCGGTAAGATTGTGAATCAGTTTCTTAACCTCTGTTTCCTGCAAAATGGCAGTTATAATATTTCCCTTTCCAGGTAAATATTGGGGTAAAGTGTTTTCTTAATAGATGGTAGCAGTTGTTGATGAATGACTAATGTTTGTCTCAAATATAATATATATACTTCTTTTTCTCATTGGTCTTTTTGGCTCTGAAACAAAATCTTTTTTTTTCCCCAGTAGCACTAATCCTTGCATAAAGCCCAAGCTCATTAAATGTTAGAGATTATTAAGTGGTCAGTATCAGCATGTCACGTTTTCCTTTAATTCCCACCCAAACAGTGGGTTGAGGCTATTTCTTTGTGGGAATTGAGGACTCTTCTCCCATCACCTCTTTCTAACCCTGGAAGAAGTCTCTTCTGTAACTGAGCAAGGCCTGATGACCCATTGATGGGGTCACCGAGTATGGGGCCTTCTGGGCTTGGCCTCCAGGAGAAAGGACCCCCTAAGGCCGTCACCCAGCCCCACTGATTCACACCCAGTGATTTACCGAGCACTGGGGCCGCTGACACCTTTTATGCCTCTTCTTCTAGACCAAAGAGACAAAGCTAGGGAAGACGTGGCGGGGAACCCATCCCTGGGTCACCTCTGCAGAACTCTCCCATCATTGATGGTGTCCCTTTGCCCTGGAAAACAAAACCTAGGCCCCTTGACTTTGGGTTACCAGCACTTTGGCACCACCTTTGAAGCAATCATCTGAATTTACGACACAGGCATGAAAGCCTGTTTAAGGCTCTGCCGTCTTCCCCGGCCGCTGAACTTCATGTGGTCCAGAGTAAATCACCGTAATAGCCATTGGGCCAGCATTGTTGCGGGATGTTTTATACCCGCGCTGTCAGTTATTTGGGGTGGTTAAACTGAATTGCTGAGTCTCAAGTTACAGTTGTTGCTTTCTCTTGCCTTGTGCATAATTATGGAGAGACATAACAGCCAAAGGTAGGTTCAACAACTAGATTCATAAAGGAGAGAGGGGGAGAAAAGCAACCTGCTTTCTAACCCATGAAGGGATTTCTTTTCTCCCTTACTCCTGGGACAATGAAGCCACTTTCTCCTGGGAGGAGGGGTGGTACCGATTGCCAAGTGGTCACTAGACTCACTGCCCTGATGAATGTACTGCGTGTCCTGGAGCCCTCAGGTAGCCACGAACTGAGCCTTCCTGGCTCTGGGTCCTTGGTGGGCAGAGGTGGGCCAGTTGATGCTGCAGTCAGGAAAAAAAGGGCTTTACCCGGCTGGGCGCGGTGGCTCATACCTGTAATCCCAACACTTTGGGAGGCCAAGGTGGGTGGATCACCTGAGGTCAGGAGTTCGAGACCAGCCTGGCCAATATGGTGAAACCCCATCTCTACTAAAAATGCAAAAAAAAATTAGCCAGGTGTGGTGGCGGGCACCTGTAATCCCAGCTACTCGGGAGGCTGAGGCAGGAGAATCACTTGAACCCAGGAAGCGGAGGTTGCAGTGAGCCGAGATCACACCATTGCACTCCAGCCTGGGGGACAAGAGCGAGACTTCATCTCAAAAGAATAAAAAAAAAAAGATAAAAAGGCTTTACCCTCTTCTCCACCCACATCTGTACCTGGCATGTGTTTCCATCATGGGTGCCTTGTATGGTGTGTGGATAGCTGTTTGCACTTCTGCATCCATGGAAGGCCTATAAAGGCACATACTTCACTGAGCCCTTCCTTGAGGCAGTCCTGGAGCCCAGGTGCTGGAATAGTAAGTCCCCAGGACACGTTATTTATGGGTGTGTAAGCTTTTCCTCCTGCCCCATCTGTAACTCTTGGGTCAGGAAGATGCAGTTGATGGCTCACTTTTTTTTTTTGGCTGTGGGTGGGGAGGTCTCTGCTTGTTCACCTCCTGCTGGGGTGGAGAAGGGCGGGTCAGAAGAGGAGGCAGATGTGCAAATGCAGCCTCTTCCCAGCCTGGGTGGCCCCATCCCCTCTGCATGCTCCCCGAAGCCCTGACCTGGTACCTCTTCCTTCTTAAGGATTTCTGCCCTTCATGTATTTCTGGCTTAGTAACTACTTTGTTATTACAATTACAATGCAATAAGCACTAATGCATTCTCCTGGTTAAAAGGAGACAAAGGAAGTTGAGTGAAGTCTCCTTCCCTCCTCAGACCCCATGTTTCTGTTCCTCGCCTTCCAGAAGAAGCCATCATTATTGATTTCTGGTTTTGGATGTCCATCTGTGCATTTAATTTTTTTGTTTTGAGATGGGGGTCTTGCTCTGTCACCCAGGCTGGAGTGCAGTGGCACAATCTTGGGCCACTGCAACCTCTGCCTCCCAGGTTCAAACAATTCTTCTGCCTCAGCCTCCTGTGTAGCTGGGACTACAGGCGTGCGCCACCACACCTAGCTAATTTTTGTATTTTTAGTAGAGATGAGGTTTCACCATGTTGGCCAGGCTGGTCTCAAATTCTTGACCTCAAATGATCTACCCACCTTGGTCTCCCAAAATGCTGGGATTACAGGCATGAGGCACTGTGCCAGGCCTGCATTTACTTTTATTTCTATGAAAATATTGGGGATGATGCTGGGCATGGTGGCTCACGCCTATAATCCCAGCACTTTGGGAGGCTGAGGTGGGCAGATCACGAGGTCAGGAGTTCAAGACCAGCCTGGCCAACATAGTGAAACCTCATCTCTACTAAAAATACAAAAATTAGCCGGGTGTGGTGGCATGCACCTATAGTCTGAGCTACTCGGGAGGCTGAAGCAGGAGAATCGCTCAAACCTGGGAGGTGGAGGTTGCAGTGAGCCGAGACCACGCCATTGCACTCCAGACTGGGTGACAGAGTGAGACTCCATCTTGAAAAGAAAAAAAAAAAAAAAAAGAAAATATTGGGGATGAAAGGGGAGGAAGCAGAATTGTAATTTGCCTCTTGTACCTGGCTGTAGAAGGACAAGGGCAAGGCTGGAGAAATCAGTCAGCTCTGTGTCTGAGAGCAGAAAGCTGCTGGCATGAGGGCCTTGAGAGGGTGGGCAGGTCTTTCTGAAGAGAGAGGAGGGGGCAATGTAACCCTGGTAACAGTGCATGATTCTCCCAGAAGCCCTGAGGGGTCTGTGGTTCCAGAGTCGAAAGATTGGATCTACTCTCAAGTCTACTAGGAGACACGTGCAGAGAGTTCAAATTCATGGTGACCTCCAGGTGCAATAATGATGGGGTACAGAGGGAGCGGAGGGAGAGACGAGAGTAACTTAGTTGTGATGGTTGGTGAGGAAAGGCTTCCTGAAAGGTCATGTCTGAGCTGGGGTTTGGAGGATCCATAGGGGTGGACTGGGTTGATGGGAGGGCTGTGAGGGAACCCATGTGTGCAAAGGTTTGGCAGTGGGGAATTGTAGGCAGATTGGCGTCATAGAGCCTGAAGCATGTGTGTGTGTGTGTGTGTGTGTGTGTGTGTGTGCGCACAGTGTATGTGTGTAGGGGTGAGGTTGGAGATGAAGCTTGAGAGGCAGGCAAGGTTGGACTATGAAAGGAGCTGCTCTGACTGATGGTCGGGGACACAGTGTGCTTCCTTCACTCATTACTCATTCCACAATGATGTGTGGAGCAGCAGCGCATGTCAGGCATAGCACTAGATGCCTGGGAGACGACGGAAAGCAAGGCAGCAGTGTCCTGCTGGACTGACATTCAAAGGGTATATGTTATGGGGGATGCAGGGGACAGGCAGAAACTGCAGAAACTCCACAAACACAGACAAATCGTCAGTGTTCCAAGGAAGAGCATAGTGGGGGAGCCCAGGGAAGCCTGCTTTGAGGAGGCGATTGTTCAGCAGAGGATGAGAAGGATCTAGGTCCTGAAGAGCAGGGAAGACACATCCAGGTGGAGGGAGCAATGGGTGGGTCAGGTGTTTGAATGAAAAGGGAGGTGGGGAGCCACTGTGTTCCCAGGTGAGCATAGAGGTGCCCAAGCCAATGATGAGCAATCCTGGTGGGATCAGAGGGGACCAGTTTAGGATTGTATTCAAGGAAGCAGAATGCCAGGCTGCCAGGCAAGAGGCATTTGGGGGCAGGTGAGGCTGCAGATAGGAAGACAGGCTTGGTGGCATCACAGGATCCAAGTGCCAGAGCTCAGGACCTGGGACAGGGTCAGGGCTCCACTGCTCACTATCTAGTCCATCATCAAGTCAGCCTCACATCTCCTCCTAATAGCTCACGGACCTGTCTGTTCTTCTCCATCCCCAGTTCCCGCTGACATCCTGGATCAGGCCACCATCCTGCCTAGATCCAACGCCTCCTGACTGGTCTCCATGGCTCCATTCTTAACCCCATGTGATGTAGTCTGCAGATTGCAGCCAGAACGGTTTTGAAATGGAAAAACAATCATATCACTCCCCTATTCAACATCCTTTGGGTGTTCCCCATTGGAACAGGGAGACCTGGGAGATTGTGTTAAGGCCTCAGACTCCTTAATAATCTGGCCTTGCTGGGCTCAACATCATCACCCCTCAGAACTCCCCACGCCGTCCACCTTCCCTCACTCCTTTTCCAGTCAGAATGAGCTCTTTTGAATTCCCTGAGCTGGTCTAGAGCTGCCTCCAGGCCCCTCTGTGTACTCTTCCCTCTTTCTGGAATTCTCTTCTTCACCCCCTCAGCTGTCTCATTTCTGCTCACCTGCCAGGTTTCTCTGTTCAGGAAGACCTCTCTGGCCACATGGGGGGCAGATGTCCCCATGGCAGGCCACGCCTACCAACACCCTAGCTCTTAGCGTACTGCCTTGAAACTGCCTGACTTCTTGTCTGTTTCGTGTACTGGACTCTAAGAAGAAGGGGCAAACTGTGTCCTTTGCACTTAGCACAGTCTCTGGCATCCAGCTGGTCCAATAGGTCTTTATTGTTGAATGACCACAGTCTGAGAGGTGAGAAGGAAGAGCAGGAGCAAGAGCAGGGCCGGGGACGGAGGGGTTGAAGGTGATATCATGAGGAAGGATGATGGCCAGGGGACAGCAGTAATGACCATGGTGAATATTCATTTGTCCTTCCTCTGTGCGAGGACCAATGTAAGTGTTTTACATGTATTAGTCCATGAATCCTTCTGAAAACAATATGAGGTAGACAAGGTTAGTATGCCTGTTTTCCAGATGAGGAAACTGAGGCACAGCAAGCTTAACGAATTTACCCAGAGTCATATAACTAGTAAGAGAGAGGCTGAGAGTCAAGCCTGGGTAGTTTGGTGCCTACACTGTACGTACATCATGAAAATACACTCATCCCTCATGAAAATATATTTAATTTGGGCACTTCAAACTTAAAGTGACAGTGATCCATTCTCTCAATAGCTTGCACTGGCCACACAGGGGTGTGAACAGTTCAACTGGTTCCAACTGGACAGGTTAAAATATTCCTCTAGAATTGGAATCCCAGAGGTGTTACTTTGGCCAATATGTGAGTTCTAAGCTGGCCCCAAACTCCAACCCAGTGACATGCTCCAGTGAATGGCTGTGAAGCTATTGCCTCATGCTGGGGGTCTCCTCGCAGTGACTTCCTAAATAGGGAAGATTGTGAGTAACAGTGGATTTTGTTGACAAAATGACTATGCCAGCTGTGAAACTTACATCCTGCTTGGCAATATAATAACTGGCCATATCTTAAGTTACTATTAAACATTTACATCTGATGTAATGTAGAGATGGTGAAACCCTGTCTCTACTAAAAATACAAAAATCAGCTGCATGTGGTGGCACGTGCCTGTAGTCCTAGCTACTTGGGAGGCTGAGGTGGGAGAATCGCTTGAACCTGGAAGGCGGAGGTTGCAGTGAGCCCCAAACTCTTGTAAACTTGGGGGCACATGTGATATAGGTAGCTTTTTGAGGGACAAAGACGAATCATTTGATTATTCGACAAATATTGATGGAGCATCTGCTCTATACTGGGCAGAGGGCCAGGTGCTGGGCTTACAGTGATGAATAAGACAATGTGGTCCCTTGTGGAACATATATTATAGTGAGGAACACAGATGAGAAATAAATGAGTAAAAAGCAACTACTTTTGTGATTAATGTTTGCAGGTAACACATGAGGGGCTGCGTTAGCTAATAATGAGGTAGTGATGGTGGGTTTCAGGCTGTTCCACATGCCGACCACTTTTAGTGCTAGGGCCTTGGGGGTTTCACTAAAAAGAGGGTGGAGGCTGGGTACGGTTGCTCAAGCCTGTAATCCCAGCACTTTGGGAGGCTGAGGTGGGAGGATCACTTGAGTCCAGAAGTTTGAGACCAGCCTGGTCAGTATAGTGAGATGCCATCTCTATAAAAAATAAAAAATTAGCTGTGTGTGGTGGCACGTGCCTGTAGTCCCAGCTACTCAGGAGGCTAAGGTGGCAGGATCACTTGAACCCAAGAGTTCAAGGTTACAGTGAGCTATGATTACACCACTGCCCTCCGGCCTGGGTGATGGAGCGAGACCCTGTCTTTAAAAACAAAAAACGGTGGAGAAATTTAATGCAGTGTCAGATCACAGGAGTCATTTGAAGTATGACACCTCTTTAATACACCTGAAGTTCTCTTGAAAATAAGCAACAGGAAGCAGTGTGAATCCCTCTTGAATGCTCTGGTGAGCAGCCCTTCACAACCTCCACTCAGAAGCTGATGGGCTGTGTCTCCAGGACAAGAGACTAGAGGTGGGCCTTTTAGGTCCCTCAGACTTTGCCGATGGGATTGTAAATTGGTACAACCTTTCTGCAAAAGTTTTGCAGTACGTATAAAGAGTATTAAGTGGGGTAATCCATTCTAACCCCAGCAATCCCCCTCCAGAAATTAATACTGAAGAAGTACTCAGAATTGAAGACAACAGATTTCTGATAAAGTGTTCATTCCAGGGTTGTTTAAATTAGACATGATAGAAGAATATATAGTACTTATGGTGCGTTTACATGATGAATTACGGTACAGTCATTTTTTATGAATATTGAATGCTGGGAAATGTTCACTATATAAGTTAAGTGATAAAGCAAAGCATGAAAGTATAACAAAAACTGAAGAATGGTAGAAATCTTTTTTTTTTTTTCTTTTAAACAGAGTCTTGCTCTGTTGCCCAGGCCGGAGTGCAACGGTATGATCTTGGCTCACTGCAACCTCCATCTCCTGGGTTCAAGTGATCCTCCTGCCTCAGCCTTCCAAGTAGTTGGGACTACAGGTACATGCCACCATGCCTGGCTAATTTTGTATTTTTAGTACAGACGGGGTTTCACCATGTTGGTCAGGCTGGTCTCGAATTCCTGACCTCAAGTAATCCACCTGCCTGAGCCTCCTAAAGTGCTGGGATTACAAGCATGAGCCACAACGCCCAGCCAGGAGTCTATTTTTAACAAGCATAGAGATATACGTGTGCAAAAGAGATTGTGAAATGTTATCAGTGGTTATCTCTGAAAGGAGGAAGTCAGGTGATTTTTTTCATCTTTAAACTTTCTGTGGTTTTCTAAATTCTCTTCAATAATCATGTCCTATTTATAAACAAAGGAAGAAATTTAAAAGTCTACCTTTACTTTAAGTAACAAATAAAAGTGTGTTCCAAGGTGAAACTGCTTCTGCTAGTTCCTGAACCTAAGGGGTTGTCAAGTCTTGGAAAATAGGGAAGAAGAAAAGTAAATCTTCTTTAGGAAAAATCCTGCAGTTTCCTTACCCCCACAAAGGCTGTGCTGTTCATGCCTTCTCTGCTGCTACCTTAACACATCTTCTGGCAATAGTGAAAATGAGTCTGGCACATGAAGAGCCAAGGAAGGAGTATTCCCCCGGGGTTCGTTGGCAAGTTCATGATAGCCTAGGTGTAAGACACAAAGGAACTAAAAAAGCAAGGGCTAACATTTATTGAGTGCTAGCTCTGTGCCAGTCATGATGCTAAGTACCACAAGTACCACTGCCCCCTCCACCACCAAACACACACCCCTGTTCTTTCTTAATGTATTTAACCCTCACTGTGACCTTATGAAGTTGGTACTGTTGCTATTCTCATTTTAAAGATGGGAACACTGAAGCCTTGTATTAGGTCGCTCTTGCATTGCTATAAAGAAATACCCAAGACTGGGTAATTTATAAAGAAAAGAGGTTTAATGGGCTCATGGCCCTGCAGGCTTTACAGGAAGCATGGTGCTGACATCTGCTTGGCTTCTCGTGAAGCCTCAGAGAGCTCTCAATCGTGGCAGAAGGTGAAGGGGGAATAGTCATGTCATATGGCAAGAGCAGGAGCGAGAGAGAGAGTGGGGGCAGATGGCATACACTTTTAAATGACCAGATCTCATGTGAACTCAGAGCAAAAGCTCACTATCACCAAGGGGATGGCCCAAGCCATTCATGAGGGATTTCCCCCATCATCCAAACACCTCCCACCAGGCCCCACTTCCAACATTGGGGATTACAATACAACATGAGATTTGGTGGGGACACACATTCAAACTACATCAGGCCTAGAAGGGTGGCATGCCGTGATCACACACACCTAGTAAATGGTATTGCCAGAACTTGAATCCAGGACGCAGCTATGCTGGGGAGTGGAAAAGTCAATGAATAGGAAGGAGAGAAGGACAAATGATGGGAGAAACCAACATGGATATGAGTGGGAGGCCAGTAAGCGCTGGGTCCTCTGCAGTCTGGAGAGCACAGCAGACTGGGATGCCAAGAAGCAATCTGGAGGGGGGAAAGATGGCTGCCTTCATTTAAGAGGGCCCCAACAGTTCCAGCACAGTCTCTTAGGAGGGCCACCCCTATGACCTGGACAAAGGTTTCTTCCCTGTCAGAGCAGCAATAAAAAGATTAACAAAGAAATTGTTTGTGACTGATTATGAATGCTGGTATTTGAGAAAGTTTTTCTTAAAGGTTAAGAAAGAGGCACAGAGTTCTGAAGAGAACTTCTGGGCACCTTCCAGGACCCCCCAGGTTGATAGCAATGCTTTTCATTCTAACTTCACTTTGAACATATGGCTTTTCTGTTCTGTGACACAGACAGGCGAACTCCTGGAGCTAGCCTGATGTTCATCAGCTTCTGTTGAGGTTGTTTTTGCGACCTAGATGGAGAGTGAAGTTGGAGGCAGGTAAGAGGAAGAGTTTTCAGAGGTTTGTGAGCAAAAGAAAAGAAAGAAAATAGTCAGAGGTTTCATATGAAAGACAAATCCTGGTTCTGGTTATAGAAGGGGAAGTGGTGGCAGGAAAAAAGGGAGAACACAGCCTGGGTGGGGAGCCTCTCCAGGAGAAAGAAGTGAAGGGAGGACCAGTTCTTCATATCTGTCACCAGGGGGCAGCACTGGCACAATACAGCTTGGTTGTGCCTTGTATTCCAGTTCCAACAATTGGTAGGTTGCTTAGGGATGCAGAATTCCTGAATAACTAACACGTTATAAAATTAGTACACCTTTGAATAGCTCTGTTTCCTTCCACCTGACTTAACATCGACATTTTTCCAAGCTAACAACACATCAAAAAAATCATGCAAGAATACAGGATTTCATGAAACATTCTAAAGGGTGATGTTGGAAAAGTCCTATGGTTTCTGAAAAAGCTATTGAAAATGTGGATATCACTAAATTAGTCCACTACCAATTGAAGAAAAGAATGGCAGCAGGATGCTTCAAAACAGAATGACTTGAATAGGAAAGGCTTCAGGAAATGGGTGATATCTTGTAATATTTTTGTGAAAATGACTATTTTTATGATCATGCTATAGAATAAAACCTGAAGTGAAGGTATTGCTATTGTACTGTCATGTAATGTTGGCAGAAAATTGCACCAAAACCCCTGAAACTAATTCATTTATTGCTTGTTCTAAGAATTAGAGCACATTTACCATTATTTTCCAAATTTGGTCATATAAGATGAGATAAACTTATTTAGCTTTATTTAAAAAATTATTTTTATTAGTTTTTGTCATTTATTATGTTACCATTTACTAAAATTTTTAAGTTTTGTTTAAAGAGGTTTCACTTTGAGTATGAGGATGGAAAAAAATCAATGAATAGGGAGGAGAGGAGGACAGTTATTACAGGTAAAACAGCACTCCACAATCTTAGTTATTATTTTTATTAAAGTGTAATTTTGTGTTTTTGAGACAAGGTCTGGCTCTATCACCCAGGCTGGAGTTCAGTGGTGCTATTTCAGCTCACTGCGACCTCCACCTCCTGAGTGCAAGTGATTTTCATGCTTCACCCTCCCAAGTAGCTGGGACTACATGCATGCACCACCATACCTGGCTAGTTTTTGTATTTTTTTTAGAGACAAGGTTTTGCCATGTTGCTCAGGCTGGTCTTGAACTCCTGAGCTCATGTGATCCACCTGCCTGGGCCTCCCAAAGCACTGGGATTACATGCGAGAGCCACTGCGCCTGGCCTAAAGTGTAATTTTTCTGGCACCAATTTTACTTGGATATGAGGGCAGTATGTTTAACATTTGATCTTAACAATAACAGTTACCCTTTATTGCATACAATTTACCAGACACACTTTGCGTATATGACTTCATTTGATTCTCACAACCTCTCTAGGAGACAAGTAGTATTTTTAGTACCATTGCAGTGAAGGAAACTGAAGATAAATAGTAACCTTTAAGGGAGGAGACTACCCCTCATATTGTCTTATGCCCAGTTTCTGCCTCCAAAGAAAGAAGAAGTAAAAATTAAAGGCAGAAATGAAATCCACAGGCAGTCAGCCCGGCGCCGCACCCTGGGCCTAGTTAAAGATCAACCCCTGACCTAACCGGTTATGTTATCTATAGATTCCAGACATTGTATGGAAAAGCATTGTGAAAATCCCTGTCCTGTTCTGTTCTGTTCTGTTCTGATTACCGGTGCATGCAGCCCCCAGTCACGTATCCCCTGCTTGCTCAATCGATCATGACCCTCTCACGCGGACCCCCTTAGAGTTGCAAGCCCTTAAAAGGGACAGGAATTACTCACTCGGGGAGCTCCATTTTTGGAGACCTGAGTCTTGCTGAAGCTCCCGGCCGAATAAAGCCCTTCCTTCTTTAACTTGGTGTCTGAGGGATTTTGTCTGCGGCTTGTCCAGCTACGCCTTGATCCTTACAGCTGGTAAATGGAAGAGCCAAGATGGGAATCCAAGTCTGGCTCCAAAGAAAGGGTCTTCCGGCCAGGTGCGATGGCTCCCAGCACTTTGGGAGGCCGAGGCAGGTGGATCACCTGAGGTCAGGAGTTTGAGACCAGCCTGACCAACATGGAGAAAACCCATCTCTACTAAAAATACAAAATCAGCTGGGCATGGTGGTGCATACCTGTAATCCCAGCTACTCAGGAGGCTGAGTCAGGAGAATCACTTGAACCCGGGAGGCGGAGGTTGCAGTGAGCCGAGATCGTGCCATTGCACCCCAGCCTGGGCAACAAGAGCGTAACTCTGTCTCAAAAAAAAAAAAGAAAAGAAAAGAAAAGAAAAAAGGGGCCTTCCTTCTTTTCCTTTCTCTCCTTTCCTTGCCTCCCTTTATTCCTTCTAAATTTTTATTATAGAAAATTGCAAGTAGCAAAGTAGTACAATGAATTTCCATATAGACTCTCTCCAACTTCAACAAGGATCAACTTTAGGTCAATCTTTCAACTCTGCTTCCCACCTCCCTTTTCACCCCCAGGTTATTTGCACAAAATTTGCAAGATCACATCATTTCAGCCATCAGCCCTTAATATTTCAGTGTGTATTTCTAAAAGATGAAGACTCTTTTATTCTAAACACAACCACGATATCACTATTACCCTTAAAACAACGACAATATTATCCAACATCCAGATAGTCTTTGAAACTTCCCTGATTATCTCTAAGTTTAACCTTTGGTTTGACTCAGATCCCATATTGCATATGGTTCATCTATTCCTCAGATCTCTCTTAATCTGCAGATTTATTCTTTTTTTTTTTTTCCCTTGAGATTTGTTGAGGAAGCATGTTTGTCCTGAGCATTTTCTGCAGTCTGGATTTTGATGATTTCATCCCCGGGTCCTGCTTCGCATGCTCCTCTGTGACTTAGTTATTTTCTTACTTTTTTAAACACATTTTTGTTGTGCTCCCATTGTGTTTAAGGTGGTAGCACCTGAGGCTTAGAGCTAAGGAGGGACACAGACACCAAGCAAGGAAACAGATACAAAATTTTATTTGTATTATTTTATATAGTATATAAATATGTATTGCTTATGATATAAATATAACTCTATTTGTCCTCATAATACCATTAAGTAAAAGCTTTTTTTTAAAAAAAATTCACCGGGCGCAGTGGCTGACGCCTGTAATCCCAGCACTTTGGAAGGCCGAGGTGGGTGGATCACCTGAGGTCAAGAGTTTGAGATCAGCCAACATGGTGAAAACCTGTCTCTACTAAAAATACAAAAAATTAGCCGGGTGTGGTAGTGTGCACCTCTAATCCCAGATACTTGGGAGGCTGAGGCAGGAGAATCACTTGAACCTGGGAGGCGGAGGTTGCAGTGAGCCAAGATGGCGCCATTGCACTCCAGCCTAGGCAACAAGAGTGAAACTCCATTTCAAAAAAAAAAAAAAAAAAAATTGTACCAAAGAAGACATTGTGATGTCAAAGAGAACCAGACAGGTTTCAGGTTTTCCCTCTCAAGTCAACTATGTATGACCTTGAGGGAAGGGGTGTCCCTTACTACCTCTGGGCTTTGGAGTCCTCTTCTTAAAATCCTAGGTATTGACTAAATGAGTGTTTTTCCAATCTTCTTTGAGCAATGGAACCTTTACGTCCCCTGCATGAACTCTTGCCCTGAATCCTAATATATAAAACAGCTAACAGGCGAGCTTCCCTGGGTGAAATAGGGGAGAGCCATTAGGTCCTGCCTGCTCTCACTCTCTGACCCTAACTTTCACGTTCACGTCTCACCCTCTAGGGCAGTCACTGAGACACTTCTCTAGAACCTAGGTCTCCATGGACCAGTCAAAACCACTGGATTAGATAACGTCTGATGTTCTTCTAAGCATCACCAAACCATGAAGGACCTGGGTGAGTAATGCCTCAGTTTCCCCAGTGGGGTTGGAGCTCTATGTACGTTTCTCTGTGTGTGTTAATTTATCTTTCAATGGAGGTATGACATGCCAGAGCTGAAATACTCTATTCCAATCTCCCTTTTTAGACAGCCCTCCTTCAGTTGCAAGTGACAGAACCCAATTCAAACTTGTTTGTGCATAACAGAGAAGTTATTAGTACATTTAACTAGGAAGTCCCTCCATATAACCGGCTTCTGGCCATGAGTTCAAGCAGTACCATCATGCTGGTCCTTTCCCCTTCTCCATTCCTCCACGGTCTGCACGGCTTTCTTCTCTGGCAGACGTTCCTCATGTCATGGCCAACAACCAGCCCCAGGCTTACATCCCACAGCCCAACAACCTCACTGGAAAGAGAGGGCCTCTTCCTTGGTAGTTCCTATAAAAGTCCTGCACGCCCACCTTCACTGGCCAGGTGTAGATCATGTGCTCATCTCTGAAACAGTTACCATGGCTGGGGGAATTCGGAAACTTAATTGGCCATCTTCAGCTGCCTAAGCCATATGGGGCAGGAGGATTCCTCAAGAAACATTGAGGTGCTGATATCAAAAGAATGGGAAATAGTCTCAAAAGATGAACACTCTACTTAGAGTGACCATATAACTTATCCAGACCAGAATAGTTTAGAGAGTAAAAAGGGGCGCCATTAACCCTTACAGTGGAATGAACACATGTAAACTAGTAAACTGTTCTGGGCAACCTGGAACATGTGGTCATCCTATTTCCCTCAGAGAAGCTAAATGACTTTGCCAAGGTTCTCAAGCTAATGAGTGAGAGAAACGGGTGTAGAACCAATTCCAGTACTTTCTATCAAAAGATCATTGTCAGCCATGAGAAACTTGTTTCTGTAGTAGACTTGTCTCACAGAATAGGGTATGAGAGTAGATTTTATGGAAAAGTCGGAACTTTAATGAAATTAGGCCAAGTGAGGAATCCTTTGTAGGGTCATGTCAGTGACCATCTGTAACAACTTTCCATCATTGACATGTCTGGATTGCCTGTGTTAAAATATTTTGGGTGCACAGATGTATTTACCCCCAAATGGTATGGTATTATCAGTGGTTAAAGAGTGTGGGTTTGAACCCAGCTCTACCACTTAGGAGCTGTGTGACTTTGGGCAAATTACTTAACCATTCTGAATCTGTTTCTTTGTCAGTGTCAGGTCCTGCCCTGTCTGCAGCCGCCCACCTGCCCAGGCGTTTCCCTGCATCCTGCCCTTCTGTGGCCTGGTCAGCTTGTTGCAGTCCTGGCCCTACCTCTAATCAACTGGCGAGTGGTCAGCTTGTGTGTGTGGCCTCAACACTATATTGAAAAGTGTTAGTAAGTAAACCATAGGGATTTTATAGCATCTCTAGGGAATGTTAAACTGCAGGGAGGAAAAACTGTGAAAAGGATAGTCCAAAATGCAATTAAAAAAAAAAATCAAGTCATGCCATTACCAAGTCTCAGTAGCTCACAGTGCTAAAATTCCAAGTCAAAAAGAAAAAAAAAAAACCCAAATATTTTAGTGGATGTCTTTAGCCTCAGACACCTGGTTTGGAAACATACCACCACCTGTGCTGCATTAAACCTGCGAAAAACCCAGGAAGGAAATACAGTGTATGAGGCCAGAAAAGGGTGGGCTCCTGGATCCCTTAGGTCAAACAGCAGGCTGTAAATGACTCTTTTCAAAACAGACACATTACTTCCCAAGATTGCGGCCTGCCACAAAAGAAGGTACACACAGCGGTTGTTCCCAGCAAGGGTTATACTATATGGCTATTAGGGGGAATAGAAGCAGCTTGATTCTCGCCAATGACAGGAAATAAGGTCAAGTAAAGATAACAGGTCTTTGAATTAAAGAGGCTTTAAACACACATCCTGGCCTCATGGCTTTAGCAGCGAGTAAGAATTATGGAATGAAGCCTCGGGTTTTCTTACTCCCTTGAAGCTGGGCTCCTGAAACATACCCTCTCCCGGATTAATGTGAAGGAGTCCTGTGTGGGGAAGGCACCGGCTTCCTCATTCATGTCTTTGGCTTGTTTATGTTCTTTCTAAATAGACCTCGCTGCTGCATTGCTAGTGAGATCTGGGCTGGGATCGTTTCACTAGATAAAAGTCTCACATATAGCACATTTGATGGTCTCGGTGGTAAATACCTTTAGATTTAGAGGTCAAGATTGCACGACTTTTGTCTAGGTAATGGAGAAGGGAGCTCGCAGACCCCAGCCATCATGGATCAGTATATTTCTATTTTGCCTTATTGTTCAAGGACAAGGTATCCAAACAGGCTTGACTTAATTCAATGAGACGGAATATCAGTTCAGTTCAGGGAAAATGTAGAAAACCCCAAACATCAAAAGGTTGTTTGTCATGTGGAGAAACACCTGGTTGTGAGCATGGAATCCCTGCCCTAATGTGTAGACTGCATTTATTAGATACCCACCGAATTCTCCTGCTCTTGGGTAGGGAGGAGGGTGCAGGACGGGAATAGGGAATGGAAGGGGGTGGAAACTTAAGTCAAGCAACCCATTATAACATTAAAAAAACCAATCTGGTTTATTTGGCTAGCCCACTGGCTCTTCTACAAATAATCCACTGGTTGAGCAAACTCAACTTTTCTTTGGATTCTTGTTGGCATTGGTTCTAGTACATGTGACTGTAGATCTGGGTTAACTCTCTTCCCTCATAACAACTAAAGAAAGTGCACACATTTTTCATGCTTTTAAAGCTTTTCTTTTCTGATAATTACATAGAAAAAAGACCTTGATTTTGACAGCTAAGTCTGGTTACAATCCTACTTCATGGGGGTTGTTAGAAGATTAGCCTGAAGTGTGGCACAGAGTGAGAAAATGTTCTGGAGATAATAGCTTTTTTTTTTGTAATTTTTTTTTTTAATTTTTACTTTTTTTTGAGAGTGAGTCTCACTGTCGCTCAGGCTGGAGTGTAGTGGCACAATCTTGGTTCTCTGCAACCTCCCGCCTCCTAGGCTCAAGCAATTCTCCTGCTTCAGCCTCCCAAGAAGCTGAGATTATAAGCACCCACCACCACGCTCAGTTAATTTTTGTATTTTAGTAGAGACCGTGCTGGTCAGGCTGGTCTCAAACTCCTGACCTCAAATGATCCACCTGCCTCGGCCTCCCAAAGTGCTGGGATTACAGGCGTGAGCCACCGCGTCCAGCCAAGAGATAATAGCTTTTCATTGCATGGTCTCTATATCTTGTAGCTCACGTATGCCCTCATCAGCTTCATGGAGAGTCTACAAATTTATAAAATATTAATATTATGTTTATTATGTAGGGAACAGTTTGAAGCCCTGCTGACTTTCCTTGCTGTTGTTTGATTTTAAATAGATCTTTGGTTCCTTGGTTTTTATCTGAATTAAAAGCACAATTCTAGGTTCTTACAGTTCTTCAGTATTTAAAGATTGTTAGTATGTAGAGAATAACTTTTTCTCTTTCCACAAAGCTACCCATGTTCATCGTTTAAAAAAAGTAGATGAATACTTGCAAAAAGAATATAACTGGTAACTCTACCTCTCAAAGATTATCACTGTCCACATTTTGGTGAATTATTATTGCACATGTTTTGTAACTTTTCACCTAATTATATATCAAATGTCTTTTCACATCATTAACTGGCCTTCAATGTCATGTTTAATGGCAACAGAGAATTCTATCCACAGGCACCTCATTTATTTAAGTAATCCTCTATTATGGACATGCAGACTGTTTCCAATTTTTCCACTATCAAATAACATCATTGTTAAATAAACTCCAAATCACCAGATCCCAAGATGTGGTTTCCAGTTTCTGGGTCTTCATGTCATATCTACTCAAACTTGTAGGTTTTTCTGAAAGTTAGAAATTCCCTGCATCTCAAACTAGCACCAAGGATACCCCTTCAAAATGTTGAGATGTGAAATTCCCCTCTTGTTCCCAGCAAGAAGAGGCAAAATTGGGGTCATTTTCATGACAGCCATTACTGTGTATGAGGTTCTCCAGTAAGGCACCTCCCCTTCACATTTTCACCTCATCGCAGGCCATTTCCTCACTGCAGCAGCAACCTCACCTTTCATGGGGATGTCCAAATGTGTCATCCCAATAGACTGTCCCTAAGACAAGGAAAAAGTTCACACACATGTGCTCTGTGCAACACTCTAGTGCCTTCAGACAATGTCTCACTTTCTGTTCTAGGGGAGAATTGACTGGGTGAGGTCTTTTCCTCTTTAACTGGACTTGGACTCATTTGAAAGATGTAGACATGACTTCATGGGCAGGTGAAGACAGGTTATTTTTCCAGAAGTGGGGGCTTCAAAGGGATTGGGAAGTATGAGATGAACTGCCCAATAAAGAGAAATGGCTCAGGAGAACACAGGAGGGGTTCATGGGAAACCCTGGTCAGCTTCCCAAGCCTAGTTATGACCTGCTAATCCTGGGCAAAACTGCCAGGTGAGTAAGGGCTATCTTCTGTGCTTCTCCTTGCCTTCTTGCTGCCGCAAGCACTTAGGAGCATCATGGACTTCGTGGGGACCTAGGGCTCTCACTGAGCCAGCTCTTCAGGCCAACTTTTAGAGTAGCCCCTCAATATTGGTTAGAAATAGGCCAGTCCCCTGTCCTAGAGGAGGAGAATATTTGTCTTTCTTTTGGCACACAGAGGTCTGTAGGGACACAAAAGTCACTGTGGTGATAAGACACCTTCTTGTGGGTGAAGCTGGTATTTGAAGAAGATTTGGGTAAGGACTATCTAGAGGAATCACCAGGAGAGTTGCCAGATAAAATACAAGACAACTAGTTAATTTTTTTTTTGAGATGGAGTCTCATTCCGTCACCAGGCTGGAGTGCAGTGGCACGATCTCGGCTCACTGCAACCTCTGCCTCCCAGGTTCAAGCGATTCTCCTGCCTCAGCCTCCTGAGTAGCTGGGACTACAGGTGCACGCCACCACACCCAGCTAATTTTTGTATTTTTAGTAGAGATGGGGTTTCACCATGTTGGCCAGGATGGTCTCGATCTCTTGACCTTGTGATCCACCCGCCTCAGCTTCCCAAAGTGCTGGGATTACAGGCGTGAGCCACCGCACCTGGCCAATTTTTTTTTTTTTTCTTTTTTTGAGACAGAGTCTTGCTCTGTCACCCAGGCTGGAGCGCAGTGGCATGATCATAGCTTACTGCAACCGCCACCTCCTGGACTCAAGTGATTCTCCCATCTCAGCCTCCCATGTAGCTGGGACTACAGGCAAATGCCACTGCATCCAGCTAATTTTTAAATAATTTTGGTAGATGGAGGTTTGCTATGGTTCCCAGGCCGGGCTCAAAGTCCTGGGCTCAAGTGATCTACCTGTCTTAGCCTCCCAAAGTGCTGGGATTAGTACCTGGCCCACCCAGTTAAATTTAAATGTCAGATAACACTTTTTTTTTTAAGTATAAGTATGTCCCATGCAAACAAAAAACCTTGAGTATACAGTGTCTTATATGTATTATTTCCCCCAATCTTTTGCAACTGTTTGTTTCTCTCATACCAGGAACAAGCCCATCTTACTTTTGAAGAGCGCAGAGCTCACTTATGAGGACAGGATGCACGAGTCTACTCGGGAGAGGCCAGCTAGGCTGAGGTGTTCAGCTCACTGTGATCATTAGATGGCACGACTTGCAGAACTAATGATCGGTGGTCAACCAGTGAGTTTGTTAAGTGGAGCCTATAAAGAGAGTGGCTGTTGTGCCAAGTTCACAGTGCCAGGCACTGGAAGTGGCCAATAAACATTAGTATGATGATGATTATTATTAACTAATCTGTTGTTTGATGCTTAATTTGTTTACAGTTAATTTTATGAATAACACTGTGATCAATATCTTTATAGTTTAATCTTTGGATAAATCCTTGGTGATTTCCTTAGAATATTTTTCTAACATTTAAAAAATTTTTTTAAAAATTTAAAAGTTTTTGTAGATATAGGGTTTTGCTATGTTGCCCAGGCTGGTCTTGAACTCTTATCCTCAAGTGATCCTCCTGCCTTGGCCTCCCAAACTGCTGAGATTATAGGCATGAGCCACTGTGCCTGGAATGAAATTCTTTATTTTAAATGAAATTCTCCTTGAGCTTTTTTTTATCCATATGAGTACTGCAGTTTATGGCCCCAAATCTCTCTATGTGGCCAAATTTGTGTTATAAAGTCTCAGGGAAATTTTACTGAGACTTTATACTGTTTTTGCTATTTTTACCTCTACTATTTTCTTTGCTGTCTGAAATTGCTGGGTGGGTTTTCTTCTAGTTCATCTTTTTCTCAGGGCATACTCTACTTGAATCTTGGCCCTATACAGTGTGGTCTGGCTCTTCACTCCATATGAGATACCTGAAGATCCATAGATGTCCCCGGGTGTGCAGTGGTGGCAATAGTTAATTTAGCTCTGATCTCCTGCTTCAATCCTGGCCTCAAGTGGTGAAGTACTCTTATTTTCTCAGAAGCTTGTTTGCTTATTTAAGGAAGGTTTTTGTCTAACATTTTAAACTTTCCTTGTAGTCACTGAGACATAGGCTAGGATTGGCTGAGCTCAGAGCCTTTCCTCTTAGAACCATTTCCTAGGGAGGGAAACAAATTAGTGAGAATTTGCTACTGGAATGGATCTGAATCCTAATATTGCTCATTGTAGCTATTAGGCTAGCACTGAGCCTGTTTCCTCTTCTGTAGAGTGAGAGTTGCTACTACTGAGTGCTAAGCACTCAAGAGACAGTGTCCTTACCTTTCAGAACACATGCGAAAAAGAGTCAGAAAAGGGGTTTCCACAGTGTCCTAAGTAACAAGAAAAAAATCATCCTTAATCCATATTGCCAATAAGTCCATGTGGATCCATTTTGCTAGGATGGATGGTTTGTTTGTTTGTTTGTTTGTTTTTCTGAGACCGAGTCTTGCTCTATCACCCAGGCTGGAGTGCAGTGGTGTAATCTTGGCTTGCTGCGACCTCCGCCTCCCAGGTTCAAGGGATTCTTGTGCCTCAGCCTCCCGAGTAGCTGGGATTACAGGCGCCCACCACCATGCCCGGCTAGTTTTTGTATTTTAGTAGAGATGGGGTTTTGCCATGTTGGCCAGGCTTGTCTCAACTCCTGACCTCAAGTGATCTGCCTGCCTTGGCCTCCCAAAGTGCTGGGATTACAGGCGTGAGCCACCATGCCAGGCAGATGGATGTTTTTATAGCTTGGCTTACATTGGAAAAGACAGACCAGTAATTTCTGTGAGCCCACCACTCTTCTTCCTCAGAAAAGGAAGCTTGCCAAGTTTTCTCTTTAGCTCTCATTCCTCGAATGGAGGCTGCTGTCCAGTAGATTATCCAGCTATGAGGAGGCCAGAGTCGTTCACATAAGGCTTCACTTAGCTATAAAATCCTAACAATCTTAAAATATCTTAAAGTTGGGGAACTTGCTTTTTCAAAACTCAATCCTGTTTGAGTATATAAGCCACAAGAAATAAACAACAAACAAAACAAACATCTTCCCACCCTGGAAAAAAGCCATAGCTCATTGTTGGATGAACAAATGGATCCAACTCTGCTCTCAAAGACAACTCACACTCACTTTAAAACTGTCAGGAATAATCTTTCATGACTTCAGAGTTAGGTTCCAGACTCCATTCCAACTCCAACCATGGAAGCAGGATTCCTGGACAGGTCAGTTTGAAGTAGCTTGTGCATGCAGTGGCTGGCTAGGAGGGGCGTGGGGGTGCAGTTTGGACACGTGTGGGCAATATGGGAATACGGTAAATATGAATGAGCTGGGGTGACTGGTGCTCTTGCAAAGAACTTGTTGTGCCCCACGTATGGAAGATAGCATCCAAGAAGGACTCCTGCTGAGTTGGAGCCTATGAAATGGCTCTGCCTCACCCTGCCCTACTCTGAGGGTAAGAAAGTTTGCTTACTGAGGAGAGTGAATCGGACACGGATGCTGCAGGCCGTGGGCTTGCCCTGGCTTGCCCGTCTTCCTGGCAAGACAAGCAGTTATTAGAGGCTGGTGATGACTCCCTGTGTCTGGGGACAAGCTGTCTGCATTTCTAGGAGATGGCTCCTTCCTAAGGGGAAAGAAAAGTTGCCAGGCTGTGGAAGGGTCCAATTATTGGCGGCTCTATTTTATAGAATGATTGTCTTTGAGTGAAGTATGTGTTATAAAATCAAACTTGGCATTTTTAATTAACATAAAAGAATCTCAGTCCTTACATGCTATGTACATGTATAAAAAAGGGAAATTCTTTATACACTTCTCAGGAAATGGCTTTCAGAGCCGCCTTGCCGCTCTGAGAATCTCCTTGGACAATGTCCCAAGGGCAATTGCAAACATATTTCATAAGTGGGTTTGTCTAATTCTTTTGTCTGTTGACTAATACCTTTATTCAACTATCTTAAGATTTTTTTTTGTGTGTGTGTGTGTTTGAGACAGGGTCTCACTCTGTTCCCCAGGCTGGAGTGCAGTGGCGCTATCATAGCTCACTGCAGCCTGGAACTCGTGAACTCAAGTGATCCTCCTGCCTCAACCTCTGAAGTAGTTGGGACTACAGATACATGCCACCATGCCTAGGTAATTTTTTGTGTTTTTAGTAGAGATGAGTTCTCACTAGGTTGGTTGCCCAGGCTGGTCTTGAACTCCTGAGCTCAAGTGATCCTCCTGCCTCAGCCTCCCAAAGTGTTGGGATTACAGGCGTGAGTCACCACATCCAGCCTATTTTAAGATTAAAAAAAAATCTAAATACTACTATCAAAGGCAGCAATTTCTGTTAATATCCTTGTAATCAGCTCTGAGGGGTCGAATGGGCTGTGGACATCTTACTAGGGCCAAATACCTGTGGCAGAAGAATTTCGCAAGAGCTTCTGGAATATGGCTTAGCATCACAAGCAGGAAAGCTGGTAACCATATTCCAGGGTCTCAGAGTGGATCTGTGCTCGGTGGCTAATGGTTCAGAGGACCATCCTGACCTTGACCTTTGAGCTAATGCCACTGAACTAGCACTATAACTGCAACAGCAAGCAACTCTGGATCTCGGAAACCCATTTGACTTCTAATCTTAGTTCTGCTATGTATACATTGTGAAATCTAATCAACCTCTCTGAGTCTTATAAAAATGAGGAAATAACCCCTTCCTTACAGGGTTGTGGGAAAGCAATAGAAGGCAATAATGTGTACAGAGTGCCAAATTCAAAATTTGCCAAGTGGACAGTCAAGGATGATACGTGTTCCAGCCACTTCCACCTCTGGAAGTCTACCCCTTTGAAAAAAAAAGCACAGTTAGAAAGGCTTCAAGTTCTGTTTTATTTATTTATTTATTTTTTGCTTTAGGTAGGCACAGAGGACAACTTGATCCTCTTGAAGTAGATGATTCCCAAATGCACATTCTAAACTTTAGACATCTTCCAGGCTTCAGGCTTATGTGGAATATTTACAAATGGTGGTTTTATCACGTTAACATGTGTAAACATAAAACTCATCTCTTTCTTCATCACCCCACCTCAACAAACACACACATCCCAAACAATCAACAAACCTGTTCTTCCTTTCAGGATTCCCTGTTCTGTTAGTGACAACACCATTGTTCAAGATGCCCAGACTCTTTGACTTCCATTCTCACCCAGTCAGCCCCTAAATCCAGCTAAAGTCTTTTTCCTTCTTCTTCCCTCCCCACCCCTGCTCTGGCCTCTTGCCTTCCAGCCTTTCTTCCATTCATGCCATTCCCAGTACCAGCAGTTCAGATGCAATGAGAAATGTCTGTGAACTGTTCAGGTCTTCTCATTCCATTCCAGATTATAAACTCAAAGCCTCCTCTGACTCTGGAATTGGCATGGCCTCTCCCATCCATCCTGCCATTGTTCCCCCCGCCACCTCCATTCAATTGCATTCACAGATTCGTTTATACCACTTTTGGGCTCAGGCTCTATATGGACTATGAGAAAGATTCCTTAGTTCAGTCTGCCCCAACTTTCCATTCTTTTTTTTTTGAGATTGATTTTCACTCTTTTGCCCAGGCTGGATTGCAGTGGCTGATCTCACCTCACTGCAACCTCTGCTTCCCAGATTTAAGCAATTCTCTTCTCTCAGCCTCCTGAGTAGCTGGGATTAGAGGCACCCACGACCATGCCTGGCTAATTTTTGTATTTCTAATAGAGATGGGGTTTCAACATGTTGGCCAGGCTGGTCTCAAACTCCTGAACTCAGGTGATCCACCGGCCTTGGCCTCCCAAAGTGATAGGATTACAGGCATGAGCCACCACACCCAGCCCCAACTCTCCATTCTGACCCAATTTCTCCCTTTCTGCTCCAGCCATATGCACCATTTACTCCAATTGTCATTCCCTTCCCCAGCCACATTCTTTCATCTACTCATCTACTTACCTCATTCGGTCGTTCCCATGTTGCCTAAGAGGCCTTCTAAACTCTTTCTTTATCAGTTGATTGGAACCATGATCCTTTTTGACATTTGAATGCTTCCATCAATCTGCATTTTCTCATTCTATTCTTGGGGCCACCATATTAGAATCAAATGAGACATGATTTCTGAGATGCCCCCAATAACCACTATGCCACCCTAGGAGGTAACACAGATTAGAAGTTAAGGATTTGTTTCTCTTGTGTTAGATGAATCTGGGTCCAAATCCCAGCTCTATCATTTACTAGTTGCATGACCTTGGCAATTTCTCTCGCCTCTCTCCCCCTCTGTTCTCTCATCTATAAAACTGAATAATAATGCCTACTTCACATGGTTGTTATGCACTAAGGGGATAATGCATGGTGAAGCTCTTAGTATAGTGGCTGGCACCCAATAAGTGTTCAATAAATGATTGTGCCTGTCTTTTCATTCTTGCTTTGCATAACTTTCTATGGCTACTAAGTAATGAAGACTGACTGTGATATTTAATTGCTTGTTCTAGGGCTGTGTAACCTTTAAAATGTGAGTGTCAATGGTTAAAAGACTGCAAATGGAAGTCTGAAAAAAGGAAGTAATAGTTGACTGGGTTGTAAGATTTTCAGGGGCAGGGATAATGTTACCTTCATCTTTACATCTTCAGTCCTAGACTGGGAATGTAGTAAACACTCAAAAATATATGTTTCAGTCAAGTAAATGTTGAGTTGCAAAAACTTCATTGCTATGACTTCCAGTCAGTTTTCATCTCTGTCTCCATATTTCTTACAGTTGTCAAAGCAAACTTCCAGAATGCTGGGATTTACTCATTCCCTGCCATTAAAAAAAGAATGTATGGGCCGGGTGCGGTGGCTCACGCCTGTAATCCCAGCACTTTGGGAGGCCGAGGCAGACGGACCATGAGGTCAGGAGATCGAGACCATCTTGGCTAACACGGTGAAACCCCGTCTCTACTAAAAATACAAAAAATTAGCTGGGCGTGGTGGCGGGCACCTATAGTCCCAGCTACTCGGGAGGCTGAGGCAGGAGAATGGCGTGAAGCTGGGAGGCGGAGCTTGCAGTGAGCCGAGATTGCGCCACTGCACTCCAGCCTGGGCGACAGAGCGAGACTCTGTCTCAAAAAAAAAAAAAAAAAGAAAAGAAAAGAAAGAATATATGTGTGTGTGTGTGTGTGTGTGTGTGTGTGTGTCTGTATTATGTAGGAACACACATTTAAATTATCACAGTTCTAGTCTAGCTTCACTGGATTTAGTGTGTGTTCTTCTTCCTATCTTCCCACTGTAGACCTTTTGGGTTTGGGTCTGTCCTTAGATTTGTCCGTGGATTATAACCACACCAGAAGAGGCTTCCTGGAAGGAGAGCCACCTGCATTTGACCCGGGGTTGAATCCTCAGGAATCCAGCTTTCACAGTACGTTGGAAGAGATCATGAAGGAGAGACCCATTAGGTTTTCAGATTTCTGATGAGCCATTGCCATTTTCTTGAAAATCGACTGCCTTTATTTCTGGGCCATTACATTGGATTTGTCACAAAGTAGTTCATGTACTATATAAGTTCCTAGTGTAGATGTACAGACGAACATTCAAGGTGCTTGTTTTGTTGGCACTCCTTAGGTTCTGAGCTTTAAAAATAGAAATTTAATGTATAAATTTTAATTCAATTCAACACATTATCGAGTGTTTATTATGTGTCAGGTACCATGTTGGGCACCATTTCTAGGAGCACTGAGACACTTACATGGTTACCAGGGTGATAAGTGAATAGTAGGTTGGGTTTTTCTTCCCCCTTATCTCCTTTTTTCCTTTCCCTCTCCATGCTTTGCGGTATAGAAAAAGACTTTCTAAGAAGAACCATGCGTCTGAGTTATGGCCACTCTGAGCTATAAAAGCATTGTCTGTATTGTAGATGTTTACTGTGGCGTGCAGGAAAGATCTGGTGCCCCCTAGGGGTCTGCAGGACTTCAAGGATGCCCTGCCCCTCCAAATGGAACCAAGACCCTGAGGGGAGGACCAAGGTGGTAGGAAGACCCAGGTGTTCATGAGGTAGAGGGAGAAAAGAGACTGGAGAGGAAACAAGGGAATCCAGGGAGGGACCTTTGAGACTCTCTTCAGTCATCATTGTCAGAGGGCTGGTCTTCTTAAGGGTTTAGGAAGGGGGTAGGTGGAGAAGCATTTGTAGGCTTTGCGGCTGGTGCACTGTGGTCACGGTAGGATGGGATATAGTCCTGCTTTTTGACTTCGGATAATACTTCACCAAGGTTGGATAATACTTCACCAAGGTCTGATCATGTCATTTCTTCCTGAGCCTTTGGTTTCCCAAAATAAATAATTTCACTCCAGCTGTGGGTTAATATCACTCTGGCTCCAGGGCTTTGGCCAAGCTGACATGGGTGGGGCTTGTGGAGCTCTTTGTCCTTCCACGTCTGGATTTTGGGTCTGCAAATTGGCTGCTGACCTGGGCTGATAGTTCCTGAAATGTAGTCCCTCTCTGCTCTAGCCCTGCTGATGGCCTCCTTCCCATATAGGGGGTGAGGGGACTGCTGTGGACCTATAGCCTCTCCTGGCTCCATCTAGGGAGAGCAAAACCATCTTTTTTGGGACATTTCTGGTAGGAAGACACTTTTTTCTTTGGTGGTGAGCTTTGCAGTTAGATTGCTCTGGGCTCTTATTCAGGCTCTGCTAGCTATTCGCTTCATGGTTTGAAACCTCTGGCATAGGGAAGTTGCTGGTTGTGCAACTTGGAGCATGTGATTTTACCTCCCTAAGCCCTGATTTTCCCATTGAAAAGTGGATAAAATAATAGCTCCAACATATTATTGTTGTTGGAAGAATTAATGGGATAGACTAAACTGCTAGGCATGAGAAATGCCTAATGAATGGGAGACACTATAACATTCAGAACAGTGAAGTTTTAATATGACCATGCACTTATCAGTGAACATTAGCTGATTTAGCCATTACATATTAATAAGTCCTGATTGTACTGGGCCATCTTGTCCTGGTTCTAGAGTAAAAGCAGCATTCCAGGTATCTGTGTAATGAGGAAGGTAGGTATACACTATGCTATGGGGTGAGGTAGGGCTTTCTTTGTAGGGGAGTCTATCAGTGACATCAGCACAGATCTAGGCCTCTGGAGAGGTCTCAGAATTGTAGGGACTGTGGCTGTTTCAACGTGGAATATGGTGCTTGGGACTGATATAGAGAAAACCATCTCCTGAGGGCTTCTGTATGTGCAGGGCACAAGGGGCTCTTATGATAAAATGCTATGGAAACTTCTTTTCTTTCGTGGACCATATTTAGGAGAACTGAACACTAGGGGCTCAACTCCATCTTATTTACTTGGGACCTGAGGAGAGACTTGAACTTGGCTCACCACTTAGGTTTGGTCATGTTAAATCCTGTCTGAGAGCCTGGAAAAAGCTTTCCAAAGGGGGCCAGACTGGAAGGAGGACCATGGAGTCTCTGGAGAGAAAGTCACCTGCAGTAAAGAAGCTTGGCAAAGACAGTGGAGAGCATCAGAAGGCAGCCAAATGCCTAGGCAGATAGGGGTGGGTCCCCAGTGAAACCTCACTTCCAAGCCAAAGACAGTTTAAAAAGCCTGAAAGCCAAACTACAAGTTAAATCCTTAGACCGGATTAAGAACTTGCCTTCCTGTCTGGCACACTTTCCTCTGATTGTTCCCTACCCTTCATCTATTTCACATATACCTACCCTTTCCTAATTGGTTTTCTATACTATCGTGCCCACCTTTGAGTGGTGTTTTTGCTTTAACCTTTTTTGCACACTCCCAAACCCATCAGCAAGCATTCCTCATTCTAAGTCCATAAGAGGCCCTGGGCCCAGCCATACGAGGGGAACTTTCCTGCCTTTGGGTAGGGGGACCACCCCTGTGTCCCCTCTCTGCTAAAAGCTGTTTCATTGCTCAATAAAATTCTTCTCCCCCCTCCTCACCTTTCAATGTACAGTGCATCCTCATTCTTCTTGGGCACAGTACAAGAGCTTGGGAACCACTGAACGTGGGTACAAGCTACAACACAGGCAAGCTGGGGCACCTTAGCGTGACCAAGCAAAGCCCGGGTGGGGCATCATTGGCTGGGGGTCCCTGGCATGCAAAGTGACTGAGAAGAAAATTCTTGCATCACAGTCAGATTAAACAGCAGGGCTGAGAGGATTCCCAGGTTTCCAGGTGTGCATGGCCTCCATTTCCATGCCTGTTCCCTCGCTGTTTCTCCCTCCCGCAAACGGTGCTCTGGAAAAGGGCTGGGGTAGCAAAGTAAGAACTGTCACTTGGAGCCCAATGTCTCTGTTGTGGAGAGCCCAGGAAACAGGAGAAGGTCCCTGGAGATGGGTGGTCAGGAGAGGGTGGTGGCAGTTCAGGCAATACCCAGTGGAAGATAGAAAAATAGTGGCCCGGCAATCACAGGGCAATGAGCTGGTGTGGCCCTGAGTGAAGGGCTGTCAAGCTCCATTTTACATGGTCAGGCTCATGTAACACAAGTTCTTACCTCTGTGGAAAGGGCATAATAATAGTACCTTTTATTATGGTGCAGTGGCTCATGCCTGTAATCCCAGCACTTTGGGAGGCCAAGGTGGGTGGATCACCTGAGGTCAGGAGTTTGAGACCAGCCTGGCCAACATGATGAAACCCCGTCTCTACTGAAAATACAAAAATTACCCAGAGGTGGTGGCGGGCGCCTGTAATCCCAGCTACTTGGGAGGCTGAGGCAGGAGAATTGCTTGAACCGAGGAGGTGGAGGTTGTAGTGAGCCAAGATTGTGCTACTGCACTCCAGCCTGGGTGACAAGAATGAGGCTCCATCTCAAAAAAAATAAAAAATAAAAATAAAAAAAAATAGTACCCATCTCCTGGATTGCTGACAGCCAAGAACAGTGCCCAGCACAAAGTAGGTGCTCAGTAAATGTTAGCCATTATTGTGTGAGAGCTGTCCAGGAGACAGACCTCCTGAAGAGAAGAGTTGGAAGTGAAATGTGGGAAAAGCCTGGGCAGCCTGGGGTATGGCTATCAATGGGACCGTGGTACTCACTGGTGGGTAAAAACATGGGAGATCCAAGTAACACACACACACACACACACACACACACACACACACACAGGATCTGCTCCCCGCCAGCTCTCTCACCAGCTCCCTGGTCCCTGTGGCCTCTGATTCTGGGACTGGACCCAGAGAAGACGCTAGTTTGTAATAAAATTCATGCTTGATTTGTCTGCATCAAACTGATGGCTCTGATGTGGCTTGTTGAAACAGCCTATTCTGGGGTGATTGAGGTGGAACAGTGTTTCTAAAGAGCCCTGAATATTCCCAGCGTTTTGCATTTGGTGCAGGGTTGTATGGTAGGACAAAGCCTGCTTGCTTCCTTTCACAGTGATCTTTCAGCTGGGAGATTACTCTCTCTACTTCTCCATCACAGCAGTTAACTCCCTCTACCTGCGGATATCTCCTTCCCACTGAGATCCTACTTAATTTCTAAAGCCCAGCTCATGTTGGATTAAGTCATTCCTTGCTCCTAGAATTCTTTGTTTATCTATTACCCTTGGTCATTATCCCATTCATATTCTGCAATGGTTCATGGATCTCTGCCTGCCCTGTTTTGTTGTTAAGTTCTTTGAGAAGGTGCGCACATGCATGTGGGCATCTCATTCATCATTTTATTCCCCACGGGGTTTTGTGATGTTTACTACAACTACAGTGAAATCCCGTGAAGTAAGAAATACATCATCCCCATTTCACAGATGAGGAAACTGAGGCATAGAAAAGGTAAGTGCCTTGCTCAAGGCCACTCAGCTGGTGGGTAAAGAAGTCAGGATCCAAACAGTCCAGGGTCCCAGCCTCCTCACTACACTCTACTGATTTTCATGGTAGGAACTTCAATATTTCATGAATTGAGTATGGTGAGTTTCACAGGCTTTGTTCTGAATATTATCTATAATACATATTCCTGCCATTTGGGGATGATAGACCACTTTCCCTTCTGAAATGACGGTGTCCAAAAGACTGCCAAAAGCAGCATCTTATCAAATTGCCTGTCATTAGCTTAAAAAAAATTTCCAGAAGATAAAAAAGAAAGCAGCATAAAGTGACAATGCGGCTTTATCCTTGGCACAGACAGGCTTCTTTGGGGCTGCTAGATACATGAGTAATGTTTCAAGTTATATGCCTTTCAGTTTGAAAGACTTTGAATAAGGCTTAAGATCAGCATTTGGGAGGCCTTTCTTCTACTTTTCCCCAGCTAACATTGCAGTCCCTCTGGCTGAGTAATTTATCCTGAAACATTAATATATAGGGTCTGTTCATGTCTTAGGAAATGTTCTAGTAACTCATTTTCCCTTCTCTGTGAAAGTCATTGAATCGAATCGTGCTCTCAATGAAACTCTCTTAAAATCCATTAATGAAAATGTTAGCACCTTAACAGAGTACCATGATATCCATCTAGATTTAAATATTTATTGGGCAAACAGGAGAAATGATTAAGCCCCCTTAGGAAAATCAATCAAAACTTCCCCAAAGCCTTGTCTTGTAACTAGTGTCACATACCAGCCACACTCACCCTCTCATCTGCTTTTTTGGCACTAAATTCAGTCAGCTGAGACCAAGCTACCGTGTAAGGAACAGATTAAACTAACATCCATCCAGGTGAAAGATAATTATTACTTGTGTCAGACAACACCTGTTTTTGCAGCATTCCTCAACTTAGTTAAACTGGAGACAGGCTAAACTTTCCACTGAATTTTCCATTTGACAGTTGCTCCAGGCAGTGTGTCTGCAGAACACCCTTGCTATGTTTACATTTTTGAGGCAGATTAAAAATGTCATCTGTGAAATATAACCTGAAAATCTCTAACTGTAATATATTCACCTATATAAATATAGGGGCTGAATGGGAGTCAAACGGAAGGCAAGGCAAAGCCTTAGCTTCTTCTGGAGCAGAAATCTTTCATCGGACATCTTTTATGATGTTAAACGTGCAGATTGTCTACAGATAGAGTCTTCATACTTCAAATTGTGGTGGTGCTGATCACTCTTCGCTTTACAGTTTTAGGACTATTCATCATTTCTCAACAGCTTGTGGTATTTTCTTACAAACGGGGAGCCAGAAGTCAGGTGCCATTTGGAATATGTGAGCGTGGGTCTCCTTTTCACAGTCTTGACTCCATGCCTATGATGGCATTTTTACCTGAGAAAGGAATCTCTGACCTGGGGCAAAAATCTGAAATGGAGTGGTTTTGTTTGTTTGTTTGTTTTGTTTTGCTTTTTAAATTGAAAAGTGACACTGGTGTGTCTACTGCAGAAGTGCTAATGTCATTGCCAAGTTCGCTCCCAGGGTTGTCCTTTGTTAGAGAGTCCCTGGTGCACTTCCAGATGTTTCAGTTGGGGCACGATTTGGTACATGCCCAAGAGACAAAAGAATAAAAAAAGAGAACATGTCAGCTCCCCTCTGGGGGAAGGTTATGGGCCCTGCAGCTTTTCTGGGTGTTAATCTTACTCTTAACGTCTGTGTTGACTTCAATCACTGTTTCTTTTGACGTACTTTAAATACAGGCTCCAGCCCAGCTGAAATGGAGGGGAAAGAGGCTTGAGGCTCCCCTTTATTATAGGTGTAGACATTAAAAAGCATTTAAGATACTTTATTCTTGGGATTACAGTAATGAGTACATTTTTAAAAATTCTGTAGTCATCTCAACTTCTCATGCTCTGTATTCTCTCAGGTTCCAAGCTCTTTGATGGGACCTGAATCTCATCTCTTTTCCTCCCCACCTCCAAGCCATCCCTTGGTTCAGCCCACCTCACCCGCACTGTTATGGTAGCTTTCTGTTCTCTCCCCTCAATCCAGTCTGTTCCAATCCCCTTTTATCTTCTGTGTACTAACAGTCATTTGTTCCAAACACAAGTTAGGTCACTCCCCTGTTAAAAATGTCTAACCCCTGATGACAGGTGCCTGCATTGCTCATCCCTCACCATGGCCTTCAAGGTCTTTTGTAACCTGGCCTTGACCTTTTAAATCAGCAATATCAGTTAGGATGCTTTGGGCTGCAAGTAACAGAAACTGCGGTTCAGATCATAGGAAAATGTACGATCTCACAATACAGAAAGTCCACTAAAAGGGAAGACTTCAAGTTGCTTGTTTTAAGGACTCATTGACATCCATGATTCTTTCCACCTGTCCGTTCTGCTCTCCTTTGGGTGCTGATTTCTTCCTCCACTTGGGTATAAGATGGCTAGAGGGATTCCAGACACACAGCCAGACCAACAATGTCCAGATGAAGAGGAGAGAAGAAAGCCTTCCTCAGAGCCCCTGCCTTTGGTGACTCCCCTTCCTCTCACTGGCCAGAACTGGGCTCATACCCACTGGCTGGTGTCACTCTCAGGCCAATGGGTCTCCTCCCATCCCAGAGTGGGGAGTGGTGCCAGCTTCCCCTGAGGCATGTGGCTTTGTGGGGTAAGAGGTACCTGAGAAAACTTGGGATTTGGCTAAGAAGGCAGTAGGGGGCACTGATGCTAGATAGGCAACCGACAGCATCCACTACCGTTTGCCAGCAGCTTCCCCCACCCACTGTGTTTTGCCACACCTGTCATGGCCTTTCTATTTCTTCTCAAGAATATCTTGTAGCCGGGTGCAGTGGCTCACACCTGTAATCCCAGCACTTTGGGAGGCTGAGACAGGTGGATCACCTGAGGTCAGGAGTTCAAGACCAGCCTGGCCAACATGGTGAGACCCCTGTCTCTACTAAAAATACAAAAATTAGCCAGGTGTGGTGGTGGGCACCTGTACTTCCAGCTATTTGGGAGGCTGAGGCAGGAGAATCGCTTGAACATGGTAGGCAGAGGTTGCAGTGAGCCAATATCATGTCACTGTACTCCAGCCTGTGTAGCACAGTGAGACTCTGTCACCAAAAAAAAAAAAAAAAAGTCTTCTCCGTGTTTCTTCTGGAAGACTCTTCTTCATTCTTAATGACTGTATTAGTTTCCTACTGCTGCCATAACAAATTGCCACATGCTTAGTGGCTTAAATGACATAAATGTGTTATCTTATAGTTGTGGAGGGCAGAAGTCAAAAACGGGTATCTTGGGGGCTAATATCAAAGTGTCTGTAGAGCCGCATTCCTTCTGGAGGCTCTAAGGAGAATCTGTTCCTTGCCCTTTCCAGCTTCTAGAGGCCTGCTGCATTCCTTGGCTCATGGCCACATCATTCTGACCACTGCTTCTGTTGTGACATCTTCTCCCTCTGATCCTCCCACCTCTCAAATGAACTTTTGTGATTACATTGGGCCTTCCCCGATAATTCCCCCATTTTAACGTCCTCAACTTAATTGCATCTGCAAAGTTCCTTTTGCCATATAAGGTACCATATTCACAGGTTCTAGGGATTAGGATACAGACATATTTGGGGGGTCATTATTTTACCTACCACAATGACATAGCACAATGCCACCTTCTCTGTGATACCCTCCCTGGTTCCATTCTAGAAATGTCATTCTAGAAGAAATGTAAAGAAGAGATTGGGAGGGGGCAGGACATTTACCATCCTTGGGGCACTGGTCTCAGTGCCACCTGTCTTGGCTGTCCAGAGAAGCCTGGATGGCAATGATCTGTGGCCTCCACCTTTCTCTAACCTGCTCTCTGGGCATGTTCTCTCACCTCCCTTTCCCTGTTTTTTGACCTGACATTGAACTTCCTTCAGGTCTGAGTCAAAGAGACTTCATACCCAACCCATTGTGGTTTGTGGAGGCGTTCACTAAAGGAAATGAAGAGGAAATTCTACCCACAGGACAAAGTGTTGTCTTTTTCTGCCCCCAGGTTACAATGATTTTTCTAGGGTGAGCCCTTTTTTTCTTACCATATGCTGTCCTGGCCAGGCCTGGGTTCTTGTCTATGGACAGAAGTGGCTCAGGTCATGCTAGAATGTCCCTCTGCCTCTGTCTGTCTCTCTCTCCAAATATTTAACATGCACCTGTGCAAGGCATGGTGGTAGATACCATTGCTGCGAAGCACAGTTCCCCAGGTACAGACCCTGAGATGTGGAGGATTCTTGCCAAGTGATTTGTTTATAAGTATTCCCAGGAAAAACCAGAGGGCAGTGGGGAATGAGGCAGGCAGGGGAAAAAGCTAACCAGGGGTGCACTATCAAGCACAGTCCCACATAAGGCCACTTTGTTTCCATCCTCCGGGGTAGCACTGAGGCATGCAGGTCACATCTCAGATGGTCCTGATCAGGGGGCGATTGTCATTGGTTAAGGGCTGCCCCCAAAGAGACAAATTCCCAGGGAAAAGGATTCTGACAGCCAGAAGGGAGCCCTCCATTAAAAGAGGTGCAGGAGCTGTTGTGAAGAAAAGGCCAGTAGGAGCCAGTATGCCCCAAGATGGTGCAGCAATCCGAGCAGGTCCAGGCAGAGCGCTAATATCCTCCATGCACTGGAGAAGGCCCTGTATTCAGGCATTTCCTCTTCTCACGTGGCCTAGTCATCCCTGCCCCAACCCCACTCCCAGCCAAGGCTCTAGAGCAAGACACCTGGCCTCTTCAGAAGGCTGATCTTCCGGCTGATCTTCCCAAGCTCAGACACTCTGTGTAGGCTTCAGGTCATGCTCTGCTGCTTCTTGGGCTGTCCAGGCTTTGAAATCCTTTTAGAACCGAAAACTGCTTGCTGACTTCTAGTCACCACCTTCCACTAAAAACTGCTTGCTTGCCTGAGGATGATGGATGCATCTGTCTCCGAGGCAGGCCAGTGTTCCTGCCCTCTATCTATTGCTGTGTGCCAGCCGTTGGGCCACCTCCTGAGCACCCAGACAGGGAGGAGGCCATTTTGTCTGGCTGGTCATCTTGTCTCCCTGGAGGCTCGCCTCTCTCTCCCCACTCCTTGCAGCTTGACCCCACTCTTGATTCTGCTTACTTGGTCTATGCTTCCCTACCATGTAACAGAAGTTGGTTCTGCATTAAAGGCAGACAGTTTCACCCAGAGCTTCTAGCTCCTTTTCCTGAGGCTCTAACAGTCACCAGGTGCTACAATGACTTCCTTGGGTGGTAACACATGATGCTACCTCCTCAAGTAACTCAAATGGAGGACTTTCCAAAAGCACATCATTGTTTTAAAAACATAATCATTATTGTATTCTACTTAAACTGATACATAAATTATACTAATGATAATAAGCATAACAACAGCTCATATGTGAGTACTGTGCCATGTATTTTACATGCAATAGTTCATTTCATTCTTTACCCCAAATAGTCCTACAGGGTTGGAACTCTCATTATCACCACTTAGTTGGTGGGGAAATGAGGCTCAGAGAGGTCAAGTCAGAACTTGCAGAGCTAAGACTTGAACCCAGGTCTAGCTGAGTCCATAAAACCCACCCTCTGCTTTGTCACCCTATTATTGCCTCCCATCTCACAATGACAGAAGAGGTCTCCTACTCAGTGTTGAGGGTATTAAATAGGGATGGATAGGTCTGGCAGATGAGAGTGTTTTTCCAGAGCTTTAAATTCCAATGGTGTTTAGTCACCTCATTTATTAGATTCCTTACCCAAGAATTAAGTTAAAAAATGGGCTCTTTCTCCAAAATCCCTTTCAGATGTGTTGGCCAGCACAGCACTTTGGGGCCTTCATCACCCCAAGGTGAGTCACCATGCAAACCAGTTGTGCTTTTCTGGGAGAGGGGCTTAGACCCTCCACATAAGTTCCTTTTGAAAGAGTTTTTCCTGGAAGCCCCACAAAGTAACTGTTGCTTTTGTCTTGTTGGCCAGAACTGTGTCAAATGACTACTCAGCAAGGCAGGCTAAGAAGTAAAGTTTGAGTTTTGGTTTTTTTTTTTTTAAGTTTGGGCTTCTCTATTCTTTCCCTCCTCTGTTCAGCAATATACAAAAAGCACAATACATTGTGATCAACTAAGGTTTATACCAGGGTTACAAGGATGGTTCAATTTTAGGAAATTTATCAATATAATTCACTATATTAACAAATTAAAGGAAAATAATCATGGGGGATCACAGGCTGAGAAAACTATTTAATAAAATTAATACTTTTTTATATAGTTAGAAACAAACAAATAAGAATAAAATACCTAGGAATGAATTTAGCCAAATAGGTGCAAGAATTATATACTATAAGCTATAAAACGTTACCAAAAGAAATTAGAAAAGACCTAAATAATTAAAAAGACACCCTGTGTTATGGATTAGAAGGCTTAATATGGTTGAAATGGCAATACCACTCAAAGACATCTACAGATTCAATGCAATCATTATCAAAATACCAATGTCTTTTTTTGCAGAAATGGGAAAGCTAGTCCTAAAATTCACAAGAAATTGCAAGGGACTCCAAATAGTCAAAATAATTTTGAAAAAGATGAACAAAGTCGGAGGGTTCACACTTCCTAATTTCAAAACTTACTATAAAGTTACAGTAATCAAAACAGTGTGGTCCTGGCATAAGGATAGAAATACAGATCAATGGAATAGAATTGAAAGGTGTCTTAGTCAGCTTGGGTTGTCATAATAAAATACCATAGACTAGGTGGTTTGAACAGCAAAAATTTATTTCTCATAGTTTTGAAGGCTGGAAGTCTAAGATAAAGGTGCTGGCTGATTCAGTTCCTGGGGAAGACTCTCTTCTTGGCTTGCAGATGGCTGTCTTTTTGCTATGTCTTCACGTGGCCTTTTCTTGGAACATGCCCTTTGGAGAGGAGGGCTGAGAGAACTCTCTTCCTTCTGATAAGTCTGCTAATCCCATCATGGGGGCCTTGCAATTATGACTTAATCTAAACCTAATTACCTCCTGCTATGGTTTGAATGTGTCTTCCAAAAACCATGTATTGAAAACTTAACCCCAATGCAACAGTGTTGGGAGGTGGAGCCTAACTGGGAGGTGTTTAGGTTATGTGGACTCCACTTTCATGAATGAATTAATGCAGATTAGAAAAGGGCTTGAAGCTGCAAGTTTGAAATCTTGCTCTCTCTCTTGCTCTCTCTTGTTCATTGCCTTCTGCCATGAGATGATACAGCAAGAAGGCCCTCACAAGATGTTGGCTCCCTGATCTTGGACTTTCCAGCCTCCAGAACCATGAGCCAATAAATTTCTGTTTATTGTAAATTACCTAGTCTCAAGTATTCCATTATAGTAGCACAATATGGACTAAGACACCTCCTAAAGGCCCATCTCCAATACCATTGCATTGAGGGTTAGGGCTTCAACATATGAATTTTGGGGTTATACAAACATTCAGTTAATAACGAAAGTCCAGAAACAAACCCAAAATCTATGGTCAATTTATTATTACAAGGGTATCAAGACCATCCAATGGGGAAAGAGACTACTATTTGACAAACAGTGCTGAAACAACTGGATGTCCACATACAAAAGAATACAGTTTGGCCAGGTGCAGTGGCTCATACCTGTAATCCAAGCACTTTGGGAAGCTGAGGCAGTAGAATTGCTTGAGGCCAGGAGTTCAAGATCAGCCTGGACCACCTAGTGAGACCCTATAAAAAATAAGTAAGTTGGACCCTTATTTTATACCATACACAAAATTAAAATGGATAAGAGGCCTAAATGAAAGCCAGAAATCTCTTACAGAAAAACATATGGGTAAATCTTTATGACCTTGATTTGGCAATGGTTTCTTAGATATGACACCAAAAGCACAAACAAGGTAAGAAAAAAATAGATAAATTAGACTTCATTAAAATTAAAAACTTTTGTTCCTCAAAGAACATTATCAACAAAGTGAAAATAATACCCACAAAATAGGAGAAAATATGTGGAAATCACATATTTGACAAAGGACTAGTATCCATAATATACAAATAACTCTTGTAAATGAACAACAACAACAAAATAGGCAACTAAATTGGATAGACATTTCTACAAAAAAGATATACAAGTGGCCAACAAGTATATGGAATGATGCTCAACATCAGTAGTCATTCAGAAAATTCAAGCCATAACCACAAGGTATTACTTCATACCCACTAAGATAGTTATCATTAAAAAAAAAAAAAGAAAACAAGCATGGGCAAGTATGTAGAGAAGTTGGACCTCTTTAACATTGGTAGTGAGAATGTAAAATGGTGCAGAGGCTGTGAAAAACACTTTGACATTTCTTCCATAAGTTAAACATAGGATTAGCATAGACCCAACAATTCCATTCTTGGGTATACAACTGAAAGAACTGAAAACAGATGTTCAAACAAAAACTTATACACGAATCTTCACAGCAGCACTGTTCACAATAGTCGAAAGATGGACACAATTTAAATGTTCATCAACTGACAAATGGATAAACAAAATGTGGCATATCCAGATAACAGAATATTACTCGGCCATAAAAAGGAGTGAAGTACTGATACACGCTACAGTATGGGCGAACCTTGACAATATTATGCTACGGGAAAGAAGCCAGACACCAAAACCATGTGTTGTATGATTACATTTCTAGAATATAAAATGTATAGATATAAAGCAGATTAATGGTTGCCAGAGGCTGGGATTAGGGGGAGTGGGGAAGATTGCTTCATGGATGCAGGATTTCCTTTTTGGGTGATGCAAATTTTCTGAAACTAGATAGTGGTGATGATTGCAAAATATTATACATATACTAAATGTTACCAGTGATAAATTTTATGTTATGTGTACTTTATCTCTCTTTCTCTCACACAGACACACACACACACACACACACACACACACACACATACACACACACACACGGCCCAAAACAAGCAAACAAACATTACATTTTTAGCATAATGGGAACAGAAGATAACTTCCTCAACCTGATAAAAGAGTATTGACTAGAAACCTGTATTAATAAGTCTAAGTGAGAAAGCATTAGAATTCTTCTCACTATAGTTAGGAATAAGCAAGGATGTCAATATCATCTCTATTACCAGCATTGGACTATAAATCCTAGACAAGGTAATATGACAAGAAACAGAAAAAAGCTGCTTGGAGTCTTTAAGATGCTGGAAGTTTTCAGTGTCCTCTGCACAAAGGTGTTAGTTGAAGCCTTAAGCATAGGTGACTGGAAGAAGCATAGATAAGTCAAGCCTTAACTTTGAAAACTCTTATGTATATGTGGTGTACGAAGTGGAGAATGGAGAATAAGAAAAAGGAAGGCTTAAGAAGAACCACATGATTTATTATTATAGAAGTATTGGAAGAGTTTTAGCAAGGAGGGAGTGGTCAGGATGTAAATTCTATGGAGAGGCTGAAGAGAACAAAAGCTGAAAACCCTGTTTTCTTTGTCCACTAAGGTTATTGGTGAGCTTTAAGAAAATGGTCTCAGTGGAGGGAGTAGAAACTGGTTTGAAGGGGAGATGTGGGAAGGAGAGGCAGTGGTGCAGACCATTCCTTTGAAAAGCTGGGTGGTGACTGATAGCAGTGGTGCCACCTGAGATGGCTTGTGTGGCAGGGGTGTGGACATGGCTTTTACTTCCCTGGCAGCTCTATTAACCCTCACAAAACTACTCTAGATAGACAACTGAAGTAAAAATAGTGTTCTTTGAAAAAAACCCCATGTCTAACTAGAATATTGTCACCAAATCACTCATATGTTGAAATCCTTATTGGTTAGGCCAGGCACGGAGGCTCATGCCTGTAATCCCAGCACTGTGAGAGGCTGAGGCAGGTGGATCACCTGAGATCAGGAGTTCGAGACCAGCCTGGCCAATATGGTGAAACCCCGTGTCTACTAAAAATACAAAAATTAGCCGGGCATGGTGGCACACGCCTGTAATCTGAGCTACTCAGGAGGCTGAGACAGGAGAATTGCCAGAACCCAGGAAGCAGAGGTTGCAGTGAGCCAAGATTGCGCCACTGCACTCCAGTCTGGGTGACAGAACGAGACTCCATCTTAAAAAAAAAAAAAAAGAAAAGAAAAAAGAAATCCTTATTGTTTAAGCATACAGCTTTAGCATCTCTGTCAGGGCACACTCTGAGCCTGGTTCTGACTCTGTATTATTCTCTGTGCTCAGTAATGAATCCCTAACTGCATACCTGTGCAGCTACAAGAGCAGCAAAGTAGGAGTAAAAAAGTCAGTTGGAGGTGGCTGGGTGCAGTGTAATCCAGCACTTTGGGAGGCGGAGGCGGGCAGATTGGTTGAGGTCAGGAGTTTGAGACAAGCTGGCCAACATGGCAAAACCCTGTCTCTACTAAAAATATAAAAATTAGAAACCTCATCTCTACTAAAAATACAAAAATTAGCCTGGGGTGGTGGCGCCCGCCTGTCACCTGTAGTCCCAGCTACTCAGGAGGCTGAGGCAGGAAAATTGCTTGAACCCAGGAGGTGGAGGTTGCAGTGAGCTGAGATCATGCCACTGCACTCCAGTCTGGGCAACAAAGCGAGAATCTGTCTCAAAAAAATAAAGTCAGTTGGAGGCAAGGTGCAACTTCTAATATTGCTCACTTTCATCTTTCTGCATAATTTGATAAAAGTTGCCTGCCATTTACATATTCTTTTTCATTTTTTGGCAACAGTACCTTCTCTTATTAAGATATTAATTTATTTTTCAAATTGATCCATGTGGCTTATAAAGCGCCACATCTACAACCACCTTAGGTGCCTTACTAAATTCTGTTCTTTGTGTCTGCTGCAATACTACATTCAGATTTGTAGAATTCATTTGTAATGCTTTTGCTCCAAATGTTAGTTGTGATGTGTGGTCACAAGAGAGCAGGTTATGATCACCTTTCCTTTGTTGAAGAAATATTATGGCCCATTTTATATTTTACATAGTAATTTTTTGTTCTATTTATTCTCAGTACATATCTGGCACAGAATTCTGTAATACACGCTATAGATGAAACAATTCTGATATGGTTTGAATATTTGTCCCCTTTAGTCTCACGTTAAAATGTAATCCCCAGTGTTGAAGGTGGGGCCTGGTGGGAGGTGTTTGGGTCATGGGGGCAGATCTCTTATGAATGGGCTGGTGCCTCCCTCACAATAAGTGAATTCTTGCTCTATGAGTTCATGTGAAATCTGGTTATTTAAGAGTCTGAGACCTCCTTCCCACCCTTGCTCCTTCTCTTGCCATGTGATATGCCCGCTCCTGCTTCAATTTCTGCCATGAGTAAAAGCTCCCTGAGGCCTCACCAGAAGCCAAGCAGATGCCAGCACCATGCTTCCTGTACAGCTCGCTGAACAGTGAGCCAATTAAACCTCTTTTCTTGGCCAGGCACAGTGGCTCATGTCTATAATCTTAGCACTTTGGGAGGCCAAGGCAGGCAGATCACCTGAGGTCAGGAGTTCAAGACCAGTCTGGGCAACATGGTGAAACCCCGACTCTACTAAAAATAGAAAAATTAGCCAGGTGTGGTGGTGCATGCCTGTAGTCCCAGCTACTTGGGAGGCTGAGGCAGGATAATTGCTTGAACCCAGGAGGAGGAGGTTGCAGTGAGCCAAGATCATGCCACTGCACTCCAGCCTGGGTGACAGTGAGATTCCATTTCAAAAAAAAAAAAAAGCCTCTTTTCTTTATAAGTTACCCAGTCTCAGATATTCCTTTATAATAGTGCAAAATGAACTAACACAAACTCCAACCTCATTTCTTTTCAACAAATGCTAAGGAATACACTCATGCTACATTGTTGATTTTATGTGATAATATTCTTGTGAAATGTTCTTCCCACCAGTTCCCTGCTTACCCCATTTATCAACAGATTCATACTCAGCCAGATTTTGCTTAGGTCTTCCACCTCCATGATGGCTTTCCTGACTTCCCCAGACTGGGTTAACCTTTCTTTTCTTTGCAAATTTTATTTTACTTTTCTGATAGATGAGTAACATGGTTTGGATGTGTGTCCCTTCCAAATCTCATGTTGAAATGTAATCCCCAATGTTAGAGGTGGGGCCTAGTGGGAGGTGTTTGGATCATGGGGGTGGATCCCTCATGAATGTCTTGGTGCTCTCCTTACAGTAATGAGTGAGTTCTCACTCTGAGTTTAAGTGAGATCTGGTTGTTTAAAAGAATGTGGCACACCCCCCACCTTGCTCACTCTCTTGCCATGTGACATGCTGGCTCCCATTCCCTGCCATGACTGTAAGCTTCCTGAGGCCTCACCAGAAGCAGATGCCAGCACTATGCTATGTGTACAGTCTTCAGAACCGTGAGCCAAATAAACCTCTTTTCTTTATAAACTACCCAGCCCCAGGTATTCCTTTATAATGATGCAAATGGACTAAAACAATGTGTTTTGATAGTGGCATTGGTGTTATTGCTTCCTGGTATGGTTTGGCTGTGTCCCCACCCAAATCTCATCTTGAATTGTAGCTCCCATAATTCCCACATGTCGTGAGAGGGACCTGGTGGGAGAGAATTGAATCATGGGGTGGTTCCCCCATACTGTTCTCGTGGTAGTAAATAAGTCTCATGAGATCTGATGGTTCTATAAGGGGTTTTCCCTTTCACTTGGCTCTCATTCTCTCTTGTCTGCCACCATGTAAGACATGCCTTTGGCCTTCTGCCATGATTGTGAGGCCTCCCCAGCCATGTGGAACTGTGAGTCCATTAAACCTTTTTTTCTTTATAAATTACCCAGTCTTGGATATGTCTTTATCAGCAGCATGAAAATGGACTAATACACTTTCATTGTTGGGAGAGCTCTTCAAGAATAGGAACTCTGGCTCACTCATCTTCATGGTCTAAAGCCTAGCTCTTCTCCCAGCACTTGGTGCTCATGAAGCCTTTGTTGAATTGAAAGACAATGAACCACTGATATGGGATATGAGCAAAAAGCCATGGGAGCACTCAGGAAAGACTGATGGGGCCTTGAGTTCTCCAGGCACAGGGAAAGGGTTTTCTTGTTAGAGAAAACAACAAGTGCAAATGCCTGAAGATACAAAAGACTGGAAATTCAATGTGATGGTAACAGAGAGGTGGGGCTGAAGAAGATGGTTTGATCGTAATGATCTGTACTCTGGGAAATGTGGGCTTAAGTTACAGAGGCCCAGTAGAGGTTTTTAAGCAAGAGTATGACATAAGACTTGTTTTCTCAAAAGGTAACTCTAGAAACTTAATGTAAATGATGGACTTCCAGTGCTAATAATGTTTTAATGTAGGTTCATCCGTTGTAAAAATGTACCTCTCTAGTGGGGGATGCTGATAATGAGGGACACTATGCATGTGGGGGAAGTAGGTATATAAAAAAAATCTCTATACTTTGCTCACAATTTTGCTGTGAAACTAAAACTGCTTTACAGAATAAAGTAAAAAAAAAAATAAGGGTAACTTCTGCAGTAGTGGGCTTCTAATGGGTGACCTTTGTAAGATCATTTTCTTCGTGTGCTCCAGAGATGGAAGGGGCTAATTTTTTCACTGGGTATTTTAACTGTCAATTGTCAGAGTCCCATAAATCACATTATATCTAGGCATGTTCTTCTGACTAAAAACCAGAAGTGAAAAGGAAGACCTTAGAAGGATATCAGAAGTTTGAGCCTAGAAAAATACATCTCATGTTTTCCAGCAGGAAGTATTAAACTGGACAAGTAGAGGGCCAGAAAGACAAGGTTATGTCCAGAAGCCAACTGGGCAAGAGACAACAGAGAACTGGATGGGAGGAGAGCTAGGCAAGAGTATCTGTGAAGTTGGGAGGTTCCACAAGTGGCCGGAAGGAGTTTCTTTTAGGATTACAGAATGTGTTTGTTTAACAAAAGTCTTTGTTGCTTCTAAGGGAATTCTTGAAAAAGTAGTGTGATGTAGGTTTTAGAACAAAAAATCTTTTACTTTATCCTTTTCTCCACCATGTCCTAACTGTGTTCTTGGGGTGAGTTTCTTAATTTCTCAAGTCCTCAATCTCCTTGTCTATAATATGAGGATAATGACACTTTACATGCGAGATTATTGTAAGAATTAGAAATAATATACGTACAAACCATTTAGCAAAATATCTGGAAATTACATAGGAATTACCATTCTTCTTAGTCTATATTTTAAAAATTTGACTTTTCCAAGGGAGGAAGATGTATTGAAGTCTCTTGTCTTTGCATGATTAGCATGTTGTTCCCTTAGGAAAGGCTATTCCTTTGGCAGTTGGAGCTTCCTGGAGTGGGTAGGTCAGAGTTCTCAGGCTACATCTTACATGGAGAGGCTCCTGCTGGTGGCTCTGCTCCCCACGTGGGCTGCCCTGTGTGAGGAGGCCCCCACACATGGTGTGAATGTGGGAGGCCTGGCCTTTGCTTTTGTGTGTGCCCAGTGTCTGATGAGGCGCTCCTGTTTGTGGCTTGGCCTCTCTGCTTCCCACTCCGCCTAGGAGGAGCCACGCTGTCTGTTCTATGAGCCAAGCCTGTCTGCTACTGCTGGTTCCTGGGAATCAGCCACTTCCCTCTTCTGGGGAAGCACATCGTCATAGAGTGGATGACCGCCACTGGGAAACTGACTCATGGCTGAAATAAGGCAATAGCTTTCAAGGCAGGAATGGGAGAAAGCAAATTATGAGCCGAGTGTACTCTGGTGAGTCTGGGAGTGTTTCCTCTCAGCTCAGCTATGGTGGACACCCAAAGGTGGGCAGAGAGAGTAAGAGAACCTCAAATCACCATGGAGTCCTCCAAAGAGGAATCTTTTGGTCAGAACTCTTGCCATGAAGAAATAATCTGCCCATAAAACTAAGTTTAGGATGGGTGTGGTGTCTCACGCCTGTAATCCCAGCACTTTGGGAGGCTGAGGCGGGGAGGCTTGCTTGAGGCCAGGAGTTTGAGGCTAGCCTGGACAACATAGCAAGACCCTGTCTCTACAAAAAATACAAAAATTAGCTGGGCATGATGATGTTCGCCTGTAATCCTAGATACTGGGGAGGCTGAGATGGGAGAATCACCTAAGCCCAGGAGTTTGAGGCTGCAGTGAGTCATGATTTTGCCACGGCACTCCAGCCTGGGTGACAGAGTGAGACCCTGTCCCTGCCCCCTCCACAAAAAAAATTAAGTTTAGTTGAAGGTTGGGGACAACTTTCTTTTTTAATCACAGGGAAGAAAAATTCTCCTCAGGGAGGAAACCATCTTTGTTCAAGAAAATAACTCAATATGCCTCTTCAGGCAGAAGATGAGATAATGAGAGCATGAGTTAGCAAAGTTCAAGGAAACAAATATGACAACGAAATTGATTATCATCATAAAGGAATAGAAAGAAAAGAGGTTGGAGAAGAGACGGGGTGGCAATTGTAGTGCAGTTAGGAGAAGCAATAGGGATGGGTAGTAGGAGACTTTTTAAGAACAGAAAATGTTCAATATTCAATTTAAAGTTTGGGTCATAGCATTTGGCCTGTCTTGGTGAATGTTCTGTGTGTACTTGAAAGTAATTTGTATTCTGCAGTTGTTCAGTGCTCTACAAATGTCATTTGGACCCAGTTGTTTAATAATGTTCTTTCAATCTATACCCTTACTGACATTATGTCTTCTTGTTCTAACAATTACTGAGAAAGGAAGTGTTACGGTCTCCAAACATAATTGTGGATTTATCTATTTCACCCTTTAATTCTGTCAATTTTTGCATTGTGTATTTTGAGGCTCCATTACTAGGTGTATATACAGTTAAAAATGTTATATTTTCTTCATTAATTATTGTAAAATGTCCCTCTTTATTTCAAGTAATTCTCTTTATCTCTGGTATTTATTTCTGATAATCCATGTCAAAGGTCTTGAAGTATTCTCTATCTGATATGAACATGCTTAGTGTTTGTACAATAATTGTTTTCTTTCTTTCAATTTGTGTTTAATGTGTATTTCTTGTAAACAGCACATAGTTGGATCTAACAATATCTAACTTTTAATTGGAGTGTTTAGTCTACTTATAGTTAATGTAATATTGATATGATTGAGTTCAAGTCTCTAATCCTGCTATTTGTTTTCTATTTGTATGTCTGTTCTTTGTTTCTCTGTTCCTAGTTTTGTGTCTTTTGGGGAGCTAACTTTAAAAAAAGCAGTGTTTCATTCTATTATATTGAATTTTTAGCTTTTTTTTTTGGTTTTATTGTTTTACTGGTTGCTCTAGGGTCTATAATATGCATCTTCATCTTAATCACAAATTGTGGTTTTCCTTGATTTTATTCAGCCTGAGGTTCCCTTGATGTCTTGGGTGTGTGGGTTGATGCTTTTAATCAAAGAAGAAAAAAATTTGGGCCAGTATGACTTCAAATTTGTATGTTTTTCTACCCACTCCTTTTTTTCTCTTACTTTTTGGGATTCCAATTACCTGTATGTTAGTCTAGTTAATACTTTCTGATGGGTCAACATGACTCTTTTTTTTTTGTTTTTTTTCCAATCTTTTTTCTCTCTGTGATTCAATTTGTTTAATTTTTTCCCCTTTTTTGTCTTTCTTTTTTTTTTGAGACGGAGTTTTTGCTCTTGTTGCCTAGGCTGAAGTGCAATGGCGTGATCTCGGCTCACTGCAACCTCTGCCTCCCGGGTTCAAGTGATTCTCCTGCCTCAGCCTCCTGAGTAGCTGGGACTACAGGCGCCTGCCAGCACGCCTGGCTAATTTTATTTTGTTTTGTTTTGTTTTGGAGACAGGGTCTGTCTCTCTCACCCAGGCTGGAGTACAGTAGTATGATCCTAGCTCACTGCAACCTTCGCATCCTGGGCTCAAGTCATCCTCCCACCTCAGCCTCCCAAGTAGCTGGGACTACAGGCGCATACCACCAGGCCCAGCTAATTTTTTTTTTTTTTTTTTTTTTTTTGTAGAGATGGGGTTTTACCATGTTGCCCAGGCTGGTATCAAACTCCTGGCTTAAGCAATCTGCCCACCTTGGCCTCCCAAAATGCTGGAATTATAGGCCTGAGCCACCATATCCAGCCTTGTTTAATTTCTATTAACCTGTCAAGTTCACAAATCTTTTTACTGTATTGCCAAATTTACTGTGAATCTTAAATAAATTTTTTATGTCAAATACTTTATTTTTGATATTTGGGAGTTTCATTTGATTCTTTTTTAGAGTTTCTATATCTTTCCTGAAATTTCCTATTTCTCACCCATTATATTCCCCTTTTCCTATAAAATTCTGTAACATATTTATCAGAGTTACTTCAAGGTTTTCGTCTGCTAATTATAACATTTGGTCACCTTTGGATCTGTTTCTGTTGACTGCTTGTATTTCTTTTCGTGTCTTAATCACATTTTTCTGCCTTTTCATACATCTAGTAACTTTTGCTTGACAGTGGTACATCATAGATATTCTGGGTTCTGTTTTCTTTTTTTTTTTAACTTTTAAGTTCATGGGTACATGTGTTGGTTTGTTACATAAGTAAACTTGTGTCATGGGGGTTTGTTGTACAGATTATTTTATCACTCAGATATTCAGCCTAGTACCCATTAGTTATTTTTCCTGATCCTCTTCTTCCTCCCACCCTCTGAGAGGCCCCAGTGCGTGTTGTTCCCCTCTGTGTGTCCATGTGTTCTCATCACTTAGCTCCCACCTATAAGTGAGAACATGTGGTATTTGGTTTTCTGTTCCCGTGTTAGTTTGCTGAAGCTAATGGTCTCCAGCTCCTTCTGTGTCCCTGCAAAGGACATGATCTCATTCCTTTTTATGGCTGCATAGTATTCCATGGTGTATATGTACCACATTTTCTTTATCTAGTCTATCATTGATAGGCATTTAGGTTGATTTCATATCTTTGTTATTGTGAATAGAGCTGTCATAAACATATGCATGCATGTGTTTTTTTTTTTTTGGTAGAACAATTTATATTTCTTTGGGTATTTACCCAGTAATGAGATTGCTGGGTTGAATGATATTTCTGTGTTTAGGTCTTAGAGGAATCACCACACTGTCTTCCACAATGGTTGAACTAATTCCACAATGGTTGAACACTCCCATCAACAGTGTATAAGCATTTGTTTTTCTCCACAACATCACTAGCATCTGTTAGTTTTTGACCTTTTAATAATCACCATTCTGACTGGTGTGAGATGGTATCTCATTGTGGTTTTGATTTGCATTTGTCTAATGATCAGTGATGAGAGTTTTTTCATAAGTTTTTTGGCCACATGTATGTCTTCTTTTGAAAACTGTTCATGTCCTTTGCCCACTTTTTAATGTTTTTTTTTTTCTTGTAGATTTGTTTAAGTTTCTTATAGATGTTGGATATTAGACCTTTGTCAGATGCATAATTTTAAAAAAATTTTCTCCCATTCTGTAGGTTGTCTGTTCATTCTGATGATAGTTTCTTTTGCTATGCAGAAGCTCTTCAGTTTCATGAGATCCTATTTGCCAAATTTGCTTTTGTTGCAATTGCTTTTGGTGTCTGTGTCATGAAATCTTTGCCCATGACTATGACCTAAACAGTATTGCCTAGGTTATCTTCCAGGGTTATAGTTTTGGGTTTTACATTTAAGTCTTTAATCCACCTCGAGTTAATTTTTGTATATGGTATAAGGAAGGCATCTAGTTTTAATCTTCTGCATATGGCTGCTGTGTTCTATTTTCTTTCTTTAAGGAGTAGTGATTTAATGTACTTCCAGCAGACAAATCACCTTGGTCCTGTGAAGGCATGGCATAAGGTTTGTTAGAGTTGGTTTATTTGGACTTTGCCTTTAGGTCTAGAACATAGCCCTTACACTGTGCTGTGATCCTCACTCCTAAAGATTGAAGTTCCTCCTAAATATGGCCTTTCTGGATTTCAGTGGAAGACTTGGAGTGTTTACCAACTATCTGTGATTTGCTGGGACTTGAACTTCAAACTCCAGATTCCCAGCACTGCATAGCTGCTCAGTCTTTTTCAGTCTCTCAGTTGTTGCTTTCCACTGGGCTTCTTGTCGTCTTCCCGACGCATGCACAGCTCAGGGGTTAGTCAAGGATTGAAGGAGAATTTCTACGGAAAATTTGATGCTCCCCTTCTGTGACTCACTGTTTTGGGAATTTCTCCCTTCAATTTTCAGCTGCTATGACAGCCCTGAATCCCAAACTCAGACTCCTCAGCCTGATAAAACTGGTATTTTCTGCTTGAGACCCTTCTGTTCTGCACCACTCAGACTGAGAAATGCCCTCAGGTGAAACTTTATATAAAAGTAGATTTCATCCATTTCAGTTCCATTCTTAAGTGTCTGTCTCCTCCAGTTTCTGCTGTTTTTTTATCGCTGTCTAGTGACTTTGAACTGTTATTTTTTTTTGTCCGGCATCTAATTGTAATAGGAAGAGACAGAACTAGAGACAGAATTAGAAACAGACAGAACTTCCTAAGTGATTCTTTAAAAATACAATTATATTTCCTTTAATGACTCCTATCTTTTTGCTTTGAATTCCCTCAGAAGCAGGTTCCAATATAAGGGTTTTTAAGGCAAATAGTTTATTTGAGAGGTGATCCCAGGAAACACCTGCAAGGGAGTAGAGAAGTGAAACCTGGAAGCCAAATAAGGTGTGTTAAGTTACAAGTTACAACTGGAGCTCAGTCCTGCCAAGGAACTCTGAGAGAGAGTAAGGCCATGCCTCAGAGTTATCCCAACAGAGGTACAGGGTAGGGTATTTATCCACCAACTCCCTGTATTTATCCAGCAGTGCTGGTGGTGTTTATCCACCAATGCCTTACCGGAGAGCAGCTTCCAGGTGCATTGATCCCTGGAACTTCTGGCTTGCTTTGCATGCAGTCCTCAGGCAGACAGGCACCGGTGTTTGCAGTAAGCAAACTTTGTTGTTTAGATATGCATGCTGAGAAGATCTGGGTGGGGCGTCATACTACTAAGAAAAGCTACTTATCATACTACTAAGAAAAACTACTACTACTACTAAGAAAAAAATCAAAACTCCCTATCCTATCTTAAAAAGCGTTGCCTACCACTCCTACCTGATCCCCATTCTCCCTCTCACCCACCAGGACCCAAGCGTGCCTCAGCCTCCTGAGTGGTTGGAACTACAAGGCATGTGCCACCATGCCCAGCTTATCTTTTTATTTTGATTTTTTTTTTTTAGGGACAGGGTCTCACTGTTTTTCCCAGGCTGGTCTCAAACTCCTGGCCTCAAGCAGTCCTCCCACTTCAGCCTTCTGAGTAGTTGAGACCCCAGGCGTGAGCCACCTTGCCTGGTGTTGGCTCCTTTCTTACATTCAAATTTTTGCTCACATGTTATCTTTTCAGAGATGTTTTCCCTGAGCACCCTGTCGAAAGTAGCCTCCAACTTGTTAACTATAACGTCATTCTATTTTAATTCTATGCATATCACTTATCATACTGCATGATTTTTGATAATTTATACACTTGCTTGTCTATCATCTGCTTCTTCCACCAGTATAAAATCTGTGTGAGAGTAATAACCTTGTTTATCTTGTCATAGCTATAAACCCCTGAGCTTATAATAGGAAAGAATACATATTTGTTGAATGAATGAATAAATGAATAGATGAATGAACATGCTCAAATTTGCAAATAAAATAAGTTGCAAATAAAAAAGTTAAGGTGGAAGCAACCCAAGTGTCCATCAACTGATGCATGGATAAACAAAGGGATGAAATATACAACAATAAAATATTCAGCCTTAAAAAGGAAGGAAAGACCGGGTGCAGTGGCTCAGGCTGGTAATCTCAGCACTTTGGAAAGCTGAGGCAGGCGGATCTCCTGAGGTCAGGAGTTTGAGACCAGCCTGGCCAAAATGGTGAAATCTTTTCTCTACTAAAAATACAAAAATTAGCCAGGCACTGTGGTGGATGCCTGTAATCCCAGCTACTTGGGAGGCTGAGGCACAAGAATTGCTTGAACCTGGGAGGCAGAGGCTGCAGTGAGCCGAGATGGCGCCACTACACTCCAGCCTAGGTGACAGCGAGACTCCGTCTCAAAAAAAAAAAAAAAAGGAAGAAAATTGTGACACATGCTACAACATGGATGAACCTTGAAGACATTATGCTAGGTTAAAGAAGCCAGTCACAAAGGGACAAATATTATATGATTTCACTTACATGAGGTGATTAGAGTAGTCAAATTCATACAGACAGAAAGACAAATGGTGGTTACCATGGGTTGGAGGGAGGTGAGAATAGAGAATTAGTGTTTCATTGGTACAGAGTTTCAGTTGGGGAAGAGGGAAAACTTCTAGAGAGGGATGGTGATGATAATTGCATAACACTGTGAATGTACTTAATATCACAGAACTATACATTTTCAAATGGTAAATTTTATGTATTGTATTAGTCCGTTTTCACATTGCTGTAAAGAACTACCTAAAACTGGGTAATTTATGAAGAAAAGAGGTTTAATCGACTGACAGTTCCACATGGCTGGGGAGGCCTCAGGACACTTACAATCATGTTAGAAGGCAAAGGGGAAGCAAGACATGTCTTCTCATGGCTACAGGAGAGAAAGAGAGAGCGAAGGGGGAAGGGTCATACACTTTTAAACCATCAGATGTCATGAGAACTCACTCACTATTATAAGAACAGCAAGACAGCAGACAGCAAGTCTGCCCCCATGATTCAGTCACCTCCCCCCATACCCCTCCTCTGACACATGGGGATTACAATTTGAGATGAGATTTGGGTGGAGACACAGAGCCAAACCATATCGTGTATGTTTAACCAAAGTTTAAAACTTAAAAAATTAACCCCCAATTGCCAAAGGAAGATAAAGCCTGGATTTAAAATCTGATTTACCCCTTACTTGCATAATCCTAGGGAAATTATTTTATGAAACTTTTTTTTGAGACTCCGTCTCAAAAAAAAAAAAACAAAAAACAAAACTCTGTCACCCAGAATGGAGTGCAGTGGTGCAATCTCAGCTCACTGTGACTTCTGCCTCCCAGGTTCAAGTGATTCTCGTGCCCCAGCCTCCCGAGCAGCTGGGATTACGGGTGTGTGCCACCACGCTTGGCTAATTTTTGTATTTTTAACAGAGACGGGGTTTTGCCGTGTTGGCCAAGTTGGTCTCAAACTCCTGACCTCAGGTGATCCACCCGCCTTGGCCTCCCAAAGTGCTGGGATTACAGGCGTAAGCCACCGCTCCTGGCCAGAATTTTTTTGAGACGGAATTTCACTCTTGTTGCTCAGGCTGGAGTGCAATGGCGCGATCTTGGCTCACTGCACCTCCCAGGTTCAAGCGATTCTCCTACCTCAGCCTCTCGAGTAACTGGGATTACAGGCATGCACCATCATGCCCGGCTAATTTTGTGTGTTTAGTAGAGAGGAGTTTTCTTCATGTTGGTCAGGCTGGTCTCGAACTCCTGACCTCGGGTAATCCCCTGCCTCGGCCTCCCAAAGTGCTGGGATTACAGGCATGAGTCACAGCACCCGGCCCTGGCTGGAAATTATATTATAAAACTTCTGTGAAACAGTCTCCTCATCTGTAAAGTGAGAATAATAATAGTACCCACTCTATAGGTTTATTATAATAATGTAGGTGTCCCTGAATTTATTTATTTTTGTTTATTTATTTATTTATTTATTTTTGAGACGGAGTCTCGCTCTGTCGCCCAGGCTGGAGTGCAGTGGCGCTATCTCCGCTCACTGCAGCTCTGCCTCCCTGGTTCACGCCATTCTCCTGCCTCAGCCTCCCAAGTAGCTGGGATTACATGCGCCTGCCACTACACCCGGCTAATTTTTTGTATTTTTAGTAGAGACAGGGTTTCACTGTGTTAGCCAGGATGGTCTTGATATCCTGACCTCGTGACCCGCCTGACTCGGCCTCCCAAAGTGCTGGGATTACAGGCATGAGCCACTGTGCACGGCCGGTGTTCCTGAATTTATAAATTTTATGACTTATTAACCTTTCAAAGGGATTTTGGGAACTGCTATTAGTTTGACATTATTTTTGGTCAAATATGATTAAAAACAAAACACAAAACTTTCATTCACTTTGATAATCACTTTATAAAAGAAAGAGGATTTTAATGTAAAAAAAATCTAGAAAAAGAACAATCTCAATGTAAAGAACATTAAAAATACTTTTTAAAAAACTTTCACTATTAATAATTATAGAATAGGTAATTTGGACCAACCCTACTGGTGAGGATAAGTAGAAAAGCTAAACAAACTATATTTTTAAAAAATCTGTTTGTAAACATTAGAAAGACATAGAGATAGTGAAGAACTACTGGTACAAGATCCAAGAAAAGAAGGAAATCCAGAAAGGTAATTCTGGCACTTAGGGTGTTTGTGGAATCTGGAAGAGGTGGTTGAGAGAATGACCTCTTCTTTTAACAGTCTCATGGGGCTAAGGGAAAAAAAGTTGCAATGTAAGGCCTGAAAAAGTGATTGGCTAACCCCTCCCACTACTGTCTCTTTGAGTTAAGATCTTGAGAGGCTACACCTTAGGTGTAAAGGTGAACTTTAGGCTTTCTCTGCCCAGCTTTGAATGGTATCAGTCCAAGAAATTGGGTTAGGGTAAGCCTAGATTGCTAGTGCCCCTAAGCACCTGGAATAAGCAAATATAAACCCTTTCTAGAAGAAGATAATACCCTGTCCCTCAAAATAATTTTACAAATTGTTTTACAAACACAACATGTGGCACACAATAAAAGATAACCAGACACACATGGAGACAAGACAACACAAAATAAATCAGAAGAAACAACAGATAATAGAACAGTCCCGTATAGACTCTAGATATTGAAATTATTGAACACAGACTTTAAAATAACTATGCTTAATATTCAAAGAAAAAAGGACAAGATTGAGAATTTTGTCAGAGACCTGAAAACCATAATAAAGGACTTGGTAGATTTGAAAAAGAATCAAGTAGAAAACTTAGAAATGAAAAAAAACAGTAACCCAAATTATTAATACTATTGATAGGTTTTATAAAGAATAGATACTGTTGAAGAGAGAATTAGTGAAGTAAAAGATATGTCAGTGAAAAAGATCTGGAATGAAACATAAAAAATTCAGAAAGGATAGAAAATACAGATGAGAGAGTAAGAGACACAGAGGATGAGAGGATCTAACATACATGTATTTGGAATCCCAGAAGTAGAGTCGGGGAGACAAGGCAGAAGTAATTATTTGGAATTCAAGGCTGAGAATTTTCCTAAACTGATAAAATCATCAAGTCACAGATTTAACCCCAAACAGGTAAATATAAAGAAATGCACCTGGATACTTCACAGTAAAACTGCTAAAAACCAAAGACAAGGCCGGGCGCGGTGGCTTATGCCTGTAATCCCAGCACTTTGGGAGGCGGAGGTGGGCAGATCACCTGAGGTCAGGAGTTCGAGACCAGCCTGAAACCCTGTCTCTACTAAAAATACAAAAATTAGCTGGGCGTGGTGGCATGTGCCTGTAATCCCAGCTACTTGGGAGGCTGAGACAGGAGAATCGCTTGAACCTGGGAGGTGCAGGTTGCAGTGAGCTGAGATGGTGCCATTGCACTCTAACCTGGGCAACAGAAGCAAAACTCCATCTCAAAAAAAAAAAAAAAAAAGCAAAAGACAAGATGTCTTAGTTTTGTGCTGCTGTAACAGAATACCTGAGATTGGGTAATTTATGAAGAAAATAGTTTTATTTCTTACAGTTCTGGAGGCTGGAAAGTCCAAGACTGAAGAGCCCATACCTGGCAAGGGCTTTTGTGCTGTGTCATTCTATGGTGGAAAGCAGGACAAGAGAGTGCAAGAGAGCAAGAGATTGCCAAAGTCACTTTTACAACAAACCACTCTCATGATAATGACATTAATCCATTCATTGCCTTCATGACCTAATCATCTCTTAAAGGTCCCACCTCTCAACACTATTTTATGGGGGATTAAATTTCCAACACATAAACTTTGGGGGACACATTCAAACCATAGCACAAAACGAAATCTTAAAAACAGTCAGAGAGGCTGGGTTCAGTGGCTTACGCCTGTTATCCTAGCACTTTGAAAGGCCGAGACAGGAGGATCGCTTGAGCCCAAGAGTTCAAGACCAGCCCAGGCAACATGGTAAAACCCCATCTCTTCAAAAAATACAAAAATTAGCCCGGCGTGGTGGCGGGCCCCTGTAGTCCCTGCTACTTGGGAGGCTGAGGTGGGAGAATCACCTGAGCCCGGGAGGTTGAGGCTATAGTGAGCCGTGTTCGTGCCACTGCACTCCAGCCTGAGTGACAGAGTGAGACCCTGCCTCAAAAAAACAAAACACAACAAAATGAAAAACAAAAACAGAAAACAAAAAACAGCTAGACAGAAAGCAACATTTAGACTAACACTAAACTTCTCAAAAAATATAATGAATGCCTTCACAACAGAAACAATGGCAGGCAGAAAACAATGGGATTATATATTTAATGTAGTTAAAGAAAATAATTGCCAACCTGCTATTCTAAAGCCAGGAACATATCATTTAAGAATGATAACCAAAGTCAAGAAAATGTATCATCAGCAGATTACATGAAAGGAAGTATAAAAGAGTGTTCTTCAGACAGAAGAAAAATAATCCACATGGAAGGTCAGAGATTCAAGAAATAAGAAAAAAGGCAAAAATGTGGTAAATCTAAATGTGTATTACTCATATAAAACAGTTATAATATCTAAGGAGGCTCAAAATGTAGAGTTAAAATACAAAAGCATGGTATAACATTATGGAGGAGAGAGTACTAGGAAATGAGTAAAAGTATCAAATAACACTAGAACCTGATAAATCAAGGATGAGTGTTATAATCTCTAGGTGTTGTGGTCCAAATGTTTGAGTCCCCCCAAAATTCATGTTGACCCCTAGTCACCAATGTGATGGTATTAGGAGGTGAGGCCTTTGGTGGGAGGTGAACAGATCACGAAGATGGAGCCATCATGAATGGAAGTAGTGCCCTTATGAAGGTGACCTGAGAGAGACCTCTTACCCCTTTCATCACGTGAAAACATGTGAAGAGGTACCATCCATGAACCAAAAGGCAGACCCTCACCAGTCATCAGATCCACTAGCACTATGGTTTTGGACTTTCCAGCCTCCCAAACTGTAAGAAATAGTTACCCAGTTTATGATATTTTGTTATAGCAGCCTGAACAGACTAATGCACTAGGGTAGCCCCTAAAAATTAATATAGTGTGCATATCTCCAAACCAATAATGCCATGGGTGGAATAATAAAACAGTATTTTATTAATCCGAAAGAAGACAAAAGGAATGCAAATCAGACAGGACAATTCAGAATGCAAACTATAACATGGCAGCTTTAAACCCACATAAACTAGTAATTAAGCTACATGTAAACAGATAAAGTGTCCAATTAAAAGACAAAATAATCAAATTTTTTAAAACCCCAAATCTACATATTGGTATATATTAGGCATATATAAACTATAAGGGAGAAGTCCTGTTCGACATTGATAACGGCCAGGGTGTGGAGTGGGAGGACCGTGTGTTCTTATTTTTCAAGTAGGAATAACCAAAATGTAGTAATAGGTAGCTTTGTTAAGCATTTACTAAATAACTAGGCTAAGCATTTTATGTGTTTTTTCTCAGTTATTAATGTCCAGCAGGTTTTCTTCATTGACTTTCTCAATAGCAGTCACACCAAAGGCAATGTGACCAGGGATAGCAGGGGTTAGCACCACTCTGTAGGAGAGCTTTCGGACACAGTTGCTCCCAAATCCAAGAAGTGAAGTTTTCGTTTTTTAGAATAAAAACTCTGAAGCAATAACTCTGATATTTAGTCCAAACAAACCTTCCTTCCCACCCTTAGCCTGCCAACCTTCACTCTCAAACTCAGTCAAAATTTTTAATGTAGAGGTCGAGACCCAAAGGACATCACACTGACTTTGCAGTTAAGAGATGGAAGAAGCATAAGCTTTAGAGTCTGGGATTTTATCCTAACTCTGCTCCTGCCAGCTGTGTGACCTTAGGCAAGTCAACTAACCCACGTAAACTCAATTTCTTCGATAAAGTTGAGGTTACCCTACCTCAACTTACTTCATAGGTTGCGTTGGGATTACAGTGAATGAAAGCTCTTCTATCTTCCACATGGAATTTCCCTCTCTGACTGCTGCATGCATGTAAGCCAGCACTTAAAACCTCAACTCTGAGATCACTTAGTCCAACTTCTGTTTTGCAGATGAGGAAACTGAGGCACAGATATCAGCTGTGTGATCTTGGACAAATTGCTTAATGTCTCTGGTCTCAGTTTTCTCATCTATAAAATGGAGATGGTAATCCTAGCCTGGCATAATTTTTGTGAAGATTTAATGAAGAAGTGTGTACCTGGTACTGGTACTTGGTAGTCATTCAATGCATCGTGGCAGCTACTATTTTTTAAATGAATATTCTTATTATTTTGTGTGGTATTTGAAAGGTCATTCTGCGCTGAGGTATTGAGAGCTGGCAGGCTGCAGCCATTTGGTCACAAACCTTAGAGTTGTTGGGTTGTCCTGGGGAGACCTTCCTCACAGGGTCAGGTAGAGTTCAGTGAACTCGCAAAGAAGCGTGATTTTAGACGCTCCAAGGTACATCCACTCATCTCCTCTCCACTCCCTCTGCCTGTTATTAAACTGGTAGTTTTTACAACATCAATAAAGAACTTTCCTACCCAATTACCCCAGACAATAGGCTGAAAAGCAGTTTCGACTATGAAAACTTCATGTTGGGTTCATTTAGATTGTTTTGCTGTGTCAAATCCTCACTTGAGTTCAAAAGTTCAGCTGAACCATGAACTTTGTAATTTCACAGCAGGCAGTTCTACAAATATAGTGGAAAGTGAATAAACATACAATATTTAAGGTGGGCTTGTCACGTTGTATATAATATAGTTAGGAATGGTTGTAGGTAAAACAGCCCTTAATTTCCAGAGCACAGTGACGTATCAAAAAGAAAGAGGGAAATAAAATTAAACCAAACTGTTCCTTGAGTTACCTGATCTCTGAGGCTTCCAAGGGAATGCACATTCAGTGACTAATCATTAGTGGACAAACTAAAGCCAACTAATCTTCTTAATAAATTGTGAAGTCTTGTATACCTCTTGGTTTTAGCGGTGGCTTTTCTGCCTGTCTGGACCAGGCAGCATATCAAAACAAAAGGGTCATGACTTTATGTATTTGTTAAAGTTAGAATCCACGTTCTCATATAACTCAGGCTTGATTTGACCTGGTTACACAAGTGTAGGTGGAGTGAAATTTTCACAGGAATGAGAATAATGCTGCGTTCTTACTTGTCTATTAATAAATACACGCACACTCAAATTCAGTTCAAGAGCCCCTCATTTTGTAAGCCTTGTGTTTGCAGCTTTAGGGTTGAGGCTAAAGCAAACAAGATAACAAGCCTCCTTGGGTTAGGGTGTCTTTCAGCTTAAACCCAGTGAAATCCTCAATACCGTGGAATGAGATTTCATATTGCATCAACGTATGATGCTTCGTTTCTTACAAAGAAACGTGTTTCTCATTGGATTTTAGGTTGCAGTGTGTAAAAGCAAAGGGACAACTTTCAGGCAGACCATCTGGGGTAAGTGGAGTCAGTCCAAGCAAGGTGTTTTTATATGGCAGCTGTTTATCCCTCTTTGTTTACCAAGGAGTTGGTCTGCAGGGTCACGAGAGGAAAGCTACGCTTGGTCATTTGTGGAAGCAGAGAGGAAGGGATGGGGTGAGAAGGTCAAGTCCTGTGACGGATGGTTCTTCATGAGTTAAATGAGACTGGCTTTTCAAAAGCAGTTTCCTCCCTGTCCTGACTTTCATCTCAAAGTTGCCAAAATTTTAGCTCTAGCCAGCTTAGGACTCTTTTTAGAAAAATCCCCGAGCAGAGATGGTCCGAGGCTATGCTGCTGTCCTGAATGGTGCGTTTTTCCATACGAGAAGGTCTTCTTCGGTTCAGTCAAGAATTGATGAGATTTTTCATTTTTTCCAGACATAAATCATCACAATAAATTTAATGCCTCCAACCAAGAACTGAGAACCATGATGATAAAGGGGGAAAGTGTGGGGTGAAGACTGTGAAATTTGGTTGACCTAGTTAAAGGTGGTCTGTCTTTCTGGTGGGGTTGTGAGGCTGGAAGGAAAAACAAGGTTCGCTGCTTTTGTGGCTGGCTGAACTGGGCTGCCCAGATTTTACGGCTGTTTCTGGTTGACCTGCCCTGTATAGTGGCGCTGCGTGTCTCCTGATGAGGCCAGGACAGGAGGGGAGTTGGTGGCATTCTTTTAAAGAGCTTGTAAGATAGTGAATAATGACAGGAGTTTTTGTTCACTCATAAAGCGTTTATGGAGAACCCACTTCAGGGGAATGATGGCTGAGGGTCTGTCAAGAGGGGGTCGGGTGGGAAGTAAGAGAGATTTCTATGGGGACATATCAAGAGAGGAAATCTGGGAATGGAAATGGGAGCTGTAGTCCGGTCTGCACTCTTTGGTTGTAACTGTAGGACAGTGAGAAGGGGATATGGATTCTCAAGGGACAAAAGTCCCATGGCAGTGACTCTAGAATAAAAGGCAGATGTATGAGAAAATGACAGAAACAAGGCTTCTGAGAGGGTCAGGCTGAGAAGGTCCCATTCAGCTTAGGCAAGGCTGACTGTAGAGAGAGAATGTGTGTGTGTGTGTGTGTGTGTGTGTGTGTGTGTGTGTGCGCGCACACATGTTGAGGGTAGTGGAGACCAGCAGAGAAGACATCATTTCAATGCAAAAATATCCAACATTCCACTCACCATGGATTTGTGCTGTGTCCCGGTGACTTCCTGTCTATATGGATGTCACTCTGCATTAGTTTTTAGGACTCCCAACAGCTGTCTAGAGGGAACCCTAACTAGCAGTTACCTATCAATTTCTTTGTATCAATATTCTTATGTATATATGTATTAGCTCTAATCCTGAAATAGTCTTTTGAGGTATGGGCTAGATCTGTAGTTTATGATTGAGGAAACTGAGGCCCAGAGGTTAAATGACTTAACTGGGTACACCTGTCTAGAAGGTAGCAGGGATGGTCTGGAAGCCAATTCCTCTGACGTTAGGCCTTACTTTACCTTAAGGGGAGAAGGATTCACTTGAGTCTTTGGATGGTGGGGACAGGAATGGCTACCTTTGTGGGTAGCCTCAGGCCACCAGGAAGACTGCTTGAGTCTGTGCTTCCATGCTCTGGGATGGATTTGAGAAGCCCCAGTCTGTCCTGGGTGACATCCTTGGCCACGTGGTCTCAGTATCCCTCCTGTAGCCACCACAGGACAAGGTTTCGAACCCGGGTTCCTGTCCAACAGGACTTTGTAAAAAGGATTAAAGCTCTTTTTATTTTTCTTTCTTTTCTTTTCTTGTTTTTTGTTTTTTTCTTTGAGACAGAGTTTCACTCTTGTTGCCCAGGCTGGAGTGCAATGGTGTGATCTCGGCTCACCGCAACCTCTGCCTCCTGGGTTCAAGCGATTCTCCTGCCTCAGCCTCCTGAGTAGCTGGGATTACAGGCATGTGCCACTATGCCCGGCTAATTTTGTATTTTTAGTAGAGACAGGGTTTCTCCATGTTGGTCAGGCTGGTTTCAAACTCTTGACTTCAGGTGATCCGCCCGCCTTGGCCTCCCAAAGTGCTGGGATTACAGGCATGAGCCACTGCGCGTGGCCAATTTTTTATTTTATTTTATTTTTTATTGAGATGGAGTTTCGCTCTTGTTGTCCAGGCTGGAGTGCAATGGCGCAATCTCAGCTCACTGCAACTTCTGCCTCCCAGGTTCAAGCAATTCTCCTGCCTCAGCCTCCCGAGTAGTTGGGATTACAGGCATGTGCCACCATGCCTGGCTAATTTTGTATTTTTAGCAGAGACAGGGTTTCTCTGTGTTGGTCGGGCTGGTCTCAAACTCCTGACCTCAGGTGATCCGCCTGCCTTGGCCTCTCAAAGTGTTGGGATTACAGGTGTGAGCCACCGCGCCCGGTCAAAGCTCTTTTTAAATTGACTAAGTCCAGGATAGTTTGAGAGCTGTCAGTGATAAGAAAAGCAAAAGGAAAAATCAGGCTCAATTTGCTATGTGCTTTTTCAACTTTTGTTTCATTCTTAGGAACATTAGCCTGCTCATGGTGGTGCTGAGGGCCATGGTGCTAGGCAACTATGTTTGGATCATGGGATCTGTCCTCCAAATCAGAACTGATTGGATGCAAGGGTTGCCAATTTATAGCTTTGAAATTGGCTGAAAAAATAAATGGCACCATTTGGGAGGCTTTGGCTTTGGGAAATTGAGCAAGTGAGTGTATTGGGGAAATTGAAGCTTGAAAAGGCAGGATTTGGAGGAGTTGAGGGAAAGGAGATGTTTTAGGTAATAGAAATGGCATGATCATATTCACAAAGGTGACAGGGCCTCTCTTCATGTTTGGGGGACAGTCAGTTGACCACTTTGCCTGAAGTGGAAGGTTGGTGCAGGGGTGTGGCAGAAGGCAGGGGGGAGGACTTGGTTCACAGTGGGGGCTGAGGGAGACCTTCAGATGCCAGGCTAAAGAGTCTGGGTTATAGATTATGGGAGGTTATTGAAAGTTAAGCGTTGGGGAGAAGACAGGAAATACATTTTCAGAATTTTAACCCCATAGCATTGTGCAGAGTGGATGGAAGGACATGAATCTAGTAAGTAATTAATGTCAGTAATCAAATGTCATCACAATTTGGGCCAGCTTCTAAGCTAACACAAAGATGATCATTATTTGAATGACTTGTGTCTCTGCTGCCTCCTCTATTCTCAAACTGATTGCTGGTTTCTATTCACTCACCACATGTTATTTAGCACTTCTCTTCTGGCACTGTGCTTCTCCCTGTTTAGCACTAACAACCTTCTGCTTCATATATAGCTATTTATATGTCTGTCTCCACCATGATAGCACCTCCCCAAGGAATCCAAATGTTCAACTTGAGTCTGTTTCCTAGAGTGTGTCTGCACTAAGATCACTGGAGCCAAGGAGATCTCTATCAAAGAAATAGCAACCCTGCCTCCTAGTTCCTGAACTTGGCTTCCAGGGTAGAATCTATTATTAAACAAACAAGGTATTAACCAATTTAAACAACTTTTAATGACCCAGAAAAAATAACTCAATTCACAGAAAAAAATAAAGAGAAGAGCAGATGTCTCAGCAACCTAGCTCTTAATGAAGAAGTGTGAGCATGCTGGTAGCAATGTGATTTCAGTTAATCTTGCAAGACTCCTGTGCTGTTTCCTGGAGAAGATAGACTCCTGTCCTGAAGACTTTGTTGACATGTGCTCATGGACAAGAACAGCTGGAGGTTATCATTCCTTCCTCCTCTTAGTATTGAGCACTGTGCTAGGCTCTGAGGGTACAAAGATGAGGAGGACCACTCTCAGCCCTTGGGAAGGGGGAGGTAGATGTGTCAACTAATCCAGTGTGAATGGGGGCCCCACAGTGGCTGGTTCAGAGGAGTATTTAGGAATGAACCATTAGCTCTGCTGCTGGGGTTGTAGATGGACTGATCTCCTCTCAGAAGGCTTCCTAGGGGAGATCAGTTTGGAACTAGGCCTTTGAGGAAGAACAAGTTTGGTGGAGTGGAGTGAAGGCAAGAACACTGTAGGCAGGAGACACAGCAGGAACAAAGACCAGAGGCATGAACTCTATTTCACAGGGGCCCAGGGTTCTTCAGCAGGGCTACAATTGGCATTTGGTCCAGGACAGTGATAGACTGCCTACACTGCAATCACACTGGATACAGTTTACATCCCTTCCCCATCAAGCACTCCTGCAGTGACAAGCACAGGCTTCCAATCATTTCCAAAAGCCCCTGGGTGTGGACACAGTAGAGGGAGAGGACCAGCTCCTCCCTGCATGAGAACCACAGGAGGTGGTGTTTGAGACTTGAATGGGAGGCTAGGGCTGTAGTGTATAAGAACTTTCCCTTAGAGTGTGAAGAACCAGTGCAAATTCTGGACAAAGGAAAGACCTGGTCAGAGAGATCTGGGGTTATAAAGGTCACTCTGGCACCAAGGCGAGTTAAATTAGAAGAGGCAGAGGCTGAGAAGTACAAAGTGGATTCTCTCTCTCTCTCTCTTTTTAACGTGGATCATTTTTTTTATCAACACACAATTAGCTAATTTTTCTCTGCTTTCTCCTTGGCCATTCACAAAGAAATCTGGAAGAATGAGGCCTCTTTCCCATCAACTGCCATGATTTCTGGAAACACTTTTCGGAAGTGGTCACAAATGATCTCAGCTGCCACACCAGGGCCCTGTGCTTTGGATAATCCTTGCATTATGAAACAGGAATTATTGCACCTGTTATATGGATGAAGAAATTGAGGCTCAGAGGTCTGAATCTAAATCCTGGACTTTTGGGTCAGGTGCGGTGGCTCACGCCTGTAATCCCAGCACTTTGGGAGGCCAAGGCGGGCAGATCACCTGAGGTCAGGAGTTTGAGACCAGCCTGGCCAACATGGTAAAACCCTGTCTCTACTAAAAATACAAAAATTAGCCGGGCATGGTGCTGCGCGCCAGTAGCCCAGTTATTTGGAAGGCTAAGGCAGGAGAATTGCTTGAACCCGGGAGGTGGAGGTTGTAGTGAGCCGAGATTGCACCACTACGCTACAGCCTGGGTGACAGAGCAAGACTCTGTCTCAAATAATCAATTAATCAATCAATCCTGAGCTTTTAACCACCTTATAATAGTGACTAGGGAGTTTGTGTTGGCATTTTACTATTAATTTTCCAAAAATCATCAGTGTGGTACCCAAGAAAACATCCCTGAAAGATGGATACTGGTTCTTTCCCCTGCTTTTCTCTTTTCCATCAGCTTTTATTCTCCTGTGAACCTTAGTTCCAGCCACCATGCTTTAGTTAGCCCGTTTGTCTAAAGTGAGAGGCCCCAGACCTTTAGTTTCCCTTCAAGTAGATTTTTTTTTTTTTTTTTTTTTTACTTAAAATCACTCGCTGCCCCCAACATCTTTAGCCAAGATGTTCTCATTTTCTTGGAGCCAGAATAAGCTGGCAGGGTGCTAGAGTCAATGCGGATGTGACCCACGTGTGCTTCCGCTGGCCGGGGAGTGATAGGCCAGGCAGCAGCATCCTTCAACTCAGACTTCTCCCGGCCTGATTTATTGCTCTGGTCTCCTGCTCTGGCTTTTCGCTAACATTTCCTTCCAAAATCTTTGCTGCTGATCCAGGATTGTCCATGTGCGTTTTCACTTTGCTGCAGTTGACGGAGAGCTTTGGGTAAAAGCCCTGATACCACCCACTCCTGCCCGGTCTGCAGGAGCCATCTTTAATCTGTCAAAACCCAGGCCTGTTCACATGCTGCGAGGGTGGCGCAGATCCAAAGCCACTTCCGCCCCTTCCCTTGCTCCAGGCACATGGCGGCTGAGCAACCGGCTTCAGAGGCTTCTGGACTAGGCCCAGCCTCTTTGAATCCCAAACCAGGCCTCCTAGTACTCTCCCTGGTCAATTGCATCGGGGATCTCTTTTGTGAGAAAAAAAAAATCATAATAATGTTTTCTCAAGAGAACAGGAGTAGCCATTTATTTTGGCTCTACCATATCGATTCAAGGAAATCTCTTCCCTCGCCTTTAAATTGTCCCCGGAGTCAGCAGGGTGTTTGTGCTCAACCATTTGCCCAGGGCAAAACCCCTTAGAGCCAACCCCTCCACATCACATTTGCCAAAGTGGGATAGCACTCAAGCAAAATACTTTCCCCAGAATTAGTGAAAGACTCCTTTTGAGGCTAGTTAATAAAAATCAGGCATTTCTTTTGGTGTAATTTTTCATTCCAGGAGCCAAAGTATAGACTGGCTTTTAAGACATGCAAAGGCACCAGGCTTCCCCGGGTGGGTGAAGGTGCCTGGTGGGTTCCAGACGCCTGGGGCTCTGGAGTCCCTGCACTGAGAAGAGCCTGTCTGCCTGCATGCGAAACTCGCCCTCCCTCACATAGTTCACATTTTCCCGTCATTGCAGTGTCACTCCAGTGGCATTGTGCAAAATGAGTACTTTTATTTTTGACCTTTGAAATTTCATTTTCTCCTAGTGCCTAGAGACAGTAAAGCTGGGCTATGAGTCTTCATGGGAAAAGAAAAATTCCCTTCTGTTTCCCCAAATTGCAGGGCATCTATGTCTGGTCTCAGGATTTTCTTGTATCAGCAACTGCCACTCAGTCCCTTCTCTTTGGGGAGGAGGGGAGGACAGGTATGTGTGGTTTGAAAGAATTCTCAAGACGATTCTGATAAACATCATCTGCACCCATTGAAATTCCAGGGTCTAAACAGAGGCACAACTATTCAGTCTCTTTGACTTAAGTCACAGGATTCTGGGTCAAGGTTTCTAGTCTGAAACCTCAACCAAACCATTTAATCGTTCTGATTTGGTCAAAATGGTTAAACTGATTATGTCTGGATGTCTAAATATAGCTACATTTCAAGTTCCTTAGTTTTTCTGAGAAGCCTCTAAACTTTTGCACAATTCCTTTTGCGCAGTTTCTGCTCCATTGGGCTTAAATTCATTGTGAAAACTTAGGCAAATTGTTAACCATTTGTGATGTCAGATTGTTTATCTGAAAAATGGGAAGGCTATGTACCTTGCAGTGTTACAGGGATTGGAAGCAGGATATGTATGTTGCCAGGCACAGTGCCGGGCATGCAATAGGGCACCCGATAAATGAATAACTGCCACAATCAAGATAATGATGGTGATATTTACAACGGTGAGTAAAATGGCTTGATTTTCTTCTCCCCAACACACCCTGATATCCATGGTTAAGGTAAACTGAGAGGCCCAAAATGGAAAATAAGTGTGACAATCCGCTATATATTGTATTGAGCTTCTACTATATACATGATGTAGGGTTAGGGGCCTTCATGTGCTCTTTCATCAGTTCGCCTCTCAGTACTCTGAGGCAGCACCCATAATCCCATTTTATAGATGACCATGCTAAGACTGAAGAGGCTATTCATATATCAGAGCTCTTGATTGCAAGCAACAGAATGATTTAAGCAGAAAAGAAGTTTATCAAAAGGATATCAGGGAGGTCATAGAATCACTGGGAAAGTTAGGGGATGAGCTTGGAAAACAGGGCAGGAACAGGCTTAGAATAAATGCTCTAAAGACTATAGCCAAATCCACATTGCAGAACTGTTCACCAGTACCACTAGCGCTGGACCCTGGGGGGCTGCTGCTGATGCCACCACTGCAGCCATTTGGAAACTGGATGTTGCTACTACTGCTGTGGCTGCAGAAATAATTCCCTTTATCTTGCTTCATGAGTTGCCAGCTCCCAATTCTGTGTCTGAGGTGGGCACTCTGTTTCTGCCAGTTTGGACCCCATGCCCTTGCCCTAGTGCAAAGGATGCTGGGAAATTCAATATTTGGCTTTGGGGAGAAAGGAAAACACTGTTCCAAGGTTCATATGGTGGGAAATTCCCCATAAAATGTCAAAAGGGAAATCAGACACTAAGCCATCCTAAAAGCTACCAAATGTTTACCTTATTGAGAAATTTGGATTTGTTGCCTAACCTGGACACATCCAAAGTAAGGATACACCTTACTGTGACCTTTCATGAGATATGTGAAGTCCTATCTGCCTATTCCAAGCTGGGTATTTTATTGTTGCAGACTAAACACCAAATCTTTTTCCTCAGTGAATGTTTATTTGATTCAGTTTAAATATTGGAGCTTATAATAAACAAAATACATGTTAATAGTGCCAAAAAAAAAAAACCCTCCTTGGATACCTAAATGAATGAGAGGGCTGGAGATCGAGGATTCCTGAGAGCAGTCTTTGATTCATGGATGGAATCATAGGTATTTGGATGGAAAACACTCCTGAGATGGTCTAACCTACCTCTTCACCTGCACCTGTAAGTGCACGGAGGACTCCCTCACCTGTTACAGACAGGTTGCCCTAGAATTTGCCCTAGAATTTCAACTCATAAAACACTCTGAGGGAAGGAGGCAAACTTTCTTCAAAAATAAAATTGGAGGCCAAGGCAGGAGGATCACTTGAGGCCAGGAGTTCAAGACCAGCCTGGCCAACATAGTGAAACCCTGTCTTTACTAAAAATACAAAAATTAGCTGGGTGTGGTGGCGCACACCTGTAATTCCAGCTACTTGGGAGAGCTGAGGCATGAGAATTGCTTGAACCTGGGAGGAGGGGGTTGCAGTGAGCAGAGATCATGCCACTACATTCCAGCCTGTTGACTAAGACTGTCTCAAAAGAAAGAAGAGAAAAGAAAAATTAAATAAAATCAAACCAGCAGGTAAAGCAAAACTTGGTACAATCTTCCTGGAGGACAATTTGACAATATGTATCAAGAGCCTCAAAAATGTTGATTCCTTTATTCCCCTTTTAGAAATGAAGCATGGGGAAATACAGACAGATGTAGAGAAAGTTTGTTCTAGGATGTTCACTTATAACAGGGTAATTTATGCTAGAAAAATTTTGGTCCTGATTTTTATTTTAAGTTTTATTTTAGGTTTAGGGGTATGTGTGCAGGTTTGTTACATAAGTAAACTTGTGTCATGGGGGTTTGTTGTACAGATTATTTCATCACCCAGGTATTAAGTCTAGTACCCACTAGTTATTTTTCCTGATCCTCTCCTTCCTCCCACCCCCAACCCTCTAAGAGGGTTGCTCCCCTCTGTGTGTCCATGTGTTCTCATCATTCAGTTCCCACCAATAAGTGAGAACATGTGGTATTTGGTTTTCTATTCTTGCCTTGGTTTGCTAAGGATAATGGCCTCCAGCTCCATCCATGTCCCTGCAAAGGACATGATCACATTCTTTTTTATGGCTTCATAGTATTCCATGTATATGTACCACATTTTCTTTATCCAGCCTGTCATTGATGGGCATTTAGGTTGATTCCATGTCTTGGCTGTTGTGAATAGGGCTGCAATAAATATACACATGCATATGTCTTTTTGGTAGAACAACTTATATTCCTTTGGGTCTGTACCCATTAATGTGATTGCTGGGTCAAATGGTATTTCTGTCTTTAGGTCTCTGAGGAATCACCACACTATATTCCACAATGGCTGAACTAATTTACACTCCCACCAACAGTATATAAGCATTCATTTTTCTCCACAACTTCACCAGCATCTGTTATTTTTTGACGTTTTAATAATAGCCATTCTGACTGGTGTGAGATGGTATCTCATTGTGGTTTTGATTTGCATTTCTCTAATGATCTGTGATGTTGAGCTTTTTTTCATATGCTTTTTGGATGTTTGTATGTCTTCTTTTGAAAACTGTCTGTGTCATCTGCCTGCTTTTTAATGGGTTTTTTTTCTTATAAATTTGTTTAAGTTCCTTATAGATGCTAGATATTAGACCTTTGTCAGATGCAGTTTACAAAACTTTTCTCGCATTCTGTAGGTTGTGTGTTAACTCTGTTGATAGTTTCTTCTGCTGTGCAAAAGCTCTTTAGTTTAATTAGCTATCATTTGTCAATTTTTGCTTTTGTTGCAATTGTTTTTGGTGTCTTTGTCATAAAATCTTTGCCTGTTCCTATGTCCAGAATGGTATTACTTAGGTTGTCTTCCAGGGTTTTTATAATTTTGGGTTTTACATTTAAGTCTTTAATTCATCTTGAGTTAATCTTTGTATATGGTGTAAGGAAGGGGTCCAGTTTCAATCTTCTGCATATGGCCAGTCATTTATCCCAGCATCATTTATTGAATAGGGGGTCCTTTCCCCATTGCTTGTTTTTGTCAGGTTAGTCGAAGATCAGATAGTTGTAGATGTGCGGCCTTACTTCTAGGTTCCCTATTCTGTTCCATTGGTCTATGTGTCTGTTTTTGTACTAGTACCATCCTGTTTTAGTTACTATAGCCCTGTAGTATAGTTTGAAGTCAGGTAGCATGATGCTTCCAGCTTTCTTCTTCTTGCTTAGGATTGCCTTGGCTATTCAGGCTTTTTTTGGTTCCATATGAATTTTAGAGTAGTTTTTTCTTTTTTCTTTTCTTTTCTTTCTTTCTTTCTTTTTTTTTCTTTCTTGAGATGGAGTCTTGCTCTATTGCCAGGCTGGAGTGCAGTGGCATGATCTCAGCTCACTGCAACCTCTGCCTCCTGGGTTCAAGTCATTCTCCTGCCTTAGCTTCTCAAGTAACTGGGACTACATGTGCATGCCACCACACCCAGCTAATTTTTGTATTTGTAGTAGAGACGGGGTTTCACCATGTTGGCCAGGATGGTCTTGATCTCTTGACCTCATGATCTGTGTGCCTTGGCCTCTCAAAGTGCTGGGATTACAGGCGTGAGCCACTGCACCCAGCCTAGAGTAGATTTTTCTAGTTCTGTGAAGAATGTCATTGGTAGTTTAATAGGAATAGCAGTGAATCTATAAATTGCTTTGAGCAGTATGGCCATTTTAACAATATTGATGCTTCCTATCCATGGCCATGGAATGTTTTTTCATTTCTTTGTGTCATCTCTGATTTATTTGAGCAGTGTTTTGTATTTCTCCTTGTAGAGCTCCTTCACCTCCCTGATTAGCTGTATTCCTAGATATTTTATTCTTTTTGTGGCAATTATGAATGGGATTGTGTTCCTGATTTGGCTCTTGGCTTGACTGTTGTTGGTGAATAGGAATGCTAGTGATTTTTGCACATTGATTTTATATCCTGAGACTTTGCTGAAGTTGTTTATCAGCTTAAGGAGCTTTTGGGCCAAGACTGTGGGGTTTTCTATAGCAGGCTAATTTATGCTAGAAAATTTTAGGTAATTTCTTATATTTTAGGTAATTTTCCCTGTATTTTACCTAATATTTTGGGTAATTTCATAAATTTTAGGTAATTTCTTATAACAGGGTAATTTTTGCTAGAAAAAATGTTGGTCCTGATTTTTAAAATACACATCCACACCCAGGTATATTTACATAAAAAATCAAATAAGAAGTATACCAAAACATCAACTGTGAGATTATCTCTGGGTGGAAAGATAGCAGTTGATTTTTTAAATGTTACTTTAAATATTTTCTTAGGATTTCCAGAACTTTCTACAATAAGTATGTTACCTCATTTACAATTAGAAAAATAATACATATTTTAAAATAAGTTCCATCATATAATACCATCTTCAAAGAAACCAAAGTGAAAAAGAGTTAAACCGGTTTTTAGGGGGAAGGGCTATTTCCACCTTCCCGAGGGGCCATGTGGGTAGAAGGCAAATTAAAACCTGAAAGTTTAAAGTCAATCAGTTTGTCTTAATGGGCCCTAGATGGGGGAAAACTTCAGTCATTTCCCTTGCCTGGCACTCTTGTGGTCAGAGGATGAAATCCAATCATGGGGTCAGTTGGGTTTGTACATTCCATGGCAAACCAATTTGGCCATTTCTCTGCATTTCCCAAAAGTTCTCTGACTTCCTAGACAGGAATTGTGAGCACAGGGAGACCTTTATGCTGGTTGCTGCAGCACATCTGGTTTACAGCCTGTGCCAGATGGGCTCCCTTTCATCTGGGAAGAGGGGCAGGAGGGGACACCCGAGCCTCTGTAGGTCCAAGGAACTTCCTCAGTGGAGGCTCTAATTTTTGGTGAAGTGTTTCAAGTTAAGATGTAACTATATCATGTTAGAGTCACAATGTCCCTTAAATTTAAGGAAATATGCTTTTCATTAGAGTTTGCCCACCTCACCTTTAGGTTCATTGCTCAGGCCAAAGATGTTTTGAATAAGCTGTCAGTTGGTTTCTGATAACATCCTGCACTATGTAAATATTTATTGAGCATCTATTATGTACCCTGCACTGGAGAACAACAATGAACAAGATAGATGTGGTCCCTGCACTCAGGGAGCTCTTGCATTTGGGGACAGACTTCTGACTTCCTGCCTTCACTAACCCCAGGTTATTTTTGGTTTATACCTGGCCTCTGATTGTACCAATCACTCCATCACCTTAGATATGCTGGGTTAGAAACAAAATGCTGGAAAATACTCAAATCTACAAGTCCAATAATAGTGAAAGAAGGCCAGGCACATTGGCTCACACCCGTAATCCAATCACTTTGGGAGGCCAAGGTGGGAGGATGCCCTGAGCCCAGGAGTTCAAGACCAGCCTGGGCAATACAGGGAGACCCCACCTCTACAAAAATTAAAAAAAAAATTAGCCAGGTATGATGATGTGTGTCTGTAGTCTCAGCTACTGAAGAGGCTAAGGAGGGAGGATTGCTTGAGCCCAGGAGTTTACACTTACAGTGAGCTCTGATAGTGCCACTGTACTCCAGCCTGAGTGACAGAGTGTGATCCTGTCTCAAAGAAAATAAAAGGAAAAGGAAAGCTATTGCTGGAAGAGGGAGACTGGGTTCATCTGGTGGCTGGGATAGATGGTACTGATGCCAATATCACCAAGGGGAAAGGAATAAAAGAAAAGAGAGGGACTGAGAGGCAAGCACCACTGCAGAAAGCACCACTGTGAAAGGCTCTGGTGAATCCTCTGCGTAGACCACGTTCAGCCTCTTTCCAGGAACTTCTTCCAGCCCTGCCGTTGCCCACTGCACTCTTCTAGAAGATTGTTCTTTTATTTTCCCTTCCTTGCTGAAACTCTGGGGGAAAGGTAGCCAGATTCATCTTCCCCTTTCCCTAGTTATCACCAAATTTCTCCCATTAAGAAATTCTCTCACCCTAAAGGCCTGTGTAATCCCACTCCCGGACTTTCCTGGACAACCAGCCCAATGGGCCTAACCAAGCCTCATGTCACATCACAAGATATTTCTCTTTATCCAGAAACCAAACAACCAGAAGCCCAGCCACCGAAATGCTTACTCTTCTCTTCCAAACACTATTTACAACAACTCCAACACTTTAAGAGCTTAAAATGCTTTTTATTTATTATAGATAGAAGAAATGGTGTTTTGAAACATTCTTGGCTTATGAGTTTGGTGCCATTCTTCAATTTTAAAAAAATGTTAATTCATGTATGCTTTAAATACCGGACTTCTCAGGGTCCAACCAGGAAACAGAATAAGCCTCAGGTGGTTCAAATTAGGAGACTTTCGTGAAATGACCAATTATAGAGAAGTGATCAGTGTTGAGGGAATTCCCAAGGGAAACTGAGGCATCTAAAGACTAGCAGTAGAGGGGATCCATGACCATACCTGGGCCTGAAGTGACAAGGAAAGGAAGCATTGTTGCTGGAGAGGGCTGGATGGCCATGGAGGAAGGAGCTGGTGGCGTCCATTGTCTTGGAGGGATGCAGCCTCTATGAGAACCAGGGTGTTGAAGTGGAATAGGAGCAGAGAAGAAATATCTTGACCTCTTTCTTTTCCAGCCTGCTAATCTCTGCTGACCAAACCCAACTGGAAGCCAGAGGTGAAGGTCAGCCACTCAGGATACAGAACAGGGCCTCAAAAAGTAGAGAATGAATTGGGTGGGGCAGGGGTGGGTGGAATTCAGAGAATAACAAACACCAGGTACTAACTCTCTCTCATACCTGGAATAAGTATTCACTCAGAGCATTGTTTTTCATCACTCTTGCTAAATGTCATTTTATCAGTCAAACTTCTCAAGAATTGTGGGTTGGGACACCCCCAGCCCCACCCCAGTGCAATCTGAAAGTCATGGCTGGTTATCCCTGTAACATGATCATTTTCATTTATTCAAAAATATTCATCGAGTACCTATTATGTACCAGACACCATTAGAAGAAGGTCCCACTTACCCCCCCACCCATCATTCTCATTCATAGGGATCATTTCCTCCCATTTTTCAATGAGATTTCAATTAATCCTCTCCATTTGGACCAGTATTTATATAACCACATCTGCTTTACTTTTCTGGTAAATCCCAATTTTGTTTGACTTGATAGTCTGTCTGGACAACTGAATCCCAAAGCCTCTCAGAATCTAAGAGAAAGTTTATAGTTTTTTCTGGACAAGAACTCAAGTTGTTGGTGCCCCAATTTTTTTTTTTTTAAGCAGAGGCAGTACTTTTGATTCTGTGAAGAACTTTAAAAATAAAACTTGTTCTTGCTGAATGTAGATAACATTTTAGCAAAGTTGTCCTTTCTAAGAACTATAAGCAAAACAGTCTATATCAGTGGCTTTCAAAATTTTTCACTGCAGCACACAATAAAAATTCATTTTATGTCTCAACCCAGTTTCATGAAACAAAACTCAACATTACTTTGTTTTGGTGCATTCTGTTATTTTCTATTCTATTCCATTTCTTTAAAAAAATGCGACCAGAACTGGTGGCTAACTCCTGTAATCCCAGCACTTTGAGAGGCTGCTGTTGGAGGATCAATTGAGGCCAGGAGTTTGAGACCAGCCTGGGCAACATAGTGAGACCTTGTCTCTATAAAATTAATTATTATTTTTTTAAATGCCAATAGCAACCCATTAAATTTATTTTATACTGTATTAATGGGTTGCTTTCTGCAGATTGGAAAATATTGGCCTGCATAATATCTTGAAACTATTTTTAAAATAGACCCAGCAATGGAATCTATATTTGAAGAGTGGTTAAGACGCTCTAAATGTTTATTTTTCAGCCATCATCAAATGTGCCAATCTCACCATTTTTCTTTCATTTAAAGAAAGTCAAACTGGTTTGACCAGTCGCATTCCCCTATTCTCCCCCAGCACCCCATTCTGGCCAAGGGTCCTGCATTTACTGCCAGTTTGGCTTGTGGCTGGACCCGACTGGCAGCAGGGCTTGGCAGCTGTGGCTTACCAAACCCTGTTGCTAAACATAACCAGTGTTTTTTGTTTGTTTTAACTGGAAGAAATCTGCCTATGTTTGACTTGCAGTTATTGGGGGAAAGGTTTCACTGTACAGGTGGGCCTGGGTAGGCACCTGACTCAGGGATGAAGTGATCTCTCCCCACCAACACCACATGGTCTCAGGATCAGGAGGCTGAAAATCATAGCTGCTATTCATCAGGCACTTACAGTGCATTAAAGATGTTCTATACATTATCTAATTTAATTCTAACAAGCCAGTGGGTGGGTATTTTTATCTTTACTTTAGGGCAGAGAGTAGTACTGTCATTGTCATTTAGACGGGAAGAAACTGAAGTTCAGAGAGATTTCATAACTTCCTGAAGCTCCCACTGGTAGTGTGTAGCAGAGCTAGAAATCATGTTCAGCTCTTATTCACAATGCTCTAATGCTTCCTAGTTTGGCTCTGAACTGGTATGGGGGAAGAAGAACAGATAGAAACATTTCTTTTTGCTACTGACGTATTAGATGTAGCATTTGAGGAGGGGAAGTTCTCTTCTAGTTTCTGGGGTTGCGCTGGGAAAGATGTAATTCCTGTGTCTGGATTTCTCGTTGGAATTTGGAGTTCCAGGAGTAACTCAAAGTAATAATGGGAAACTAGAGGACAACTAATATTATGTCAGCTTGATAATAAAAACAAACATACTTCTGTGAGCCATGTAGACTGTATATATCATGCGTAACACAGTCTCTGTGGGAAAAATAAAGCATGTTAAGTCCCCAATAACATATTTTTGAAATAGATTTAATTTGTGAATTGGTGGATTTAATGTATGTAATTTAATGTATGTAAACCATATCTGGTTGCTTTTTTTCTCCCTAATGATAATTCACTGTGCATTTACATATGTAGAGGAAGAGAATTGGAAACTACAGAAGTAAAAGGACATAGGCTTATGCTACAAAGGATAGAGAAGATACAGCAAAAAAAAGAGTAAGAGAGGGTTGCTTCTGGACTTGTTGAGGCTGTTTCAGAAAAAGAAAGTTAGCAGAGATTTGATGCCTGAGAACCTAGAAAGAATTAGCAAGTACATCAAAGACATTGTGATTTTTAGCCACCTTATAGGCAGCTAAATAGTGTTAATGTGGCCGGGCATGGTGGCTCATGCCTGTAATCTCAACACTTTGGGAGGCCGAGGCAGGCGAATCACCTGAGGTCAGGAGTTCGAGACCAGCCTGACCAACATGGAGAAACCCTGTCTGTCCTAAAAATAAAAATAATTAGCCGGGCATTGTGGCATGTGCCTATAATCCCAGCTACTCTGGAGGCTGAGGCAGGAGAATCACTTGATTCCAGGAGGTGGAGGTTGTGGTAAGCCAAGATTGCGCCATTGCACTCCACCTGGGCAACAAGAGTGAAACTCCGTCTCACAAAAAAAATAAATAAATAAAAAATAGTGTTAACGTGCTTTTAAGGACCTCTCCATTTGAAATTCTGCTTAAACGAGCCAAAGCAATAAGTTCACAGTCAAGGTCAGAGACCTAGTATATCTTCTTGGTACTTTAACTTTTTCATTTTCTTTATGTGATGTTATTACAGTTATGTTTGATAAGTGAATTAACTAGAGATTTTTAAGCCTAACAGATATTTTTCTGTATTATATAAACATTTGCAAGATATCTCTCTGAGTTTTAGCTTTCCAGGACTTAAATAGTCCAAATAGTCCATGAAAGTACTGTTTTGCTCATTATGTTAACCAAAAATAAAGCAAGGCAGATCAACTGATGGTTAGAACTTGAGGTCGGGGTAGGGGTGGGGCTACTTTTGAGATATGTTCCCAAACATTAAACATGGATAATAAAATTACAAAAAAATAGAAAGAAAGAAACCATGAATAAAACCCACATGCAATTATAAAATGATTACATTACATAAGTTGTACAAGTTCCAACATTGGGGACCCACAGAATCAAATGCTTGTAGTGCCTGGGAAGTAATACGTATCCTCAAAAATTCAATGGCTCTGGAAATCTCTTTTATGTTGTTTTTCAGAGAAATGCCCAAAAGATTTGCAATCAAAACAGTCGAGACCATGGTTCTATGCAGACGCCGCCTCTGAAAAATCACAGGTGACTTTCTAATGACTTTCTTCTTAGTTTTTGGCCTTATAAACAAAGATGTTTCTGTTAGATTTGACCCATTGAGGAGAAAGAGAGAGGGCCAGGATGCTATGAAGACTCCTTCCAGCATCCAGCCCAGACACTCTGTCTTGGGGAGTGGACCATTTTGACGCCCTGTCTGTAAGATGCTCCTTGAAGCCAGAGACCAAGGAGCTAACCAATTTATGTTCTCACTGAAGTTGATATTACAGATTAGATACCAATTCCCTGGGTGAGCCACAGTTTCTGAAAGAGGGGCTCTGGATTCTCGAAGCAAGTTCCATTTTCTTCTCTATCAGTCTTGGTCCATGCGTAAAGAAAAGAACAGAAAACCAGGTTTGGGGCCAACATGAAGAAATGCTATGTAGATACATTTGTTGTGGTGATTAAAAGGGCCAATTCTCATTAAGTGGAATTTGCTCTTTCAACTGGACATGCACAGGAGTTTTTTTTTTTTTTTTTTTTTTTTTTTTTTTTTTTTTTTAGTATTAACTTATTTTTTTCCCCTTCCAGCTTAGCCAGAGACCTCATGGAGGTCTAAACCCAAGCCAAGCTTGATCGGTTTTAATTCAACCACTGTTGATTTATGGCTTAGCAAAAAATGTCTGAGAATTTTTTTAAGCTAAAAAATTTTTTTTTACCCCAACTTGACTCCCTCACATCTCAAATCCAGCTGAAGGGATATTTCTTAGACTTTCAAAAGACAAAGTCATCATTGGAATGGAAGGGAGCACTGAAAGTTTCAAATCCCAGAGAGAAGTCCTGTGAAAGGGTATATACAAGTAAAAACAAATATATTGGAACACCATGTGACACATTAAATAGGTTCATTTGATTCCCTTTGAATAGAAACTAGAATAGAATCAACCCAAGGCTGGAGTGGAGGTGTGGGATGGGTTGGGGGTGTTTTTTGAGGGATTGCACCAGAAGAGACACAAAAGTTCCTCTTTGCTTTCTCTTATAAGCCCCTCTTCCTTTTCTTATCAGCCAGACCAAAAATGATCCATGGTAAATTTTTTTCTCTACCTGGCTCTGGAATGTACATTGTTATATAATACAAGCAGGAATTAGACTAATAAGCTATTACCAACTGCAAGAAGAAAACCAATACCAAGCCACTGGTGCCTTCCATCTCTGATATTTAATGGGTCTAATCTAGTTCACAATGCATGAGCCTTTCTCTGCCTCCTGTAACATTCAGGCCGGGCTGTGAGATTTAACCATTCGTTAGCTGTGGGCGTATAATTTGTACCTTCTGTCTTTTCCTGGGTGAGCGTCTGTCTTTCCCATAAGACTGTAAGCTCAGTGAGAGGAGGAACTCACCACATATTCCATCTAATTTCCCACGGCCGTGACCTCCAACCTTCCTCTCGATTTCTCACACATTAGTCCAGTGACTGTCCGAGTCCCCCGCCTCAAAAGAACACACAGAAGGAACAAGGTAAAAGGTACCTTTCTTCCTAATGCTGAGGTAGAACCAAGTATATAATTCCTGATAATTGCATTGTAGTCTTCTTCCTGGGGGATCTTCGAGAAGCAGGGAAGGGGCACTCTCTGCTATCATATATTTGTGCACTGTGTGCTTCTCCACTAAGTGCATATCTTCCTGAAAAAAATTACTGGTTATACAGCAGCTCCGCTCATGAACGTTAATACACACCCAATACTTAGACTGCCTTGGCTCAGACACAGAATTACTGCTTTTACTTCTAATGCTTTAAATTCCTTCCATGGTTTTAGTTTTTCAATGTCAAGAACAGGCTTTCACTCATCTCTCCTGCGACTGCGATGAATTCCTTAGAGACCAAGGCCACATCTGTGCTGTACATTAGCTTTCTTGCCTCAGACATCGTCCTGGTTTCATATCAGATAAACAGATTAATGGGCAAGGAATAGACCTGCCCCAGAAAACAAATGAAATAACGGGACAGAATTGTGTTTAAGTACAAAAATGTCTGATTCTTGTTATATACACTTTGTGCCAAAACACACCCCACCAGTGTTTATAACTGAATTTATATGAACAACATCCTGAAATTTATTGAGCATTTACATTATTCTATACACTATCCAAAGCACTTCACAGATATTATCTCATTTAACTTTCACAATTCTACGAGTAGTTACTATTTACAATTAGGTTCTATTGCTATTAAATTTGTACCATCAATATTCAGTATGACTCATTTGGTCCTTACATGAGGTTATGATGTCTTTTGTGTGATTATCTTATACTGTATGAAGACTTTGCAGTGTTTATTATATGTCTCATTTGTCTTTGTTGTATTAATTGCTACAAGAAGGAGATCTCCAAGACCAGTTGCTTAAAGAACAGAGACATGTATTTCTCTCTCATGTAAAAATTTAGGAAGCAGGTTTCAGATTGGCTGGTGTCTATAGTCCACATAGTCATTCAGGGACGTTAGTTCTTTCATGTTTTTTCTTTACCATCTCCTAGGTGTAGCCAGTGTTGAGGCACCAGAGCAGAAGTGGCATCTATCACTTCTACTTACCTTGGAGAAAACTTAGTCACATGTCCATAGCTAACTCTACAGGAAACTAGGACATGTATCCACTGGGTACCCATGTGTCTAGCTATAGTTTTATTACTATGAAACAAAGGGAGGACTGGAATTTAGTGAGTAGCTCACTATGTTCATCATAGTCTTCAATAAATAGATTGTAAACAATTGGAGAGCTAGGCCTGTGTCTTATTCATATTTGTCCCTATCACAGGGCTAAGCACCTGCCACAGAAATCACAGGGCTAAGCACCTGCTCATGTGCCAGCACTCCCTACTCTGGTGTAGGGATGTATAGGGTTTGTGATGCCAGACATGGCAAATGAACCATGGCACTACTCTTTCCTGAACTTGGGTTTGCCCTCAGAATATTTTGCAGTACAGTACCCCTGGAAGCCACTTGGAACAGGTGGGAATTGGCACACCATCTGAATCCTATTAGCCCTCCCTGATTGTAGGTATTCAAATGTTAAAGAACCATAATAGTTTTCCCTCTATTTCCATGGAAACAGGTATGTTGGTTACTGTGGTGATTTTAACGTAAGTCTTCAAATTCTTTGACACACCTTCCTTCAGAAGGTAGAGTTTAATTCCATTCCCCTTGAATGTGGGCCATTGGTGAGTCACTTATAACATAGGATGTTGGCCAGGCGCGGTGGCTCACGCCTGTAATCCCAACACCTTGGGAGGCCAAGGTGGGGGGATCACCTGAGGACAGGAGTTTGAGACCAGCCTGGCCAACATGGTGAAACGCCGTCTCTACTAAAAATACAAAAATTAGCTGGGCGTGGTGGCGGGCGCCTGTAGTCCCAGCTACTTGGGAGGCTGAGGCAAGAGAATTGCTTGAACCTGGGAGGTGAAGGTTGCAGTAAGCCAAGATCGCGCCACTGCACTGCAGCCTGGGCAACAAGAGTGAGACTCCATCTCAAAAAAAAAAAAAAAAAAAAAAAAGAATGTTATAGAATGTGGCAGAAGTAATGCCATGTGGCTTCCAAGCCCGTCATTAAAAAGTTACAGTTTCCACCTGGCTCTCTCTAACATTTGAAATGCACACTCGGGAAGGCCAGCTACCATGGCATAAGGACACTCAAGCAGCCCTGTGGAGAAGTGCGTGAGGAGAGGAACTGAGGCCTCTTGCCGACAACCAGCATCAACTTGCAAACCACATGAGTGAGCTACCTTGGAACTGGATTCTCCAACCTTCGTACAGCCTTTGGATGTTGCAGCCCCAGCCAACATTTGACTGTAGCCTCATGAGAGACCCCAAGCCAGAACTGGCCAGCTGAGCCACTTCCAAATTTCTGGCCTATAGAAGCTATAGAGATCATAAATAGTTGTTTTAAGCCACTAAGTCTTGGGGTGATTTGCTATGCAACAAATAATATAGACATAAATAAATAAATAAATAAATAAATAAATAAATAAATAAAATAGTTGCCTTCTCAGAATGGGAATTTGGAGAGTGTCAGGAGAACTTGGGAGGAGTGAGGGATAAAAATTGTCTAATTATTTTTTGGGTTGTTGTTTCAGTGCTAGCAGCTCCTGACTTGGACTGGACCAGGAATGAGCTCATTTTATTAGGTTGCACAAAGCCGGCTTGATCTTTAAGGAAGAATCAATAGATTCACAAGAAATGGAAACTTAGAGTTATTCTCTGATTTTTCCCAACCAGCTAGATCACAAGAGCTGCAACAGCTCCAAATTTCTCTTTTTGAATCCAAGACACCTCCCAAACCATACTCGTATCCTACATTTCCACATGGCCTTGTCTCAGTCATCTGTAACTGCTTCTGGGATTTCTGGTCCTACTAAGCGCTGAATGGAGATCTCATCCGTCCACACGATGCTGCTGCAAAATGTTTCCCTCCTCTCCATTTCTCATGGTCCTGTTTTCCAATCTAATTATCCCTTATACTGCAACTTGGTGAATGGGGATATACCCAATTTCCTATCAACTCTGTGCCTGCTCTTGTGCCTAAGGCAGGGGTTCTTAAGCTGGGACTGTTATGTATGATCATATCATCATTAGAGCTTGTTTGGGGGCAAGAAACAGAAACACACTTGAACTTTTAAAGCAAAGATAGACAACTTGTTATTGAGATTCAGGGACATTCTACTACATTAAACAGTAGGAATGAGCCAAGCTTCATGGGGGATTGGAGTTGGGAAGTGGGAAGTCTGCACAAATCTTCTTGTTTCATGGATCTCTGCTTCTCTCTGGACCTCTGTGTCATTCTCACTGCATACCAGATCTCTCTGATATTTAGTCTATGGGGCAAATGCAGAGAGTTACCCACAGAGCCCAAATGCACACACATGACAATTCCAGACAGGCTGAAATTCTAACTCTTTCTCCATTCCAATTCCAGATTCCTAGGGTAAGGACTTTGATGGCTTTTGGGAACTCATCATAATGGGTAGATGAGAGGGAGTTAAAGGAGTCAATGTAAAATGAGGTACTTCTAGCCGGGCATGGTGGCATATGCCTGTAATCCCAGCTACTCGGGAGGCTGAGGCAGGAGAATTGCTTGAACCCGGGAGGCAGAGGTTGTGGTGAACTGAGATCGCACCATTGCACTCCAGCCTGGGCAACAAGAGCAAAACTCCATCTCAAAATAAATAAATAAATAAATAAATAAATAAATAAATAAATAAGATGAGGTACTTCAAAATATGTCCACTATAGTGTTTGCATGCATTTTGAGGGGATAGTGTATGTTATTCTGAGCAAACTACTTAAGTCTCTGGGCTTCCATTTTCTCATCTACAAGAAGAAAAGAATATGTTTAAGGACAAATAATCTGCATTTGCACTTAGAATATACCTGCCATATAATGAGTACTCAGCAAACATTAGGTGTTACCAAGCTTTGCACAATGAGCTACTACTAAGAAATTAGGCAGTACCTAAATCCTCATTCTCCATAGTTGAGAGTTAATAGATAATATGAAAAAATCATGAAAGTACAATAAGCTGTTATTTATAAAAATGGAGTAAAATATAAGAAATAGTTGAAAAGACAGTAAGTAGTTACCTCTGGGAACAAGAATTGGGAGTGGGGAGAGATGGAGTTATTTTAAAAATTATAAACCTAGTAGTATTTGACTTTTAAATCAATTTACTCAGTGTGATCCCAATTTTGTGTTACTAAACACACACACACACCCTTATATGTATTATATGAATGACAATACGTATGATATACATGTATAATATATAACTATTACATTGTATACCTATATCTATGTGCATTAAAAATACAGAAGAAAACATACAGAAGTCAACTATGGCTGTCTCTTGGGAGGGGAAGGTTAGGGTTGTAGGTAAGTTTTAGTTTTATTTGACCTGTTTTCCCTATTTCCCAAACTTACTGTGAAGAAGACACATTGGCTCATCATTGTAAATTTTTTTAAGAGGGCGAGAAAGAGACAGGAAGGAACCAGGAGATATGGGTTCAATCCCAGCTGTGCCACTAATTCAACTAATTCACTGTGATCTTGAGCAAACTGCTACCTCCCTGGGCCCCTGTTGATCCAGCCATAAACACAGGATTGAGCTGAGCTCTAAATAATGACAATGCAAAGAGCTACCATTTATCTAAGACTTACTATGTTGCCAACTCTGTGCTAGACACTTTAGTTACACCAGTGGTTATCAAACGCATTAGAATCACCTGGAGAGCTTTTTCAGCCACAGGTTGCAAAGCCCACCTTTTGAGCTTCTGATTCAGTGGGCCTGGGGTGAGGCCTGATAATTTGCATCTCTAACAAGTTCCCAGGTGATACTGATGCTGCTGACCTGAGGATCACTGACTTAACTCATTTAAGACTTGCAAAAACCCTGTGTTAAATTTTTCATCCTTTGGATGGGGAAACTGAGGCTCAGAGAGGTCACACAGTGTCAGAGCTATGATTTGAATCCGAGACTATTTAAACCAAAGCTCTTGCTGTGATACTGCCTTCCTCTGAGGTTTCCTCTCAGTTTCAACTTCCTATGTTTCTAGTTTACAAACAACAAAACCCACACATCTGAGACCAAATCAAAGCTCTTCAGAAAAATCCCAAGAAAATCCCGACATGTGCAACTTCTGCCTGGAGCGGATGAGTCTGGCGCTGAACACCAAGAGGGAGGGTGATAGACCGCGGAGCCGACTGGCTTGCACGAGGCTAGCAAAGGGATTGCAGCTTCATTAAGGCACCCCTGCAACTGACTTGAACTTTTCTTTCCTTATCCTACAGTTTATTTGGCATTCTCTGGGTCTCTTAATCCACAGTCATTTGGGTAGCAAAAAAAAAGAAAAAAAAAAGTGGAAATGAGTTTTCGTCAATGTTGACTTTTGTGGTGTCCCCAGGAATGGTTATTTTCTTCCCTTTCTCCCTAGTGTGAATTCTCAAGTAAGTAGCAAATGATTTCAAATGCATGCCGATTGCAGTGGCCAGCTGCCAGGAGAGAAGTGAAAATAAACTGGTGACAGGAAGTGTCTCAGTTCACGGAAAGGGCAGCGAGGATATAGTGGAGCAAGCCCATGACACTCCTGGGTCCACATGCTGAAAGACTTACCCGGACGGGCTGTGTAGCCACAAATCTCCTAGTAATTCATTAAGTAAGGGGAAACGCTCCCAGAAGCATTTCTCTCCTCTCCTAACACCCTTTGTCTTTTAATTTCCAAACTCCGGGTTCATTCCTATGTCAAGCGAGCCTGGGTGAGTCTCTCTAAACAACTCCTTCATGCGTGATGGAACACACTGCCACAGACTAATGCTTTGACTCTAAGTGTTTTAACAGGCTGAGGTTTCCAAGCTTTAGGATCACAAGATGGATATATGATCGGTGTGAACTAGAAAACAGCATCAAAAACAGCATGAAGGATGGTGGAAAGAAAAGCGAGTTACATGGAACTTTGCCCAGTGCAGGGCTTACAGGCTGGAAGAAAAGTTTCAAGGATAAAAAAGTATATTCGAAGTGAGTAATAAGATAAAATAAGATGATAGAGCAAGGTCAAACGTATCAATAATATCAATAAATGTAAATAGGCTTAATTTACTTACTAAAAAAGAGACTTCCACATTGGCTAATATAGCAAAATTTAACACTGCTCTACACAAGAGGAACACCTAAAACAAAAGGTCCTGAAAGGTTAAAAAAAAAAGAAAGAAAAAGATATTAAAACAAATGCAAATTAAAACTTAAAAGCAGTTACAATTTTGATATCTGACAAGATGGAATTTAAACCAAAAAGCACTAAAGAAGGCAAGAAGGAGACTTTAAAATACTAAAGGTAACAATTCACATTGAAGATATCTAAGTTATTAACATTGAAGCACCTAACAACTAAAGATGCAGGGGAAATGGAAACCCAAATAATTGGTGATTTTAATCCATGTCTGTCGATCCAAGAGAGATCAAGTGGACAATAAGGATGCAGGAGATACAAACGTAACCAATAAGGTAGATCTTATAGATGTATGTAGAAACCTGGACCCCGATAGTGGCAAAAACACCTTCTCAAATGACTACACTTTGGGCCATAAGGAAAACCTCATTAAATTTCAAAGAACAAAGAGAATACTCTCTGATCACAATACAATAAAATTAATAATTATAAACAAAATTTAAAAACCAAAACTATTAATGCTTAACCAAATACAGGATTAATAATTTCCTCTACAATAGACTAAAACATGTTAACTATGTTCATGTTCATTGAGATTATAATATAGATACCAACTGGTAATAATACAAAAACAAAACAAAACCACAAAAACCAAAGCATAAACAAAATTAGAAAACCAAAGAGACCAAAGGAAAAAAAAAAACTGAAAAGACTACTGTATCTGAAAATTAGGAAAAAGCATGTTACTAAGCAGCTGTTAGAGATAGAAGGACAACTTGAAATTATAGAATTTCTGGAAAAGAATGATAATGGAAACACAAATAATCAAGTCTAGGCTATTCAACTAATGCAATTAATAAAGGAAAAAGTTTAGCATTAAATATCTATATCAGTAAAAATGAAAATAAGTGAACTAAATGCCCCATTCAAAAAGCAAGAAAAGAACCACAGAGTGCGCCAAAATAATCTAGAAGGAAGGAATTAATAAAGATGAAAGCAAAAATTAATAAACTAGAAAGTAGAACTTAAAAATAAACCTAAGGCTGAAACAATCAACAAAATATACAAAGCACCAACTAAACTGGTCAAGAAGATAAATGAGAGGAAGCATGGACACACAAGATTAGAAATACTGTGTGTGGGTAGATGGGTAGGACCATCAAAGCAGAGGAAATCCAAACTAAAAACATAAGAGACTGTTTTTTTCAACTCTATGCAAAATATTTGAAAACTTAGATGAAATGGATAATTTTCTAGAATAATGCAACTTACCTAAATTGGTCTCAGTAGAGACACAAAGTCTTAACAGACCAATTACCATAGAAGAAATGAAGAGCTCACCAACAAAAAGCACCAGGCCCTAACAGTTTCTCAGGAAAATTCCAGCAGACCTCTAAAGATCAACTAATCCCGATACTACTTAATAACAAAGAAAAAGAAGAAAAACTTCAGATAATTTGAGTTTTAATAATTTATTCTACAGTGGACTAAAACATGTAAGCTATGTTTAATGTTTCTGAGTTAATAATATAACTATCAACTGATAATGACACAAAAACAAAACAAAACAACAACAAAACTCATTGGTCACTTTGGATGATGCCAAGCATCTTTATTTTGAAAGTTGGCCACAAAAAATCAAGTATTGCTGGGCTCAGTGGCTCGGGAGGATCACTTGAGCCCAGGAGCTTGAGACCAGGCTGAGCAACATAGTGAGAGCTTGTCTCTACAAAAAAAAAAAATTAGCTGGGCATGGTGGCATGCGCCTGTGGTCCCAGCTACTTAGGAGGCTGAAGTGGGAGGATTGCTTGAGCCTGGGAGGTTGAGGCTGCAGTGAGCCATGATGGTACCACTGCACTCCAGCCTGGGAAAGAGAGTGAGACCTTGTCTCAAAAAAAAAAAAATAAAAATAAATAAATAAGCATTTACTTTGCTTTTCCTAGGTGAACTATATCTCACAATGAGGTAAGTTTTTCTTTGTAGAAACATTCTAGCTAATACATGGAAAGTACTGATAGGTTTAAAACACCACTCTTTTGTAACCCCTGATGAAATTTGTGGATCTGGGCTATGATCATCAAAGGCTGTTCACTTCTCAAAGTGAGAGATTAAGAGACAGACATTACATGTGTCCCAGTGGAAGTCCACCATATCATCTATAATGTATTCTTGACATAGAACTTCTAATTTACAAGAAACACACAGTCCAGGGAATATGTGAACTAATACTATAGGGATGCAATCAGCAAAATCCAGGCTATGGAAACTCTATAGGACAAATGATTCAATTTCCTAAACAAATGAATTACAAGGAGAAAAGAAGAGATGGAGGAGGAATCTATAGATTAAAAGAAATTTGAGAAACCTGAACCAATCCAACATGTGGATGCAATTTGGGTCCCAATTCAAACAAACTAATATTTATGAGACAATTAGGGGAAATTTGGACCTGGTAATATGATAATATTAAACATTATTAATTATAAAAGGTATAATATTGGAATTATAATTTAAGAAAAGAGAATCTGTATATTTCAGAGATGTATGCTGAAATATCTGGAAATGAAATTATATAATGTCTGGGATTTGCCACAAAAGATTGAAGGTAGAAATGGGAGAGAGGCAGATGGGGCTATAAATGAAATAAGATTGGCCAAAAGTTAGTATTTAAAGAAGCTGAGTGATGGGAATATGGAGGTTCCCTATACTATCCGTTTTTCCTTTTTATATGTTTGAGATTTCCCAAAGTAAAGAGCTTTTTGTGGTTGTTTTTAATTAGTTGCCATTACAGGTGATTGTTATTGTTCCCTTTATACTTATCCCTGTTTTTCAAATTTTTCACAGTGATAGTGGTTTACTTTAAATCATGGGAAAAATGCTTTTTGGCAGTAAAAGGAACAAAAGATTTAGTCACTGCCTAATTTCTTAGTAGCTCATTGTGCAAAATTTGTTAACACCTAATGTTTTTCTACTGCTTATTATATTCTAAGTGCGTATGTGGATTATTTGTTATTAAATATCTTATTTTCTTCTTGGAGATGAAGAAATGAAAATTCAGAGACTTGAAGTAGTTTGCTCGGAATAACACAGCTGGGGCAAGGGATAGAACTAGAATTTGAACTCGGGCTGTCTGGCTCCAAATTTTATTTTCTAAACTGTGATGTTGTTTAGCGAAATTGGCATCCTCTCTCTTCTCCCTCAAATCGGAGCTGCCTGTGCATGTGCTGTGAAGGTGGAAATGAGCCTGGCTCTTCTTTGAGACATTATTACCTGGGTGACTTTGGGTACAAGTCACTTCATTCTCTGAGCTTCAATTTTATTGCTTATTGGAGGGGGTTGGACTATTTGATGCTGGCTCTTGTTGCTTACCAGCTGTGCAGCCTTGGAGAAGTTGCATAACCTCTCTGAGCTTGGTTTTCCATCTCTGAAAAGAGGATTATTATTCCTACCTCATAGGGTGTTTGAGAAGAAGAAGGGCCATCTGTGAAAACTGTGGGATAAAATAATAATACTATAAATGATAATTGCCATTATTCTTCTTCTAGAAGAGTCCCTGAGTCTGGAAGGGTTGGGAAAAAGGACCCACTTACCCAGGAAGGCTTTCCTGGGCTTTCCACATCCATGCTGGTAACTCTGTATGGAGAGGACTTTGCAGTACCACAGGCACAGGATGAAGAGGGCCCTCGAGTCTTGAACCAGAAGGGAGCCTAATAACTGTGGGAGCCACCATGTATTGAACCCCTACTATTCTAGATGCTTTACAAATATTCCCACACTCAGCCTTGGCTCGGCCTAGCAGGGCAGATATTAACAGCATGCCCATGGCTAGTTAAGTGAGTAGAAGTGCCAGGATTTAAACTGTGCCTCTTTCTCCTTTATCACTTTGCTTTGGTTATACTCAACCAGTTTTTTAATCCTGTGTGCAATAGGGTCTTATTATTGCATTTAACATGAAAATACCTAGGTCACTAGTCAAATAGATTATTTTCAAGTATGAAGCTAATACATGTTTACTATAGCAAATAAAAGAAACATTCAGAAAAATAGAAAGACAATTCACTCACAAATTCACTACCCAGCGTTCAGAGACAACCATGCATTAACATTTTCTTCTAGTCTTTTTTTTTTTTGTAGGTTTTTCTTGTATAATTGAGATCAGGCAATAGTAAATACATTTTAAAAACCTAAAATCATTGAAATAATGAAATGACCTTGGATTGGAAGGACCTCAGAGTAGCATCAGTGTATTGAGGTTGATCTATTTCAGTGGGTCTCAACTGTGTGAGATTTTGCCCCCAAGGGGATATTTGGAAATGTCTGGAGACATTTTTGGTTGCGGGGGTTGCTACTGGCATCTCGTGGGTAGGAGGCAGGCATGCTGCTGAACATCTACAGTGCACAGGACAGCCCCTACAAGGAGAATTATCTGGCTCAAGTGTCAATAGTGCCAAGATTAAGAAACCCCTTGTCTATCTGATTAATAATTATCAAATACAGTGGTTTTGTTGGTGTTGGATACAGGGGGCCGCATCCTGCTTCTCTCCACGGCAACAAATCAGAATGCAGAAGAAGCAGCATGATTGAGTGGCGGGGAAGGCCTGTAGCTTTGACTGCGTCCCAAAGGGGTCGGGATCTCACGTTCTGCCTCTGGGTAGGACTTTGGCTTGTCCCTGTCAGTGATGCTTTCCCAGCCAGGTGACATCCTCACTGCTTGGTCAGGGGTCAGTCTGAGCATGGGGCCTGAGAGGGAAGCTGGGAGTACCACTCCCACTGACTATGATCATCAGAGGTCAGAGACACTGTGGAACTCAAGAAGTGGACACAAACACTTCTGCCAGAAGAGGGGTCCTGAGTCTATCCACACAGCCACCAGGGTGCCATGAGAACTGATCACGTCCTAACAAAGAGAGGGCCTGGGACTGGGGAGGCTCTGCACATCAGCTCCAATATCTCCACCTCCTCCCACTGTGAGGGAGCTGGGTCAGGAACCACTGCTGGTGAATCCAGAGGAGAAGAAGCAGAGACTTCTCCCCCATGGACGAGTGTGCCAGGGCTGCAGTGACAAAGTACAACACACAGAGTGGCTTACACAACAGAAATTGATTCTCTCACATTCAGGGGGCTGGAAGTCTGAGACCAAGCTGCTGTCGGGGCTGTGCTACCTCTGAGGCACTAAGGAAAAATCTGTTCCAAGCCACACTCCTGGCTTCTGGTAGTTCCTGGGTAGTGGAGGCACTGCTCCCGTCTTCATGTGGTGCTTTCCCCATGTGCGCGCCTGTCTCCAAATTCCCCCTTTTCATAAGGACACCAGTCATACTGGATTAGGGGCCCACTCTACTCCAGTATGATCTCATCTTAATCACTTATGTCTGCAACAACTATGTTTCTGAAGAAGGTCACATTCTGAGGTACTGGGGTAAGGACTTACATCTACAAATTTTGGGGGGAAACAATTAAACCCACAACAGACCCCACGTTTGGAAAGTAGTTCCAGTGTCCCTAGCCAAGTAGGAGGATCTGAATCATGCTGGCTGCTTGTGGATGCTCCTTGGTGATAGAATATTTCCTTGTAGATGTCTGTCTCCTGGAGGGTCCCCAGACCCTTTTAGTACCTGGAAGAGATAGGGATGAGGGAGCCGCTCCGAACCCCCGCTGGACCAAGGTCCCCAAGCAGGACTTAGATAAGAGGACTTAAGTGTCAAGGCAATGGCAGTGGAGGAGTTAGCCCACAGCCAAGAATCCATGTGACCTAAACCCAAATGGAGAAAAAAGCAAAAAGGAGGAAGGGAGGTTGGAGATTGGGGGTGAGGTGTGGACAAAAAAGGACAGTTGTGCCCTGGCACACTCTGCAAAGGAAGTCCTGTGGGCTGCAGAAGACATTTTTGCACCCACACTAGTTAAATAGATTGGGGTTTCCCAGAGTGGATTCTGTGGAATACCAGCTCTATGATAGATTAAATAGGTATTACATGAGGAAGAGATTCCATAGCAAAATAAGTATGGGAAGCAATGCTAAACTGGATTTGAATTTCAACAGCAAAATTTTCAAAACTTTTAATATATTAATATGGACTGTGCCTCTTCAAAAAGAGTGAATAGTAATCAGCATTCATCCACGTGATTGGATCACAGAAACTTTTTTCTCAGGAGCATCTGGCAAGATACATTTGAGAAATGTTGAACTAGGTGATGGATGAGCCCATTGTGAACAAAACCACAGAGCTGGTGGATGCTATAGATGATATGGCATAATATGAATATTAGATAATAGAAATTCCCAATTGACATTATCACCACGCTATGTTCCACCTTCCCTAGATCTTCCCTCAGTTGCTATCATATTGGATTCCCTTGGTTTGAGAAACACTTCTTGACGTTTATACTATTTCTTGTGAATAACTGATAAAATCGTCAACCTCAATGACACAAGTCAGCAAAGTCATTCTACATAAAGCCACAGGCCTAGCACCAGCTACAGGTATATATCCCACTTTCCCAACCCAGCCCTCCCTAGCAGGCTCCCACCTACTCATCCAAGGTGTTGTGGGCCCCCAGAAACCTGCTTAAACCAACATGGAGCAAAAACCATCATTACAGGACCCTAGAAAAGCCTCCTGGCTGCCTGTGATAAGGCATACTGAACAGACAAAAGGCCTGAGGCTCATTTTCTTTTAACTTTTTTTTTTTAATAGTACAAACTTAAGGCTCTTTATTCAGGCAGTAAAGTAAGGAACAGCAAAGTGGGAGGGCTACACCATCACCATGGCAACAGAAAGCCTCAAAAACTTAAAGTCCTTCCTAGCTCAGAAGAAACACATTTTAACTGGCTGAGAACAAGGCCAGGCAGCCTGGGAATGGTGTGGAAGGGCGGCTGCACGCGCGGCCTCTGGTCAGTCCTGGAAGTGCGTGGTGAGGGCTTTCAGCAGGTCCTGCTTCTTTAGCACACTCTTCAGCCCATCCACCCGGCAGGCCTCTTTCAGCATGGGCACAGTGAACTTGCCCAGCATGACCTTGCTGATGTGGGTCTTCAGCTTCTCTTCTCAATACTCCACCTTGGGCCTTTTGCTCCCAGAACCTTCGTTATTGTGCTTTCTCTTGGTAACTTTCCCTTCAGGATTGTAATCTGGCGGGTAGACAAGCTCCTTAAACTCATCCACCAGGGATCCCAGTCTTTTATTCATTGCTTCAACCTTGGGCAATGTCAGATCTACTGCTTGTTCAGGCTCCATCAAATCCAAGGCCAAGGCCTCCAGGTTCCTGAAGTACTTACTGCTGCAGCACGGGATTCTCAAAGCTGTCACTTCTGTATGTGAAGCGGAGCTTCTGAATGATAGCCTTCATCTTGTCCATCTACTCTGGAGTTGCCATGACCTTTTCAGTAAAGGGCATATTCGCCGGGCGCGGTGGCTTATGCCTATAATCCCAGCACTTTGGGAGGTAGAGGCGGGCGGATCACCTGAGGTCAGGAGTTCAAGACCAGACTGGCCAACATGGTGAAACCCCATCTCTACTAAAAATACAAAAAATTAGCTGGGCATGGTGGCAGGCATCTGTAATCCCAGCTACTCGGGAGGCTGAGGCAGGAGTATTGCTTGAACCCGGAAGGCAGAGGTTGCAGTCAGCCGAGATCGCACCATTGTACTCCAGCCTGGGCAACAAGAGTGAAACTCCGTCTCAAAAATAAATAAATAAATAAATACATACATACATACATACATACATACATACATACATACATACATAAAGGACACCTTCATTTTATCATCAGCAAAGGGTAAAAAGACCAGCTGGAAACCTGGAGGAGTCACCTGAATTTTCTAGTCATCCAACTCCTCTTCCTGTGGCACCAAAGCCACAAAATAAGGGGGAATGTTCCTGTGGGGCGTGTATCTGCACAATGCTATGACCTCCTTCTCCAGACACTTGATGAGCAGAGCACTGAACAGGATTGAGCTCCCAATCACCAGCGACTCCTCAGGGTACACCAACAGGGAGGGCCTCAGGTAATGGTGCTTCTTCAGCATTACCAAGGGCTTGAAACCCAGGAGCATCAAACCTGGATCATTAAACCATTTTAGCTCTTCTGTTTCCTCTTTTTCCAGTATAATCTGATGACTTCCAAAGATCTGAGACCTCTTGGTATCACTAGGCAGAAGCACACTGCATGTATTTGTGTTAAATGTCCGGGTCTTTGTTTTTTCTGTTTTTCTTTTCTTTTTTTTTTTTGGACAGAGTTTCGCTCTTGCTGCCCAGGCTGGAGTACAATGCACAATCTCGGCTCACCGCAACCTTCGCCTCCCGGGTTCAAGCGATTCTCCTGCCTCAGCCTTCTGAGTAGCTGGGACTACAGGTATGCACCACCACGACTGGCTAATTTTGTCTTTTTTTTTTAGTAAAGACGGGGTTTCTCCATGTTGGTCAGGCTGGTCTTGAACTCCCGACCTCAGGTGATCCGCCTGCCTCGGCCTCCCAAAGTGCTGGGATTACAGGCGTGAGCCAACGCACCCGGCCAGGGTCTTGGTTTTCACTGGTTCATTTGTTTCCTGATAGAGCTTTACTGGAGGAGGCTTAAGAGCCTTTTGGACCAGATTACAAATGCCCACAGAGATCACTATATCTTTGTTGAGCTTCAGCTTTAACCTGCTGAGTGCTTGCTTCCTGGTGTCCTTGGCGTGAACCTTCGGCAACAGGTCTTCTAGCTTGCTGGATTCCTCAAAGTGAACCCTGAGGTCCTCATCCTCGGCTATGTTGATGGTATCTCTATAGAACAAGGATAGGTCAAAGCCCCCAGGTTTCTTCAGGTGCATCAAGTCAAGGAAGATGCCTGTATCTTGGAGATCACCGGCTTCAGTCCTGGCCTGGCTGGCTTTGGCACTGTCATTGCCATGGGGGTTTTCTTCACTGGTCAACAGCATGATCCTCGTATGACTCATCTTCAACCAGACATCACTAAAGAGGCTGGCACAGACCCACAGCACTTCACTGAGCGAGTAGTCAGATCCGTGGCCCATCAGGTCTTGGAAACGTTTTTGTCCCTGCTGCCCCTTAAACTGGTCAAGCTCTAGAATTTGTTTTGCACTTGGATTATCCAACTCCTGTAAGACGTAAATATTTTTAAAATTCACTGAATTTTTGTCTTTCTCGGTACCATAGAACACCACTGCCAAGAGATCTCAATCACTGCTTATGATCTCATTGCTTATGATCTGTTTATGATCTCACTGCTTATGATCTCACTGTTTATGACCTCACTGCTTATGATCTCACTGCTTATGATCTGTTTATGATCTCACTGCTTATGATCTCACTGCTTATGATCTCACTGCTTATGATCTGTTTATGATCTTACTGCTTATGATCTCACTGCTTATGATCTCACTACTTATGATCTTTCTTACTGCTTATAATCTTACTGCTTATGATCTTTCTTACTGCTTATGATCTTACTGATGTACACACTTTGGATACACTGGATGCTCATGTCAAAAGGAATCAAAACTTCACTCTGAGATTCAAACATAGCCCTGGAGGCATCAACCAAAAAAATCAAACTATGTCTTCCTGAATATTTATAGTCTCCACTTGCTTCAAGGTTCTCTTCTTCTTCTTCTTCTGCTTCTTCATCGCCCTCGATTTTGTAATACAACTCCCACCCTGACATGTTGGCTACTGTTCACTTTGGCGCAGGGAAGTGACCAACTTGGACAGAAGACAAGAATCTCTTTTCACTTTTAACCAAAAATAGGTCATGCATTTGAATTCCCTGCCCCCCCCCCCAAAAAAAAAACCTGGGGACATGTAGTTTATTTGGGTGGTGATCCTAGGAAGCCCAAATGAAGAAGTAGGGAAAGTGAGACAGGGAAATAAGAAAAGTCAATAATGGGTACATTAATGAGCAGGGCTCTTATGGGCAGCTGAGGTTCAGTCTCACTGGGGAACCTCTGGGAATTCACGTGGAACACGCCTTTGAATTGTGCCACCAGAGGATGGGGTGGCTGGAGCATTTGGCTACCCCCTCACCTCCCTCGTCGGCTGAAGACTGCCCCCTGAACTGGGTTGAATAGTGTGCCCCCAAAAGTCATGTTCTTTCTGGAACCTCAGAATGTGACCTTATTTGGAAATAAAGTTGTTGCAGATGTAATTAATTAAGATGAAGTCAGGCTGGGCACAGTGGCTCATGCCTGTAATCCCAGCACTTTGGAAGGCCGAGGTAGGGGGATCACTTGAGATCAGGAGTTCCAGACCAGCCTGGCCAATATGGCAAAACCTCATCTCTACTAAAAATACAAAAACTACTCAGGCATGGTGGCGGGGCCTGTAATCCCAGCTACTCGGGAGGCTGAGGCCGGAGAATTGCTTGAACCCGGGAGGTGGAGGCTGCAGTGAGCCGAGATTGTGCCACTGCACTCCAGCCTGGGCCACACAGCCGAGACTCTGCCTCAACAGAAAAAAAAAAAGGCTGAGGTCAGCCTGGAGTAGAGCCAGCCATTAATCCAATAAGACTGGTATCCTTGAGAAGAGAAGAGACACAAGAACAGGGATATACAGCAGGAAGGCAGCCATGTGAAGATGGGGGCAGGATTGGAGGGATGCTGCCACGTGCCAAGGACTGCCAGGGACTTTCAGCAACCCCCAAGAGCCAGGAAGAGGTGAGGCAGGACCTTCCCCAAGAGCCTTCAGAGAAAGTGTGGCCTTGCTGGTATCAACCACCAAGGTATCAACCTTGCCTTCAGACCTCTAGCCTCCAGAACTGTCAGAGAATAAATCTCTGTTGTTTTAAGCCAACCCATTTATGGAACATTGTCATAGCAGCTCTCAGACTCTAATGCATGTCCAAAGGTGCTAAGTCCCCCACAGCTCCCCAGGTGCCCAAGAAAGCCTTCAGGCAGAGAAGCAGAGATGCAGGCACTTGAGGTGGGATGCTGTAGTGAGCTCAGATGTGGACCAAGAAGATACAGTGTGGGACATCAGCAGCATCTGCCACCATAAGTATTCCCATAAGAGGCAGTACATCAAGGCTAAGCTCATGTGCTTGGAAGTTAGGCTCGAATCTGTTCTATTACTTAGAAGTTTCAAGACCTTGGACAAGTTACATGACCTCTGTGAAACTCAGTTTTCCTTATTTGTAAGATGGGTATGAAATCATACTTCACAGAAATGTGAGTATAAATTAGTTCAAGTCTATAAACTACCTGGCATGGTGTCAGGCACATGGCATCATTCAATAAACATAACCTGTTATTATTAGATATTATTAATAACTAATTAACAGTGGTACTATTGGCGGGGCGTGGTGGCTCACGCCTGTAATCCCAGCACTTTAGGAGGCCGAGGTGGGTGGATCATCTGAGATCGGAAGTTCGAGACCAGCCTGACCAACATGGAGAAAACCTATCTCTATGAAAAATACAAAATTAGCCAGGTGTGGTGGCACATGCCTGTAATCCCAGCTACTCAGGAGGCTGAGGCAGGAGAATCGCTTGAACCCAGGAGGCGGAGGTTGCAGTGAGCCGAGAGCACGCCATGGCACTCCAGCCTGGGCAACAAGAGCAAAACTCCATCTGAAATAATAATAATAATAAAAATGTTATTAGTATTAAATCTTTGGTGCAGCCTTTGGAGTCAAATAGACTTGAATTTAAATTTCAGCTTTGTAGATGAAAAGCCTTAGGCAAGTTACTTGAGTTTCGATTTGTCCATGAAGATTATAACAATATGCGTGAAGCTGGCCAGGCGCAGTGGCTCATGTCTGTAATCCCAGCACTTTGGGAGGTCGAGGCAGGTGGATCGCTTGAGCGCAGAGTTCAAGACCAGCCTGGGCAACATGGCAAAATCGTATCTCTATTAAAAAGAAAAAATTAAAGTGTAAAGCCCTTGCTGGTTGTAACGTTTCTCCACAGTTCCAGAAGGCATAAAAGGATTGTCCTGGCAGTGTCTTTCGATGCTTCCCCTCAAGCAGTGCTGTGAGTTTCCAAGTGACATTTCTGAAATCTATGAACTCTCCCTGTACCCTTGGTAGAGCAGATATGCCCTTCTCTTGACCTTGTTTGCTAGTGCTAATGCTTCCCCCACCGTCCCCTGGAACTTTGTCCCTACTGCCTGCTCACCACTACCACCGCCCCTATCACACTGCATCTGACTTGTGCTAATAAAGCCCAAATCCCCAAAGTGACACGTAGAGTCTGGGCTGTGCCCTGGCTGGCTGCCTGGTGGGCATTCCTTTGAGTAAGAAAAGGAAGCTCAGATGCCTGCCGCCTCCCCATGCCTTTGCGTCTGAGCTGGAAACATGGCCTCTGCCTGTGGAAACGTTGGCAGCAGCTCCATGGAAAGGGGCTGGGGACTGTGCCCACGGACCAGATAGGCCTGCCCTTCTTTGGCTTCTCCTTGGTACGCAGACAATGAAGTGGCCAAGCAGGTGTTGCCTGGCTTGACATTGGCTGTGACACCTGTCCACTCTCACTCTGAACTAGCAGTCAGTTGGGGCTGTGAGCAGGGCGGGAAGGGTCACACCTACGGGACCCCTCCCCACTGTCCCATGCAACGATCTCCACTATGGAAAGCCACGTGCAGCAGTGAAGTCCCTGAAATGTGACTAATGCAAGAGAAGATCACAATTGTATATTAATTCAAGTTTAATTTAAAAACCAATATTAGATAGAAGGAATGGTTCTGGTGTCCTGCAGCACTGTGGGGTAAATGTGGTTAACTGTCATTTATTGTATGTTTTCACAAAGCTAGAAGAGAGGATTTTGAATGTCCACAACACAAATAAATGATAAATATTGGAGGTGATTCATATGCTAATTACACTGATTTGGCCATTGTACACTAAATATGCATATTGAAATATGCTGTACCCATAAATGTGTACAATTATTACTTGTCAACTAAAAAGAGCGGAAAACCTAATGCTTGATTCAGTTATTGGAAAAAATTTTTAAATGTATTTGGAACAATTTAGGTATGTGGGTCATACCTTTTACAACTGCAAATTTTATGAAATCTAAAAACAGATCAGGTATTTCCAGTGAAAATTTAGCATCTTAATTGAGATGTGCTGTAAGTATAAAATACACACTGGATTTTGAAGACGTAGAAGGAAAAAAAAATGTAAAATATCTCATTATAATTTTTAAAACAGGCCGGGCCCTGTGGCTCATGCCTGTAATCTCAGCACTTTGGGAGGCCAATGAGGGGGTGGATCACCCAAGGTCGGGAGTTCGAGACCACCTGGCCAACATGGTGAAACCCCGTCTCTAATAAAAATACAAAAAATTAGCCGGGCTTGCTGGCGGGTACCTGTAATCCCAGCTACTTGGGAGGCTGAGGCAGGAGAATCCGTTGAACCTGGGAGGTGGAGGTTGCAGTGAGTCAAGATGGCACCATTGCACTCCAGCCTGGGCAACAAGAGTGAAACTCCATCTCAAAAAAACAAAAGATTTTTTAAAACACTGCTTAGTGGTTGAGATACTGATATTTTGGATATATGGGGTTAAATAAAATCTATTATCAAAATTATTTTTACCTATTTCTTGTTACTTTTCTTTTTTTTTTTTTTTTTTTGAGACAGAGTCTTGCTCTGTCACCCAGGCTGGAGTGCAGTGGCCACGATCTCGGCTCACGGCAATCTCTGCCTCCTAGGTTCAAGCGATTCTTCTGCCTCAGCCTCCCAAGTAGCTGGGACTACAGGCACGTGCCACCATGCCTGGCTAATTTTTGTATTTTTAGTAGAGACAGGATTTCACCAGGCTGGTCTCGAACTCCTGACCTCGTGATCTGCCCAAAGTGTACTTCTTGTAACTTTTTTAGGTGGTGACCAGATAATTTAAAATTATCTATGTGGCTCACATGATATTTCTATTGGAAGCACTGTTCTAGATGGGTAGAAGCCTAAGACATTAGAACTTGAAGGGCCTCAGGCATCACCTAGAGTGTCCTCTCCTTTTAGAGGTGAGGAATTTGGCACAGGAGGAGTTTAAATGACCTCCAGAGAACTGGAACCCAGACCTCTTTTCTCCCAGCCAAGGTTGCATAGAATGCAATGACAAGCCAAGTTGCGTAAGTTGAGGTAATGGATTCAAAGTACCACACATGGTTATAACAAGATGGTAGTGTCAGTAAGGTGTTTCAAACATGAGATGATATGTATTATTTTTGCCCTTCTCCAAGGAACCAGAGAATAACAGAACTAGGAAGTGTCCCTTGAGATTACGCAGAGGGTCAGATTACTTTTTCAGACATCTGCTTGCTCGGGAACCTGGATATATAAGGCCTCTTCCAGGAGGAGGACGCCTGCTCCCATAAGGAATTGTTCTTCTCTTTGCTCCTGGCAATTCAGGGAAGCAGGCTCAGGGCTGATAGGTCATCTAGTGTTTTGGGCTGAGTGTCTCCTCTGCTTCTTTCCTGGTCTCCCTCCCTTTTGTCCTTTCCAGCTTCTCCCAATCTTTGGGGGGACAAGGCATCTTGCTTGTGTGTCTGGCTGTACCCCCGGGGGTGTGGCTGCGCATCTGAGTGCGAGCTGAGTATGGAGTGGTAGTGGCTGTGGGCTATGAAGGCTGTGGGGTGGGGGGGCCTTCCTAGTGCCTGGGTGAGTGGGGAGTGGACAGGAGTGGAGGGGTGCTTTTAAACAAGTCCTGTAGACCAGTGGAGAATTGGGGAGTTGAGACTATAGTGTGAGGCTGTCTACCCAGGTGGAAGTGGCTATGGGCAGTTGTGCGTATAGCAGTGTGCCTGCAGTTATGTGCGCTTGTAGAGTATGGTGTTGTGTGGCCATTTTACATCAGAACACAGCGTTTCCTGTCGACACCTAAAGCATTGCAAGAAATTGCAATTAGATCACTATCACCTAGTAATTTCCCTTCCCTTTCCTTCCCTTCTTCCTTCCTCACTTCCCCCTCTTTCCCTCCTTCTCCTGTCCCTTCTTTTCCTCTCTGTATTCCATTTCAAGCTTACAGAACTCTTGCTGGGAGCCAGGCACTATATTGGGATTATTTGTCTCTTGTCTTTTCTCCCCATCAACACACCCCTCAAAGTCTCAGTGTGACTGACCTCCATTTTAGTGCTGTGATTATGACAGCTTCAGATTTAGTGCTGTGATTACGATATGTCGGGATTGGGTCTCACTCAGTAACTGGTGGAGGCTGGTACTGTGTTCCCTCAATAAGTCCTGGTTGATGTAAACTTGCTGCAGTCCCTCCTCTCCAAGAAGAAAGGGAGTGTGGGAATGAGCTGGGGGAATCTGTGACTAAGTGGCTTGTTTTGTTGGTGACAGGGGTACCTGACCAAGCAGGTGATTCGAGTCTGATATCCTGTGTTCCTTCTGTATCCTCTCCTGGAAGGTCCATCCTAGACCCTGGAGATGTAACCAGGTATGCAACACCTCAGTCGTGGTCAGCACAGTGTGTGGCCTGGGCTGGCTCTGAGATGCTGGGGCTTGCCTTTGTGGTCACCACAGCCTTTCCCCCTGGCAGAGGCCTGAACTGCCTGGCTGCCTGCAATAGTCTCAGGGCCTCAGGACCCACCTACAGAGCCTAGCCCCCGAAGGGTATCACAGGATCTGTCAGAGGTGCCTGGTCCTCCATCAGGGCCAGCGGCCATGGGATCATTTCTCTTCCCTCAGGCTGCTGTTGGCTAAGTGGCCCATTGTCACCCTGGCCCTGGCTCTGTGGGAAGGGGTTCTGGGTGCCCATGTGTCTCAGAACCCAGTGACTACCACATGACACACTGAGCCCTGGTTTGTCCTTCCAGGCCTGTGCTCAGCCAGACTCATTGTCCAAACCTGGGACCTCACTGGCACGGCTGCTGTGGTGCTCACGAATGGGTTTGAAAAGCAAGGGGACTTGCTGTCTTCAAAAAAGACTCTTTGGAAACCTAGAGCCTGACTCCTGTTTGCTTCATCTTTTTGCTCAACCCCATTTTCATACAGCAAATTAGGGAGAGATAAGGGAATGTCATGGAATTTGAAATGTCAAGAGACACGGGTGCTTTGGAGATCTGCAATGCCACCTGGCCCCATCACTAACTCTTTTTTGTGCAGTTTCTGAACTTCTCCAGGCCTCAGGTTTTCAAATCTGTCAAATGAGAACATCTAATCAATCAGTGGATAGGTGTGTTATTTAGGTGAAATGAACTAGCCAATGAGAATATAGTTTGCAAAAGAACAAAAGGAAGGAAAAAAGCAAATGGTTATTTGGCACTTATGGTATACTTCATAGACTGCATCTCAGTTTAGACTTTGGCTCTGGAGATCGACAGACTTCCTGACTCCACCAGCCATTTATTTTATTTTATTTTATTTTTTTATTTTTGTTACCAGAGGTGGGGTTTCACCATGTTGGTCAGGCTGGTCTCCAACTCCTGACTTCAAGTGATCTGCCTGCCTTGGCCTCCCAAAATGCTGGGATTACAGCGTGAGCCACTGCTCCCGGCCCCCACCAACCTCTTTTCCTCAGACTCTGTGTCTTATGTTTTCTCTTCTCAGGGCTTGACCTCACTGATTCCCAAGCAATATCCTAACCATGCAATAAACATGTGAGCTAAACTGTCAGTAGTGTGTAGACAACAACTAAGAATCAGAGTCCTGGCCTCCAGTTAGAGCCATGCCACTCCTGTGTGATTTGGACAAGGCATTCAAACCCTCAGGGCTTTCTGATCACAAACATGTCCCTGAGTCTGCAAGCCCTCAGACACAAAACCAGATGCCTTAACTTGGCATTCATCATCTCTATATTCTGGCCTCAATTGTCCTTTTCCATCCTTAAATTCCTTTTTCCACCTGCCCTGGACTCCCTTGGTGCTCCTACAGCCCTGCACTTCCCCTGCACATACACGGGCTCTCGCTGCCCTCCCTTCATGAATGCAGGACACCCAAGATGCCTGCAGCAGTGCCTCCTCCACAGTACCTGCTCTGTGCATGGCAGTGTTTGACATTTCTGCCCAGACTGCCCACTGCTGGTTTTCAATGCCTACCTCATCCACTCAGCATTACCACGAAGTACTCTAGCCAAAAATATTAAAGTGGATTCTAACAATCAGATTAATCTAGACTGTGGGACATTGTACAAGAAAATTGGTCCAGATCCTTCAAAGACATCAATAGCAGGGCAGAGCATAAACAAAAATGTGGGGAAGACTGTTCTAGATTTATGGGGAAACTCTAGACTGTTCTAGACTAGATTGACAATGAAATGCAACATGTGATCCTTGAGTGGTTCCCAGATTTTAAAAAATAGGTATAAAGAATATTACTGGGACAATTAGAAAAATTTGGTTGTGGACTGTGTGGTCCATGGTCTACTAGGACTGCCATAACAAAATACCTGAGACAGGGTAGCTTAAACAGCAGAAATGTATTTTCTCACAGTTCTTGAGGCTAGAAGTCCAAGATCAAAGTGTCAGCAGTTTGGTTTCATCTGAGGCCTCTCTCCTCTCACCTTTTCACTGAGTCTTCACATGATCTTCCCTCAATGCCTGCACACATCTGTGTCCTAATTTCCTCTTTTTTTTTTTTTTTCTTTTTTTTTGAGACAGAGTTTCACTCTGTTGCCCAGGCCGGAGTGCAGTGGCATGAACTTGGCTTACTGCAACCTCCGCCTCCCAGGTTCAAGTGATTCTCCTGCCTCAGCCTCCTAAGTAGCTGGGATTACAGGTGTGTGTCACCACTCCCAAGTAATTTTTGTGTTTTTAGTAGAGACGAGGTTTTACCATGTTGGCCAGGCTAGTCTTGAACTCCTAACCTCAAGTGATCAACCTGCCTTGGCCTCCCAAAGTGCTGGGATTACAGGCGTGAGCCACTGCACCCAGTCTAATTTCCTCTTCTTATAAGGACACTAGTCATTTTGGATTAGGGCCACCCATGTGACCTCATTTAACCTTAATTACATTCTTTAAAAAGCCCTATCTTCAAGTATAGTCACAATCTGAGGTACTAGGGGTTGGGACTTCAACATATAATTGTTAGGGTAGACATAGTTGAGCCCATAACAGTCTGAATATCGATGCAACTAGTATGTTAATCTGAAATTAATTGGACAAGACACTGTGGTTCTAGAGAAAGTCCTTGTTCTTAGCATATGTATGCTGAAATATTTAGGGGTAAAGAGTCATGATGTCTGCAACTTTCTCTCAAATGGTGCAGAAAAAAATTAAGAGAGAACAAATGTGACAAAATAGTAAATGGTAAATCTAGATAATGGGTATAAGATATTCCTTGTAATATTCTTGCAACTTTTCTATGGATTTGAAATTTTCAAAATAAAAAAGTTGGAAGGAAGGAATTTTTTCTCATCCTCAAGGCCCCTGACCGTCAAAAATATGATTCCATGTCCCCCTATTATGTGCTCAAGAGTGACTGTTCTTTTCTGCCTTAGCACTCATCTCTGTTTATTTTGTATTGGGATTTTGTTTGACCACCATCTGTCTGTCTAAGCTACACAAAGACAGATATTGGCCTGCTTGGCTCATGTCTGCACCCCAGCAGCTGGTACAAGGCCTGGCACTCAATGATATTGAATTGAATCAATGAATGAATGAATATTGTCATGGTTTGAATATTTGTCTCCTCCAAAACTCATGTTGAAATTTAATCTCCTGCAAACCTACAGCCATCTGACCTTTGACAAAGTTGACAAAAACAATCAATGGGGAAAGAGCTCCCTATTCAATAAATGATGCTGGGATAACTGGCTAACTATATGCAGAAGAATGAAACTGAACCCTACTTCTCACCATACACAAAAAGTAACTCAAGATGAATTAAATATTTAAATGTAAGACCTCAAACTATTTAGAATCCTAAAAGAAAATCTAGGAAACATCATTCTGGATATTGGCATTGGGAAAGAATTTATGACTAAGTCCACAAAGGCAACTGCAACAAAAACAAAAGTTGGCAAGTGGGACCTAATTAAACTAAAGAACTTCTGCACAGCAAAGACACTATCAACAGAGTCAACAGACAACCTACAGAATGCATGAAAATATTTGCAAACTATACATTTGGCAAAGATCTAAGATCCAGAATCTATAAGGAGCTTAAACAATTCAACAAACAAAGCACAAATAACCCCATTAAAAAGTAGGCAAGGCTGAGCACAGTGGCTCATGCCTGTAATCCCAACACTTTGGAGAGCTGACGTGGAAGACTCCTTGAGGCCAGGAGTTGAAGACTGCTTGAGTCCAGGAGTTTAAGACCAGCCTTGGCAACATAGCAAGACTCTGCCTCTTCAAAAATATAAGAATTAGCTAGATGTGGTGGCACACAACTGTAATCCCAGCTACTCAGGAGGCTGAGGCGGGAGGATCCCTTGAGGTCGAGAGTTTGAGGCTACAGTGAGCCATACTTGCACCACTGAACTCCAGTGACAGAGCAAGATCCCATCTATAGGAAAAAGAAAAAGTGGACAAAAGGTGTGAACAGACACTTCTCAAAAGAGGACATACAAGTAGCCAAACAATCATGAAAAAATGCTCAACATCAGTAATTATCAGAAAAATGCAATCAAAACCATCTGAGTGGTTACCATCTGAGAGATACCACCGCATAGTAGTCAGAATGGCTATCACTGAAAAGTAAACACACACACACACACACACAAACATGCTGGTGAGGCTGCAGAGAAAAGAGAATGTTTATACACTGTTGGTGGGAATGTAAATCAGTTAAGCCACCATGGAAAACAGTTTGGAGATTTCTCAAAGAACTTAGAACTACCATTTGAACCAGCATTCTCATTACTGGTATCTATCCAAAATAAAATAAATTATTCTATCAAAAAGACACATACATTTGTAAGTTCATTGCAGCACTATTCACTATAGCAAAGACATGGAATCAACTTATGTGTCCATCAACAGTGGATTGGATGAAGAAAATGTGGTACATATATACCATGGAATGCTACGCAGCTACAATAAAGAAGAAAATCATGTCCTTTGCAGCAACATGGATACAGCTGGAAGCTATTATCCTAAGTGAAATAATGCAGGAACAGAAAATCAAATGCTGTGTGTTCTCACTTATAAGTGGGCACCAAATGCTGGGCACTCAGAGACACAAAGATGAGAAAAATAGACACTGGGAACTACTAAATGGGGGAGGGACAGAGAGTGCAGAGATTGAAAAACTACCTATTGTGCACTGTGCTCACTAGCTGGGTGACGGGATCAATCATACCCCAAACCTCTGCATCATGAGCTATACCCATATAACAAACCTGCACAGGTACCCCTGACTCTAAAATAGAAGTTGAACTTAAAAGACACACACACACTTACTCTAAAATAGAAGTTGAACTTAAAAGACACACAGACACACACACAAATACACACACACACACACACACACACACACGAGAGAGAGAGAGAAAGAGAGAGAAAGAGAGAGAGAGAGAAATTTAATCTCCAGTGTGGCAATATTGAGAGGTGAGGCCTTTAAGAGGTGATTGGGTCACGAGGGCTCCTGTCATAATCCATTCGTGGGTTAATGACTTAATGGGTTATCATGGGAGCGGGACTGGTAGCTTCATTAGAAGCGGAAGTCCTGAGCCGGGACTAGCCTGCCCAGCCGCCTCGCCACGTGATTCCTGTGCAGTCTCAGGACCCTGCAGGGTCCCCACCAGCAGGAAGGTCCTCGCACAAGCAGCCCCTCCACCCCTGATTTCTAAGCCTGCATAACTATTAGGAATAAATTTCTTTTCTTTACAAATTACCTAGTTTCAGGTATTCTGTTATAAGCAACAGAAAAGGGACTAAGACAAACATAGATGGGGCCAATCAAGGACAGACCAGAAACATCCGGGGTTGGGGGGAGGAGTCTAGATCCCAGACGGTTTCCTGGAAGTTCATGAATGTCAGAGTGTGCCGCTCTCCGACCTTTGCTTCTTTGCCTCCTTTATTTCTTCTCCTCCTCCAGTCCTTTCCTCTCTCTCTCTAGCCCCTCTGCTCCCTCCTTTCTTTCCCCCGGCCCGTTGCTATTGAATTCCTGGCCGTCAATGAGGTCCTGGGCTCGGGGGGCCAGGCTGGGGCTCCCCGGAATTCCAGATCCTCGCAAGGAAGTGAGGGCGGCGGCGCGGGGTGGGCCCGGCTCCATCAGGGGCGCAGAGGCCGCGGGACGCGGAGAGCAGGCAGGCGCCGCCAGGGGACGCCTTACAGCCTGTCCTAAGCTTTTATTTTCTGGGATGAGGTCTCTTCTTCCAAGGGCTTCTATTTCCTCTCCCGCAAAACAGAAAGCTTCTCCTCCCGAGGTACTTGAGCATCCCCTCCAAGCGCAGCCCGTATTCCTCTCGCCTGCCCAGGCGGCCAGTCAAGGACACCCGATGTGCTGGGTGGCCAGGCGGCTCCCTCGGAGCCCAGGGATCGCGATGGGCTCCACCTGGGGAGGCGAACAACCCGGGGTTCAGAGCTGCCCCAACCCTCGACAGCCACAGCCTCAGGCAAGCAGCGGCCGCTCTCCCTGGCCTCAGTTTACCCATTCGTGAAATGAGGCAATGGGATTCCATCGGGTACTCAGGTTGGGAGTGGTGGTGATGGAGAGACGTGCCACCCTCTGAAAGGAAGCTAAATTTGGGTGTGTGGGGGGGATAGTTTTGATTAGAGATCACCCATAGCTATCAAGGATTTTTAAAGGGGGCTCTAACCAGAGCCCGTCCCTCCTCCCAGTCCCTAGCACTGCCACAAGTCTGGGAAGTCTCTGTTGTTCCAGCTTTGAAGGTAGGTCCTTTCCCACCTAGAAGACAGAGCTGCTACCTACCCTCTGGCCGGCTGCACAAAGGCACCCAGCCCAGGGCGAGATCATCCTCACCAGCCAAACCATGACGAGCCCTGGCATAGACCTATATTTCCCTGGAGAAAAGGATGTCCTTTCAAAAAGTGCACAAAGGCTCTGCTTGGCCTGGCAGTTTCCTTAGGAGGAGTCACCATTAAATCGCTGCTTATGGCTTGATGGCCTGGTCCTTCCAAGGTAAGATGACTAGACTTGTCTTGAGCCAGATTGAAGGTGGTTACACTATCACCTCAGCTGGAAGAACTGCAGAAATACTCTAGAACTCCCAATTATAGCTCAAATCTATTTACTCTTCTCCAACCGCCCTCATACTGGCTTGGACTACAGCAGCAGCCTCTTAGATATCTCCCTGCTTCCCCTCTCGTCCTCCCACAGCAGCCAGGGCGTGTTTTTAACACACAAATCAGCCCATATCACACATTCCCACTTAAAGCCCTTCTGTGCTCCTTTGAACCCTCTCTTCCCATGGCACTTTGGATAAACCCTGTAATGCCTTTTATCATCATGCAAATCTCAACTCAAAAGTTACCTCCTCAGAGAGGCTTTCCCTGACCAGCCCATCTAATAAGCTCCCCCCAACCTGCTTGTCATCAGTTTTATCTCCAAGATTTGTAGTCATTTATGTATGTGCTTCCTGGTTTCCTGTCCATCCCCCTGCTAAGCTAAATACCACATGAGTATAGAACTTTTTGGGCTTTGGTTCAAGGCTTAACTCCTGTGACCAGCAGGGATGTGGGAAGTACTGGATCAACTTTCATGACTGGATGTAACAACCAGTAGATAATTTTCTTGTGCCCTTTCCCTGCCCTATCAGTTTTGGAGCTGAACAAACTGAAGCCCAGGATAAAGTGTGAGATGTGTGGAATAAACTGTTTGAGGTCAACCTGTCGGTGGTGGAGCCAGCACTGGAGCCTGCCCACTGACTCTCAGTCCCAGGCTGCCCTGCCAGTGAAATGACCAGCTCACAAGTATGTCTGATGCTTTTGAAGTGCCCTGAGCTATGGGTGACTTTCAGATGTTCCCATTCCCCCAAGAGGACACAATCTGATGCCACATCTCAAGCCTCTGACTTTCCTCTGAACTCGAATCTTTTAGAGAAAAGAGCTAGGAGAACATAACCACTGGGCATCAAGATCTAACTTTTTGCCAATGCCACACTGAACTCAGGCCCAATCTACTTTCTCTAGCAGAAGATCCTAAAAAAAAATAAACACTTTTCAAAGAAACTTTCAATCAAAATAATATTTGAACACAGTTTTAAAAGTCAAATATTGCTAACAAGCTTACAATTACAACAAACAAAAAAGGCCAGGGGTGGTGGCTCATGCTTGGGAGCCCAGCATTTTTGGAGGCTGAGGTGGGAGGATTGCTTGACCACAGAAGCTGGAGACCAGCATGGGCAATATAATGAGACTCCATCTCCACACACATTCAATCAATCAATCAATCAATCAAAGCAACACACAGTTAATCTTGTTTAATGCTGAGCCAAGTAGTGTACTATCATGACATTTATTTTCTTGTATAACTTTTTAGTTTCCTGAGGCTAATTATTGCTCTTTTTCTTTTCTTTGCTAAGATTTCTTTGAACCTTAAGCTAAATCTTCCCATGTCCTCTGATACACCAAAAGTGTTTCTCAGCATAGTTTTTCCCATTAGTAAATCTGTTTGCAAGTCCTCAATGCCATATTTTCGCAGAGATGGTGCTTCTGGAACCTTGCTTCCTCTCACTCTTCTCTCAGACCTGTGGCTCTCTGGGCCTCCTGGTCATGGTTAAGGAAACCGGGAAAGCTCAGAAGCTAGTGCCAGCCACAGCTCCACCATACCTTGAGCCTCTGGCTCCACACCTGTGCTCAGTCACCTTCCCTTATGTGTCTCCTGAAGAATGATGCCAACGTTTCACTGTCTGTGAAAAAGCAAGTATAGGGTAGAGGGAGGAGCTGTGATATTATCATACTTTGCCTGGGCCCCACCAATGCTTCAATTTGACACTGCAATTGAATGGAATAGCTTACAGAGAATATTGTGAGATTTTGGCCAGGTTGTTGTTGAAGTGCATTTTAGGGTGCCCTGAATTTACTTAGGCCTTCAAGTTTTATGGTAACTCAAAAAGAATAAATTAATTAGGAGAAAACAGAATCCTCCAAGCATCACCCAAATCTTGTTATTCCATTCAGAGGCACCCTTATGAGTGGTCAGGGTCATGATCTGAAGTGAGTTCTGAAGAGCTGCTGCCCCTCAATGTCACCTGTACTGGTATTTGGAAAAGGCCACCCAGATTTCCATCATTATTGCTCCAACATCAATTGCCTTTAGATCTGTTGTTGGAACTTACGTTTCTCTTGGAGGGATCACACTTTAAATGACATCTAGGTTTTTACTTTAGGGGGAATGTGTATTAACCACTTTCTAGAGAACAGATGGGGTAGAGGGCTCTTCCAGTAGATGGAGCTCTCCCATGAAACTGCAGCCCACCATGGTGTACAGAGTGGATGCTGGGCCCTCCACTAGTGGGCTCGTCAATGGGAGGGCAGTACCAAGGTGGTCGGAGAATTGGCACACCTGTATAAACAGCAGGCCCTCGGCACCTGTTTATCCTCATCCCTCACCTGGATTTCAACTCCCAAGTCAGATGTGGGGCTTTCTGTCTTCCTTTGTGCCATGACAGCATAAAACAGACATCAGAAAGGATGAACTCAGCTCTCCTTTTTCCTTGTCCATGGCATGACCCATGAAAGTGAAGATCCTAGTTTCAGCTAACTTGCACCCAGAAGAATCAGGAGAAAGGCTTATCTTGTTGACACAAAGACACCAGCACCACCCGATGGCACCTTGATCACACAGACTCTGTCCTGACACCCACAGTAGCTGCTGAGGTCTCTCTGGCTAGGAATAGAGGCTTGGCCAATTTCTGGAATTGTGGAGCATTAGAGCTTGCTGAGGGTCTCCCAGCTGTCTGACTAGACCAGACAGGAGGGCAAATCCTCCAATTCAAACTCACCCCCTCTATAAAGAGGAGAATTCAGGGAAGGGTTAGCCAAGACTGATACAGTTTGGGCTTTGCAGGACACTGCATGGTCCCCATTCTATGCAGATGCCAGTTTTTCTGTCTGGTTTTCTTTCTCTCTCCTCTGGCTTTCTTTCTCTCTCTCTCTCTCTTTTTTTTTTTTTTTTAAGAGAGTCTCACTCTGTCACCAAGGCTGGAGTGCAGTGGCACAATCTTGCCTCACTGTAACCTCTGCCTCCTGGGTTCAAGCAATTCTCCTGCCTCAGCCTCCGGAGTAGTTGGTACTACAGGTGTGTGCCACCACACCCGGCTAATTTTTTGTATTTTTAGTGGAGGTGGGGTTTCACCGTGTTAGCCAGGATGGTCTCGATCTCCTGACCTCGTGATCTGCCCGCCTCGGCCTCCCAAAGTGCTGGGATTACAGGCATCAGCCATCACGCCAAGCCTCTCTCTCTCTTTTAATTCCTACCTCATCTCCCTTTGTTTCTGTCTGTGGTGTTCTCCATACACAACTTTCTTTTCATAAATCAAGGAAGCATTAAAACAATGAGACAGGCCAGGCACAGTGGCTCACCCCTGTAATCCCAGCACTTTGGGAGGCTGAGGCAGGTGAATCACGAGGTCAGGAGTTCAAGACCAGCCTGGCCAAGATGGTGAAACCCTGTCTCTACTAAAAATACAAAAATTAGCCGGGCGTGGTGGTGGGCTCCTGTAATCCCAGCTACTCAGGAGGCTGAGGCAGGAGAATCACTTGAACCTGGGCAGCAGAGGTTGCAGTGAGCTGAGATCATGCCACTGCACTCCAGCCTGGGCGATAGAGTGAGACTCCATCTCAAAAAAAAAAAAAAAAAAAAAAAAAAAAAAAAAAAAAAAAAATGAGACAAACCTAGATCCTTAACATTCTGAACTTTGCTTGACATTAGCTCTGCACATATGTGTGTGCTCATTTTCTGATAGTTTTGATGCAGGATTTTTCTTGGCCCCTTCGACGGACTCACGACAGGCGTGCCCTGTTTACTCAGCCCACCAAAGTCAACCCTTTGCAGGAGGGAGTACATGAGTGAGCAAGTGTGGGATCCATTCGGTTGCTCTGGGCACCAGCTGCTCCAGGCACCAGCAGAAGCAAGCTTCATGCAGGGCCTGTGACCAGACCAGGCATGAGTGAAAAAGTGCAGGATCCAGCTGGCCATTCCAGATGCTGGCAGGAGCAAGCTTCATGTAGGGCCCATGGCGATACCCAGGTGGGGGTGCCTGCTACCCTGGTGCCCCAGAGGGAGTGTTACAGTGCTCTCTTAGCTCTGCTGTCCGTGGTCAGCTGCGTGTTAGCAGCTCAGTTGGCTCCTTGCCTTGTCACATGGGGCGACTGCCCTCTGCCAGTGAGGGCAAAGGGCTAGTGTGACAGACTCTCTGGATACCTACACTCGGTGGGTCCCGATCTCTTGTCTGGTGTCCAGGAAAAATGAGGTCATGGGGATGAATTGAAGGATGGTGAAGGTAGAGAATTTTATTGAGCAGAGAGGGGAGCTGGAAAGGGGACAGGAAGGACAGGTAGCCTTACCTGAAGTCAGGCTGCCTCTCTCAAGTCAAGCCATCTCTCCTCGCTCCCTATTGAGTCTGGGGTCTTTATAGGCACAGGATGGTGGGGGGGTGGGGTGGGTTATAGGTAGTTTTGGAAAAGACAACATTTGATTGGTTAAAAGGCACTATTCAGAAAGAACCAATAGGGAGAGAACGGGCAAACAGAAATAGAAGTTCTCACTTTCGGTGGTGGGTTTCAGGCTTTTTGGCTTGAAGGTGGGACAGGACCTGCCTCTGTCTGCCTAGAATTTCTCTGCCTCCTGCCTCTATCCTGCCTCTTAGTTTCATGTCATGTGGAAGAGGAAGGGTCCTGGTCTGGATGTGGGTTCTGCTCCCCATCAGTGACTAAAAGCATGAGTTTGCCCTGAATTCGCAACATAGATCATTGCCTTCTAGGTTCTATCAGTGACTATGACCTTGAGCTTGTCCTCAATATTTATTAAAAGCTTAGTGGAATATAACCGTAGGTCAATTTGATAATATAACCACACAGAGGAAAACAAAGAACTAATCCAAGAAACTTTTGGACAAAGTACTCTAACTGCACAAACTTGGTGGGATGTAGTCCAAAGATTACAAAACTGAAAAAATCTTTACCTTAGGCAGTTTGTGGTCAGTGGTGATTGTGGGGAAGTAATTATTAAACTATTTTGAGTATATTGTAGTCAATGAATAAATATATATTCATTTATATATATATATTCATATTTGGGAAAAAAAGATTTTACTCTAGGGGAAGGGAGACATGAATATGGAATGAAGAAAAGAGAAAAAAACTTTGGTGTTGGATTGGAATCAAAAGTATCAGTACAAATGCATACTTTTAAAATATATATTCATAATATATGTTCTATATATTATAAATCTAATAAATGTATACATATTATATTATATATACACAGATATATATTTCCTAGCTCTGTTTACTCCAAAGGCCTAGAAACAATGACAGTCCAGTAGTAGTGAGCTCTAAATGGAGCCAGGGCTCCTTGAAGAAATGGATAACTTAAGGGCTGGGTAGGGGAAAATACAAGGTGAATCTGGAATATCTCCTTATGCTAGAAAGTAAAGGAAGTGTTCAAAAACTGATGAGATGTCAAAAAGACATAGGAGCCATCTTGAAGGAGCTCACATTGGTTAAATTTGGGTCAATTGGAACATTAAGAAGAACAGTGAAAATTATAAATAATAACACATCAAAAACAAATCAATGAGTCCATTGAGACACTAAAAATAATAATAAGTGTAGAGTGAGATGGAAAATATCTTTTTTTATAGAATAATGCCACCAAATAAATGTAAAAAGAACAATGACATTTTAAAAGTCATCATTTCCAACCACCCATTTCAATAACAGAGGCAAGTAAAGGTTCATCAAGGGATGCTCAACCACTGAGAAGCACCAAGGGAAAAGGATATTCACAGCCTCAATATATCACTTCATTGATGTCCACTTATTAGAAGGGAAAAAAATACTTGTATGCCAAATGATCAAACCTAACATCACTTAAAATGAGACAAAGTGGCCACATGTGCCTCCTGATGTCATGCACTGAGAAAGATACATCTAAGATACACATTGGAGAAAGATCTCTCTAATATTCCTGCCCAACTGTTTAACTTGAACCTACTTAGGAAAAAACAATCAGACAAACCCAAAGTTGAAGAACATCCTACAAAATAACCTGAGTGAATGCTTAAAAATATCACTATAGTGAAAGAGAGAAAAAAGTTGTTATGACAACTAGAGGCAAAGTGTGTTTCTAGATTGGGTCATTAATGTCTTTTTAAAAAGCTACAAAGGGCATTTTGGGGACAATATAGGACATTCGAATATGAACCCCAGATTAGATAATAGTATTATATTGAGATTAAATTTCCTGAGTGTGCTAGTTATATTGTGTTTAGATAGGAAAATATTCCTGTTCTTGGGAAATACTTAGCTACGAAGTGTTGTGATGCAGACATCACATGTAAGTGAGACATGCAACTTACTCTCAAATGATTGGGGAGAGGAGTAGAAAACATTTATATGAAGAGAATGGAGTAAGAGAGGAAACAACCCCATACGAATATGATAAAATGTTAACCGAATTTTCTAGATAAAGAATATATAGATACGGGCCGGGCGCCATATCTCACACCTGTAATCCCAGCACTTTGGGAGGCTGAGGTAGGTGGATCACCTGAAGTCAGGAGTTCGAGACCAGCCTGGCCAACATGGTGAAACCCTGTCTCTACTAAAAATACAGAAAATTAGCTGGGTATGGTGGTACACACCTGTAGTCCCAGCTACTCGGGGGGCTGAGGCAGGAGAATTGCTTGAACCCAGGAGGCAGAGGTTGCAGTGAGGCAAGATTGTGCCACTGCATTCCAGCCTGGGTGACAGAGTGAGACCCTGTCTCAAAAAATATATATATCTATAGATATAGATATAGATAAAGATATAGATATAGATAGAGATACGGGTTGCACTATATTTTTTTCAACTTTTCTGTAGGCTTGAGAATTTTTTAAATAAAAAGTTTTGGAAAAAGTAAGCTTATAGCCAAAAAAAAAATACATGGAGATTGTATTAGTCAGGGTTCCCTAGGGGGACAGAATTAATAGGATATATATACACATGAAGGGGAGTTTATTGAGTATTAACGTACACAAACATAAGGTCCCACAACAGGCTCTCTGCGAGCTTGAGGAGCAAGGAGAGCCAATCTGAGTCTCAACTGAAGAACTTGGAGTCTGATGTTTAAAGGCAGGAAACATCCAGCATGGGAGAAAGATGTAGGCTGGGCGGCTAGGCCAGTCTCACCTTTTCATGTTTTTCTGCCTGCTTTATATTCACTGGCAGCTGATTAGGTTGTGCCCACCAGATTAAGGGTGGGTCTGTTTTCCCCAGCCCACTGACTCAAATGTCAATCTCCTTTGGCAACACCCTCACAGACACACCCAGGATTAATACTTTGCATCCAATCCAATCAAGTTGACACTCAGTATTAACCATCACAAGCCCACCCCTTGTCAACTTGAACCCATACACATCTCCTGAGATCATACATAATCTTTAAGTAAAGACAATAATAAGGTCATAATTATGCCTAACATAAAACAACTATCCTTCATACAACTGGAAACGCACCAATCCCCAACCCAAAAACTATTACATAAAGTTAACAATACTTAAATGCTAATGTGAAGTCAATAAATCTTATGTCACATGATAAAGGAGAAAGAAAATAAAATGAAGATATTTTCTTAGCACAAGTATATATATGCAAAACATATTTTTAACAAAAGAAGGGGGACATACTCATGACAATTACAATCCTCGCTTCTGAAGCTGATGATGTGGTCGTAGCTGGTATTAATTACTACCTTCTTCTACTACCCATTCTGTATTCCCTTTGCCTTCAGCAAGCACCTCAGCAGGTCATTGATTTTTTTCCTGGTCGGGTGACCCAAACCATTCCTGAAGGGTCTGGGCCATTTTTAGTCCAGTCTGGATTAGGCTGTTGTAGTTTCCCATTGACCTTAATCACAGGGCATGGTACTACTAAGAGATGCCCTAATGTATCTCCTGTATTCCATGCATACTCTTCCTTACCTCCGTTGTAGAGTAGTAGACTGATTTCATCTTGATAGTCCAGGTCAATCACTCCAGCCAACACTGTAACTCCAGTTTTCTAACTTCTTAGCCTGTTGACTTAAAGGTAGGAGGAGCCCAAAGTGTCCAGGTGGCAATCTTAACTTCCAGTTTAGTGGAATTGGTGTTGTGTCTCCTGGTAGCAACATTCCTGCCTTTGGAACTAAGACCTCTAGGCCAGCAGAATATAATGTCATGGGAATAGGAAGCAAAAATTTTGCTAGTGGATCCCTAGGGGTGACAGTGAGTGGTGCCACTTCCACTTCCACCCCTTGATTCCTGTACCATGAATCCTGGCTATGGGGAAAACAGTACCATATATTGGATGCCGATTCAGAGTATACACAACCTTCTGGAGAACTTTGCCCCAGCCCTGCAAAGCATTGTCCCCTAGTTGGCATTGTAATTGTGACTTTGAAAGGCCATTCCACCGTTCTATCAATCCAGCTGCTTCAGGATGATGAGGAACATGGTAAGACCAGTGAATTCCACGAGTATGAGCCCACTGCTGCACTTCTTTAGCCGCAAGTGCCTTGGTCAGAGGCAATGCTGTGTGGAATACCATGAAGGTGAATAAGGCATTCCGTGAGTCCATGGATGATAGTCTTGGCAGAAGCATTGCATGCAGGATAGGCAAACCCATATCCAGAGTAAGTGTCTATTCCAGTGAGGACAAACCTCTGCCCTTTCCATGATGGAAGAGGTCCAATACGATCAACCTGCCACAAGGTAGCTGGCTGATCACCCTGAGGAATGGTGCCATATCGAGGGCTCATTGTTGGTCTCTGCTGCTGGCAAATTGGGCACTCAGCAGTGGCCATAGCCAGGTCAGCATTCGTGAGTGTAAGTCCGTGTTGCTGATCCCATGAGTAACCTCCGTCCTTGCCACGACAGCCACTTTGTTCATGGGCATTGGGCAATGACAGGAGTGGCTAGGGAAAGAGGCTGAGTGGTGTCCACAGAAAATCCTCTTCTGCTGAGGTCACCCGTTGGTGAGCACTGATGTGGGATACAAATATCTTCACAGTTTTTGATCACTCAGAGAGGTCTATCCACATACGTACTTCTTCCCCAAATTTCTTTGTGACCAATTTTCCAATCATGCTTCTTCCAAGTCCCTGACCATCCAGCCAAACCATTGGCTACAGCCCATGAATCAGTATATAATCGCACATCTAGCCATTTCTCCTTTCATGCAAAGTGTGCAGCCAGGTGCACTGCTAGAAGTTCTGCCCACTGGGAAGATTTCCCTTCACTGGTCTCCTTCAGGGATGTCCTAGAAAGGGGCTATAGTGCTGCAGCTGTCTACGTTCGAGTGGTGCCTGTATATTGTGCAGAACCACCTGTGACCCAGGCCCTAGTCTTCTCTTCCTCTGTCAAATGATCACAGGGAACTCCCCATGAGGCCATTGGTGCAGGCTGGGGAGGAGAAGGCAGGGCGGCAGGTGTGGAGACCATGGGCATTTGAGCCACTTCCTCATGTAACTTACTTGTGCCTTCAGGACCTGCTCAAGCCTCATCACGTATATACCACTTCCATTTGATGGTGGAAGGCTGTGCATGACCCACTTGATGGCTAAATGGGTCAGAAAGCACCCAGTTCATGACAGGCAGTTCAGGTTACATGGTGACTTGATGACCCATAGTCAAACGTTGTTTCCATCAAAGTCCAGTAACAAGCCAAGATCTGTCTCTCAAAAGGAGAGTAGTTATCTACAGAAGATGGCAAGGCCCTGCTCCAAAATCCTAGAGGCCTGCACTGTGATTCACCTATGGGGGCCTGCCAAAGGCACCAAACAGCATCCCTATCTGCCACTGACACCTCAAGCACCATTGGATCTGCTGGGTCATATAGCCCAAGTGGCAGAGCAGCTTGCACAGCAGCCTGGACTTGTTACAGAGCCTTCTCCTGTTCTGGACCCCACTCAAACTGGCAGCCTTTTGGGTCACTCAATAAATGGGTCAGAGTAACACACCCAGATGAGGAATGTGTTGCCTCCAAAATCCAAATAGGCCCACTAGGTGTTCTGCCTCTTTCTTGGTTGTAGGAGGGGCCAAACACAGCAACTTATCCTTCACTTTAGAAGGGATATTTTGACAGACCCCACACCACTGGACCCCTAGAAATTTCACTGAGGTAGAAGTTCCCTGAATTTTAGTCATATTTATTTCCCATCCTCTGGCATGGAAATGTCTCACCAATAAGTCCAGTGTGTTTGCTACTTCTTGATCACTGGATCCAATCAGCATAATGTCATCAATGTAATGGACCAGTGTGATATCTTGTAGAAGTGAAAAGCGATCAAGGTCTCTCCAAATAAGATTATGACACAAAGCCAGAGTTGATATACCCCTGAGGTAGGAAAGTAAAGGTATATTGCTGGCCTTGCCAGCTGAAGGCAAATTGCTTCTGGTGGGCCTTATGGACGGGAATGGAGAAAAAGGCATTTGCCAAGTCAATGGCTGCATACCAGGTACCAGGAGATGTGTTAATTTGCTCAAGAAATGAAACCACATCTGGTACAGGAGCTGCAATTGGAGTCACCACTTGATTAAGCTTGTGATAATCCACTGTCATTCTCTAAGATCCATCTGGTTCACAGCTCGGTCAGTTTGAGGCAGGCCAAATGGGAGAGTTGAATGGGGATGTGGTAGGAATCACCACCCCTGCATCTTTCACGTCCCTGATGGTGGCACTAATCTCCACAATCCCCCCAGGGATGTGATATTGTTTTTGATTTACTATTTCTTTAGGTAGAGACAGCTCTAATGGCTTCCACTTGGCCTCTCCCACCATAATAGCCATCACCCTACCAGTTAGGGAAGCCAGTGTAGGGATTCTGCCAGCTGCTAAGTGTGTCTATGCCAATTATGCATTCTGGCATTGGGGAAATTACTACAGGATGACTGTGGGGACCCACTGTAAGTCAGACCTGAGCTAAAACTCCATTAATTACCTGACCTCCATAAGTCCCTACTTTAATTGGAGGATCACAGTGATGTTTTGGGTCCCCTGGAGTCAACATCAGCTCAGAGGCAGTGTTCCATAATCTCTGAAATGTCTGATCATTTCCCTTTTCCCAATGCACAGTTACCCCAGTAAAAGGCCAGAGGTGTCTTTGGGGAAAGATGGGAGAAAGGTTCACTGCACAAATTGTCGGTAATGTAGTGAGGCCCTTCCTCAAGGGGATCCAGCCTCCCCTTCATTCAAGGAGTTCTGGGTCTATAAACTGGCTCAAGTCTGGAAATTGATTGAGGGACCATGATTCTCCGTTTTTGTAATTCAAATTAGTCTTTTGTCCATTCAAGCTAGAAGTTTTCTGCTTGTATAAATTAAGTATGAATGCAGTAGGCTTCCTATCAACTTCATTTCTAGGAACACTATGATTAATTAGCCAATGCCAGAGCTCTACATGAGTCAGACTATTCTGATTGGTGCTTTGTCTCTGCTGTTCATTATGGTAGCTACACCCACCTTGCCTTTGACGGTTGACTGCTGCCACTTGGCCCCTGCCACGTCGGGATCAAATTATTCCCATCGTATTTAAATTTTGTAGTTGAGTGACTATGGTTCCTACTGTTAGATCTGACATACAGAGAAGAGAAATTATAGGGCTCTTCAAACATGTAGGTACTTGCCTCACAAATCTATTTCACAAGGCATTGGTCAAGGGTATATCTTCTGGACCCTCCTACCTGGGATGAGTAGGTCTAAAGTGACTAATCCACTCCACCATCCCACTCTCCCTAAGCCTTTAGATCCCTTCCTCTACATTAAACCAAGAAAGATCAGGCATTTCCAGCTTGCTCACAGTGGGCCATCTTTTAATCCATATTTCAGCTAACCAAGCAAATAAACGATTAGAACCTTTTTTAATTCCCCAAGCTGCAACATTAAATGCAGAGTCCCTACTTAGTGGGTCCAAATCAATAAATTCAGCCTGATCCAACTCTATGTTCCTTCCACCATTATCCCATACCCTTAATATCCATTCCCGTGACTGTTCTCCAGATTTCTGTTTATATAAATTAGAGAACTCAAGCAGTTCTTTTTAAGAGTAGTGAACCTCCTCATGGATCATGCTCTCAACCTCACCTCTAGGTGCCTGCCAGGACTTTAGTCTAGTTATAGGTCTGGAAGCAAACAGAGGTGTTGAGGGTGGCTCCTGAGGAGAATCAACATTATTTTGCCTGGCAACTGCCTCCATGGAGGCCATCACTGTTGCCTCAGACAGTGCAGAGTTTTGTCTTCTCAGACAAAGGTGGAAAGGCTGATGGCAGCATGGGTCAGGGAGGGGATGTTGCCACTACTGGGGATGGTGAAGCTCTTCCTTCTGGCAAGAAAGTTTCATCAGAGCTTACAAACTTAGTGTTCCCAGCTTCATCAGGGTCCTCCCACACATCCCCATTCCAGGTTACAGGGTCTCATTCTTTTCTAATCAATGCCCTCACTTTAACAGTAGACACCGGTGAGGTGCATGCACCTTTCATCGCAGGTCAGCCACTCACATGATAAGAGCTTGTGTCTGTTTCTCCACAATTTCAGCTCTTTCTCTACAGGAGATAAGACTCTCACTCAGGGCAATCTTAGAAGATTTGAGGCTCAGTATCTGCTTCTGAAGCCAGAAGACAGAATCCCTGAGTTCATCATTTTCTCTCATCACTTTGTCCAGTGAACTTAGGAGCAACCAACCAGCTTCATTATGTTCCTTGGTTCTCCACATATGGTCAAAAGTATTATATATAGAGTTAAGGAACTCCTTGCATCTCATGAACAGTGAATCAGGAGTGTCAAATGCATTTATTTTACATAACTCTCTAAACAGTTCATGCCAAGGACTATCAGTGTTCTCCATACTATTAGAAGTAGAGTCCTTAGCATTTTTGGGTCTAATCATATTAAGCAGCCAACTCCAGAAACCCCAAAACCAACAAAAGAACTCCATCCTTAATATTCTGTTCCTGGCTGAGTGCAGTGGCTCACACCTGTAATCCTAGCACTTTGGGAGGCCAAGGCAGGTGGATCACCTGAGGTCAGGAGTTCGAGACCAGCCTGGTCAACATGATGAAACCTCATCTCTACTAAAAATACAAAAATTAGCCAGGCATGGCAGCAGGCACCTATAATCCCAGCTACTCGGGAAGCTGAAGTAGGAGAATCGCTTGAATCCAGGGGGCAGAGGTTGCAGTGAGCCGAGATTGCACCACTTCACTCCAGCCTGGGTGAAAGAGCAAAACTCTGTCTCCAAAAAAAAAAAAAGAAAAAAATTATGAATTCTGTTCCTCTAGAACCACTCCTGGTACCAAAATCTGTATTAGGGTTCCCTAAAGGAACAGAACTAATATATATATGTGTGTATATGTATACACACATGTATGTATGTGTATATATATATATGAGTTTATTAAATATTAACTTACATGATCACAATGTCCCACAATAGGCGTCTGCAAGCTTGAGGAGCAAGGAGAACCAGTCTGAGTCTCAGAACTGAAGAACTCTGGAGTCCGATGTTTGAAGGCAGGAAACATCCAGCATGGGAGAAAGATGTAGGCTGGGAGTCTAAGCCAGTCTTGCCTTTTCACGATTTTCTGCCTGCTTTATATTCACTGGCAGCTGATTAGATTGTGCCCACCAGATTAAGGGTGGGTCTCTTTTCCCCAGCCCACTGACTCAAATGTTAATGTCCTTTGGCAATACCCTCACAGACACACCCAAGATTAATACCTTGCACCCTTCAATCCAATCAAGTTGACACTCAATATTAACCATCACAGAGATGGTTCAACACAATCCATTTGAGCCCAGGTTCACAGCTTGGTCAGTGTCAATAGACTCTGACAGGCACACTTCCTGGGAACAGATAAAGGATCTGAGCTTCCAAGAGTTCAGAGTCCGAGTACCAGTTGCCTCTGGTTGACTCCTCTCATCCTCTTGGGACCTGGTGGGGTGAGGAAACTGACCTTGAGTGACCGAGCCTCATGACGTGTCCTGGAATGTGGATTTCTCATGCTATCCCAAGTGCTTCCTCTAAAGTGAGTTTCTAGAAATCAAATCTTCATTACACAGAGTGCTGCTTCCCACAGAAATGTTTCCATAATTCTAAAAGGAGGTCCATGGCAGTGTATCCTAAACCCAGCCGCTCATCAGAATCACTTGCAGGGCTGGTTAAACCACAGATTGCTGGGTCCAACACCCTCAGTTTCTGACCTAGTCAATCTGAAGTGGGCCCTGGAATCCATATTTTTAGGAAAATGCCCAGGTACCTCTAATTTGGAAATGGGTATTGAAACCACAGGACAGGTGACCTTTAAGCAACTTTCCTACTCTAGGTGTATCTCCACTTAAAAATAGAGAATTAAAATATAGACACACTTAAGAAACAGGAGGAAACTTTTCCTTGCTCAATCTAGTCATATAATGGTAAACCTCTTCTGCTAAGATTCAAAGGCTGCAAGGTAAGTAATACTTAACTGCTTCTGAGTGCATTAAATAATCGAGCCACAGCTTGAGTCTTGAGGTTGGAAAGGTACTTTCAAATGTCACAGACACTGGGTATTTGGATCAGGAATGTGGTCTGGGTGCCTTCCAGACAGAGCCTGCCTGTGCCAGGCTGGCAGGGTCTCAGCACGGCCCAAACCCTGTCTCCCCTGGCTTCTGAGAGCTTTGTTTCTGCCATGTGGGAAGGAAACTGTCTGGTTCTAGAAATACACCAAAGCACCAAATATATCTGTGGATGCTAGAAGTCTGGAATCAGAGACGATTAGTGCTCAAAAGAAACTAGCTAGCCACTGTCTAGTTTTCTTCTCTTGCCATTTTAGAGGTGGGGAGCTGTGAGCTCCAGAAAGCTTTGACACGTGTCTGGGAAGTGTCAGAGATGGGTCTAAACCAATGACTGAGTCTAGTCTCTCCAGCTTATCTCTGTTTGGTTCAAACATTACTTTGTTTTTAGGTATCTGTGAAGATAATAAAAATCAAGCATGAGTGAAGTAAGAAGGCTAACTCAGGAAATTTAGGACAAGCTCTTTGTGGCAAAAATATACCTAATAAGTTTTGGAATTTTTTCCCCTTTATTTCTTCCTTGGGTCTTTTCCCCAAAATGAATGCTTTCAGTGTCTGTTCATCTTTAAAAGTCAACAGTAAGTAGGACTTCATGATAATGGGAATGACTTCTTTTGCTTTCAGATTTTGCCAGATTGAGGTGAACTACAAATTAAACAAACAAACAAATAAACCAACCTCATACAGAAAAATACCATAAAATTGTTAGCTTGCAACTGCACTTAAAAATGGGTATTTAAGGGCCAGGCACCATGGCTCACGCCTGTAATCCCAGCACTTTGGGAGGCCAAGGTGGGAGGATCACCTGAGGTCAGGAGTTCAAGACCAGCCTGACCAACATGGAGAAACTCCTGTTTCTACTAAAAATACAAAATTAGCTGGGTGTGGTGGCGCATGCCTGTAATCCCAGCTACTTGGGAGGTTGAGGCAGGAGAATCACTTGAACCTGGGAGGCGGAGGTTGTGGTGAGCCAAGATCGCACCATTGCACTCCAGCCTGGGCAACAAGAATGAAACTCCATCTCAAAAAACAAACAAAAAAGGTATTTAAAATACTTTAATCAAATATTTATGTACTAGATATTGTTCTAGGTACTAGGGATAAAGCAGTGAACAAAACACACTAAAAATCAAAAAGCACTTTAATCCTGGAAATTGCTATCTAGCCAGTAAAATATTAGACATGAATTCAATTGGCAATTTGTAGTTATAGTCTAAATAAATACAGCTTTAAATGTTAACCATCAGACACAATTATGTTATGTGAAAACAGCCTAACATGTAATACGTTTTCTTGTTCTTAAAAAAGACTTTGGGGCTGGGCGCGGTGGCTCATGCCTGTAATCCCAGCACTTTGGGAGGCCAAGGTGGAGAGATCACCTGAGGTCAGGAGTTCGAGACCAGCCTGGCCAGCAGGTGAAACCCCATCTCTACTAAAAATACCAAAAATTAGCAGGCGTAGTGGCGGGCGCCTGCAACCCCAGCTACTCAGGAGGCTGAGATGGGAGAATTGCTTGAACCCTGGAGGCGGAGGTTGCAGTGAGCCCAGATCATGCCATTGCACTCTAGCCTGGGCAACAAGAGTGAAACTCCGTCTCAAAAAAAAAAAAACAAAAAAGACTTTGGAATTATAAGACACTAGCTAAAACTATTGCATTCATTTGCATGTCTGTGTTCCCTTTATAAAAACAAACAAAAGAAGTTAGCCAGTCCACGTATTACATTTCCTAGAAATTTTTACATCTCTTAATGGGGCTTCCAGGATTTAAAAGGATTAGCAGTGTCTGCCTTGGGCCAAACTCCCCTGAGGCAGCAAACGCTTGTCTTCACAGTCTGGGGAATTCTGGTCAGATCCTTTTGGTTACAAAGAAAAGAGACCCAGTTGAGTGTGCTCAAGAAAAGGGGCCTTAATCATGAGAACCCAGTGGAAAAACACAACACAAGCTGTGGACCAGAGCCCAGTGCAGCCAGCTCTCAAGGGACTAAGATGGGAAACCCCAGACAGGAACAGGATCTCTCTTTCTCTCTCTAATGGCTTCTCAGCTTTTCTCAGTGCACCTATTTCCCCTCTTTCCTCCCTCTGGCTTTCTCTGTGATTTAATTGCTCCTCTCCCAAAATCTCATCTTGCTTATGCGCCATAATGGCCACACAAGCCTCAGTTCTGCTTTGCTTTTCAACGGTAGTTGCTACCACTATCACCACTTGGGAATTTCCCTTTGGAGGCTCTTCTCTAGAGAGAAGCCTGACTAGTGTGCCTTATTTTCTGGAGCCAGCCATATAAGGTGTAGGCTGCTGGCTGGTTTGTAGTTGATTCTTCTCACTGGGTCAGATGTCACTCCTTATTCTACTGGCTGTGGCCAGAGTCAGATGATATTAAAATGACAATTGGGGTCATTTTTTTTTTTTTGAGACGGAGTCTCGCTCTGTTGCCCAGGCTATAGTGCAATGGCGCGATCTCGGCTCACTGCAAGCTCCTCCTCCCAGGTTCAAGCAATTCTCTGCCACAGCCTCCCAAGTAACTGGGATTACAAGCACCTGCCACCATGTCTGACTAATTTTTTTGTATTTTTAGTAGAGACGGGGTTTCACCATGTTGGCCAGGCTGGTCTTGAACTCCTGGCCTCATGATCCACTCACCTCGGTCTCCCAAAGTGCTGGGATTACAGGCATTAGCCACCGTGCCCAGCCTGAGGTCATTTTTATGCAGCAGCACGTGTCAATGAGGCAGATTCCTCCAGAAGGCAGTGTTTGCAGACAAGCACCCTGAGACTGTTTTAGTATTGTGGTGGTACTTTTAAAAATCAGATCAGAACATGGGGTTGATCCTGAATCCCATGTGTGTTTAACTATGTACCTATTGTGTCCTGGGAAAAGTCAGGAGATAGGGTACTCCCAAATGAAGCCAGAACTGGACCCAGGAGCCCAGTTTTTTTTTTTTTTTTTTTGAGATGGAGTTTCGCTCTTGTTGCACAGGCTGGAGTGCAATGGCACCCTCTAAGCTCACTGCAACCTCCACCTCCCAGATTCTAGTGATTCTCCTGCCTCAGCCTCTTGAGTAGCTGGGACTAAAGGCGTGCGCCACCATACCTGGCAAAATTTTTTGGTATTCTTAGTAGAGATGGGGTTTCACCATGTTGGTCAGGCTGGTCTTGAACTCCTGACCTCAGGTGATCCACCCGTCTCAGCCTCCCAAAGTGCTGGGATTATAGGCATGAGCCACCGCACCTGGCCCCAGTCTTTTTTTAAACTCCTGGTATCTGTAAACAAAAGAAAAGCAAAATTGGGACAGAGTAGGAGAGGATTGTCTGGTTTGTGTTCCCTGTTATTCTGGGTTTTTTGTTTTCTTTGTTTGTTTGTTTGTTTTTGAGATGAAGTCTTGATCTGTCACTCAGGCTAGAGTGCAGTGGCTCAATCTTGGCTTACTGCAACCTCTGCCTCCTGGGTTCAAGTGATCCTTCTGTCTCAGCCTCCTGAGTAGGTGGGATCACAGGTGTCCACCACCATGCCTGGTTAATTTTTATATTTTTAGTAGAGACAGGATTTCACCATGTTGATCAGGCTGGTCTCGAACTCCTGACCTCAAGTGATCCTCCCGCCTCAGCCTCTCAAAGTGCTGGGGTTACAGGTGTGAGCCACTGTGCCCGGTCTTCCTGTTATCCTTGACTACTTTTGAATTCACATCAAATCCCAATATCTGAGCTCGGGGTAAGCTTGGGCCCAGGTGGACCCTTGGTGGAAGTTAAAGGAATGGCCTCCATTTGGGCAATTTTCAGGCGAAGATTATGGTAGATTGTTGGCAGATTTCTGCCTAGAATGGGATCAAGGGGTGAGCTAAGAATAGATAGTGAGATTTTGGTTTAATCAATCCAGAGAGGATAGTGGATCCTGGAAAAGTATAAATGGCTGAACTTTAAGCTCAAAATACTCTTCTTGTCAGAGAGAGGTTAGCTGAGAATTTCATCCTGGAAGCCCAAGTAGGCTGATGAGATGGAATACTTAGTATTCCAGGAAAAACAGGAGGGCCACTTGGAAGGCTGCTGTCCTTTGATCAAGTGGGGTGACATGCAGCAGGTTTTGTAGAGCTGGTGATCAGCAAGACCCATGCTGACAGTGAAGGTGGGTGAGCAAAGATTTGACAGTGCAGACTTTGGGGTCAGACAGAAAGTTCCAGAGCTGCATAATCGGGTGAGCCTCACTTTCCTCATCTGTAACACGGAAATTATATCTATTTCTTAGGGTTGTGAAGAGGGTTAAATATGATGTAGTCTGTAAAGTTTAAATGTTAGCTGTAATTAAACCAACTATAGTTGTTACCGTCAGAATACTTGTCCATGACCATTGACAAAACACATCACCGTGCAGTATTTCACTTGGTTTTACCATTCAGAACTGCATTTTCTGACCACAACAATGAGCAGAAATCAGGAGAAAAGGAAAGCACTTTGATACTTCCTTTGAGGTGATCTCTTCTTTCTAGAATTCTCTTTTAATCTGGGTTCAAAGCTTCTATTCTAAGGTTGAGAGCTAAAAACCCCTGGGAAGGACAGGACTTGAATCAAAATTTACACTAAAGTTCTAAATTATTGATAATTTTTTAATGAGAAATATTTTTGGTGGTAAGGGCAGGGCTGGGGAGGAGAAAGACATAGTATACTGATGATTAAAAAGAGTAAAAGTGAATGAAAATAGGTCAAGGGAATCAAAGACCAGGTATTCACTTTTTCTTATGACCAGCTTGGCCTGTGTTTCACCAAAAGGTACTCTGTTAAATTGGATGACCTCTCTCAAAAATCCATAATGTGAGCTACTGTGTTAAAGGCTCTGAGAAGTTCTACAGCCAAGAAGATGCCTTCACTTCATTTAGTTCAGCATTCTTAGGTTTACTGTCCACAGAACCTCTTTTTCAGCATAGGTCCTATCAGCCTCCTGAGGAACCAGGAACACACTTTGCAATTCTGCTCCACATCTAATCAAAGAAGGGGGTCCACCCAATTCCAACTTCTCCTGTATCTTCTCACTTTGACTTATCTAGGTGCATTGAAGAAGACAAGATTGGGCAAATATGATAATTGTCTTCAAATGTCTGGAGGTTTGGCATTAGACAGTGGGATTTAGATTTGCTCTGTATAGCTCCAAAGAATAGAGTGAAGTTCAGTTCTTTGGATTCCAGGAAAGCAGACCTCACTTCTGAATAAGAGAGAATTTTAAAAAATTGCCTTATTTTTTGAAGAGGCATTATAAGCATATGGTATGCAATCTAAAAGGTGTTAATACCAAGTGAGGATGTGGATCAAGAAATCTTTACAAACAGCTGGTGGTGTAGTCACTTGGAAAAGTGACCGTTTCTATATTCTGTAACCCAGCCATCCATCTGGTGGTATACATGCCAGAGAGACCCTTGTGCACACGCACCAGGAGGTGTGTACAAGAATGTTCCGGGAAAGACTGTGTGTGCCAAACTGGAAATGAGCAAATGTCCGCCAACAGGAGAATGGATAAACTGTAATATTTTCATATGATGAAATTGTACACAGTAATAAAAATGAAAAACTATAGATATATGCCACAACATGGACAAATCGTTGAAACTTAAAGTTGAATGAAAAGAAGTAAGTTGTAGAAGACTGTATATAGCATGATATAGTTTTTATTAACTCAAAATCAAGTCAGATGAAATAATATATTGTTTAAGAATATATCTGTATAATTATTTTTAAAAGATAGCAAAAGACAGCATTATTTGTTATAGTCAAAAGACTTAAAAAAAAACAACTATCGGCCTAACACAGTGGCTCATGCCTGTAATCCCAGCACTTTGGGAGGCCGAGGTGGGCAGATCACCTGAGGTCAAGAGTTCGAGATCAGCCTGGCCAACATGGTGAAACCCCGTCTCTACTAAAAATGCAAACATTAGCTGGGTGTGGTGGCGTGCACCTGTAATCCCAGCTACTCTGGAGGCTGAGGCACAAGAATCGCTTGAACCTGGGAGGCAGAGGTTGCAGTGAGCCGACATCTTGCCACCGCACTCCAGCCTGGGTGACAGAGCAAGACTCCGTCTCCAAAAAAGAAACAACAACAACAACAACTGTCTTTCAAGGAATAAATAAAATGGGGTTATCCATACAATGGAATGTTATTTGGCAATAAAGAGAAACAACGTGCCGAGACATGCTACAACATGGAGGAAACTTGAAAGTATTTTACTAAATGAAAGAAGCCAGTCACAAAGGACTGCATATTACATGATTCCACTTACAGTATATGCCATTTCAGAATAAATAATTCCATAGAGACAGAAAGTAGGTTGCCAGTTGCCTGGGTGGATAAGGGACAGACTTGGAGGACAGAGTGTTTCGGAGGGGTAATGAAAATATTCAAAAATTGTGATGACAGTTGCACAACTACAAATACACTAAAAACCATTAAATTGTACACTTTAAATGGGTACATTGTATAATATGTGAATTATATCTCAATATAGTTGTTATAAAAAGTAGCGACAGAATAATAGACATACAATTCAGGAAGGGGGTATTTACGGAGGAGGAAGTGCAGTAGGGAGAGGGGACACGAAAGGATGGGTTTGAGAAAGAAAATTTTTAAATTATCTTTTAAAAATAATTATACAGATATATTCTTAAACAATATATTATTTCATCTGACTTGATTTTGAGTTAATAAAAACTATATTATGCTATATACAGTCTTCTACAACTTACTTTTTTTCATTCCACTTTAAGTTTCAACGATTTGTCCATGTTGTGGCATATATCTATAGTTTTTCATTTTTATTACTGTGCACAATTTCATCATATGAAAATATTACAGTTTATCCATTCTCCTGTTGGCGGACATTTGCCCAGAAGTAGCCTCTATAGAGCTGAAAATGATCTAGTAATAGCTGTGAGGTTCTGTCTGTGTGTGTCGGGGGTAGAGGTGCATTGGCATTCTTGATTTTTAAAAATTAGACTACATAATTTGCATATATGTTGCAAATATCCTTTTGTCATTATCAAATAATTCATAATAAAATCTTAATACAAAATGTACAAAAAGACTGGCTAGGAGAGGTGGCTCATGCCTGTAATCCCAACACTTTGGGAGGCCATGGCGGGTGGATCACTTGAGGTCAGAGGTTCAAGACCAGTCTGGCCAACATGGTGAAACCCCGTTGTTACTGAAAATACAAAAATTAGCCGGGTGTGGTGCACACGCCTGTAATCCCAGCTACTTGGGAGGCTGAGGCAGGAGAGTTGCTTGAACCCACGAGGCGGAGGCTGCAGGGAGCCGAGATTGTGCCACTGCACTCCAGCCTAGGCCACAGAGCAAGACTCTGTCTCAAAAAAAAAAAAAGAAGAAGAAAGTACAAAAAGACATATAGTAAAACTCAGCCTCACTCCCTTTACCCAGCCTCCCAGTTTCCCACCTTGAAGACAGCCACTGCTTGCTGGTTCTTGTGTGTCCTTACAGAGAGTCTACGTGTTTATAAGCAGGATGTGTGTGCACATGCAGAAGTGACTGTGCTCTCTGCACGCTGTTCCACACATTGTTTCACAAACCCGATATGTTTGGAGAACTTTCCAAACCTGTATGCAGAGTAGCCTTGATCGTGTTACTGGACAAAAGGCTTTATGTCTTATTTCGGAAGAATGTATCTTCTGGAGTCAGGCTGTCCTTGGTTGGCTCACAGCATGTTCCTTTGCTTTATTCAGACCTGAAACAAAAAGTCCACCTCATCTCAAATGGCTCTCTTACATCACCCTCTACCTGCTTCCCTTCTATTTCTTCTTAGCATAACTTGGCATGATATGTGTGCTTGTTTAGTTGTGTCTCCTCCTCCTCCTCCTCTTCCTTCTCCTCCTTCTTCTTTTCCTCCTCCTCCTTTTTCTTCTTCTTCTTCTCCTTCTCCTTCTTCTTCTTCTTCCTCTCCTTCTCCTTCTTCTACTTCTCCTCCTCCTCCTCCTCTCACTCTCCTACCCAGGCTGGAGTGCAGTGGTGCAATCATGGCTCACTGCAGCCTCCACTTCCTGAGCCCAAGCAATCCTCCTGCCTCAGCCTCCTGAGTAGTGGGGACCACAGGCACAAGCCACCATGCCCAGCTTAGTTGTTTGTTTTCATCTCCCGCATTAGAAAGCGAGCTCTGTGACAGCAAAAACTCTGTTCCTTTGCCCTGTAGGGCATATTGCAGTAAGCACACAATAGGTATTTATGGAATGACTGAACAAACAAATGAAATCCCAGATCCATCATGTACTAGCTATAAACTTTTGAGCAAGCTGCTAAATCTCTCCTTCCCTCAGTTTCCTTATTACACAATAGTATAATAGTGACCATGAAGATTAAATAAATGTATACTTCCAAAACACTTAGAACAGGGCCTGGCACATAGCAGCATTCATTCTATGTGGGCTCTTCTTATTAGAATATCCCAGTGCAGGGATGTACCATAATTTCTTTCACTGGTCTTCTATTTAGGTTATTTCCGAGTGGGGCTGCAATGCATAACTTTCTACTTAATGCCATTTTGCTCTTGAGCAAGTCTATCAGTTGGATGAATTTCTAGAAATGGAATTGCTGGGTTCAAAGGTACATATATTTTTAATTTTGAGAGATAATGCCAACTTGAAGAGATAATGATGAGCAGAACTGGACCACACTGGAAGATGCTGTTCCTGACATCTTGTGACTATTTAGTCACAAGGCTCTGTGACCAGGTCTCAAGTATGGGGCAGCAGTAATTCCTCCTGCCGGTGGGAGGCTGGGCTGTGTGATCTGCAAGGTCCCTTCAGATCCAGGATGCAATAATATGTTCCATACTATTATTGGCTAAGTGCCAGGCATACTTGCAACATAAAAATGCAAACCTAAAATATTTCATTTTCTATCCCACTGGTAGTAATGGGGAGAGATACTCTTTTAACTTATTTTTAAACTAAGAGCCAGTTTTCTATTCACACTGTAGTGTTTTTTATTTTTTCACTATTTTTTGGAACTTTTTGAAGGTATTTGCTATAAAAATTTTTAAACGTCCAGCAAAGCTTTTTAAAAAAAATGTGACCAATTATTTGAAGTCTTCTTATACAAATTAAACTTTTCTATAATGATTGGGGTAGGAAGTGGGTCAAAAAATATTGTATTTCTTTTTTTTTTAAACTTTATTGGCTCTTTTTTTCCTGTTGAGTCTAGTCAATAATCCACATTCTACAGCCACTCAAATGTCAAAATGTTTCAAAAATATATAAAAAAATAAAGAAATGAATAGAAGCGTCCTTGTTCTTTAAATTATTTCTGTGTTACCCTGAACTGTAAGTGAACCCTCCTTGCTTATAAAAGAAGCAGCTGTTCATGCAATTGAAACCATGGTTCATTACAAGCTGACCTCGGATTCAGGAGTAAAACTTCCTCTATTTTACTACGACTATTCAGACAGGGACTGGAGATAAACAATAATCAAAATCAGGATGGAACTTGACTGGGAAACCCTCTATGTTCTTTGGCAGAATTATAGCAGCTCTCGAATTGCCAGGAGTGAGGCAACGTGAAATGACCCTCAAACATTCCCTTCGAAATGCAGTGCGCCCAGGCTGCCAACTCTGAACCGACAAAGGCTGATTGTGATGACTTCTTAAGCATATACTTATAGAAACATTAATTATCACCAACCCTATTTTAAACATTTATAGAGAGTTGAGATGAAAGGACCCTTTTAGATCCACTTTTATATTCCCTCTTGTAGGAAACTATGATTACAGAGTGGTTTTTCTTTTTCCCCCCTCCTTGGAAATTTTCATTTCTAGGTCTTATTCCTAAAATACTAAGTTTGGTTTGAGGTTTACATGATAATCAGGTTAGGTATGAGAAGATAGCAGGGAAATTCAATGGTTAAGTGGAGGTGATGACAGGAACATGGCGGGGGGTTCCATTGCAGTGTGGGAGGTTTGGGCATCTTCATCAGGAAATGACCCATTTTGGAAATGTGGACATTCAGTTTGCCAGGGTGCCAGTGGAAGGTGATTCTAGAGTGAATCTGCTAAGGTCTAAGACAGTGGTTCTCAAACATTAGAATTCATCAGAGTCTTGGGATGGAGCTGCTTTAAAATGGACAACATGGGGTCCCACCCATGGAGAATTCCATCAGTGTGTCTGGGGCAGAGGTGGGGGTTGGGGGAGCAGCATTTTAACCAACACTCCTTGTCATTTGAATGCAGGGAGCTTGAGGCCACACTTTGAGAGGCATGTGGCTTGATGATTGATTATTACTAGGCTGTCACTCAAAGGGCCTTCAGGTATGTGCCTACTCAACCTACATTTATATGCTCCCTTTCCAGAACCCAACCCTACAGCCTCCACTCAAGTCTCCTCCATGGCACATGGCATCGTGTGTGAAGGTTGACCCCCATAATGGTCTGTGGGAGGCCATGTGCAAGGGGGTTCTTGGCTGAAGAATGCTTTAACTTATTGAAGGCAATCATAATTCTTTATAGAGTCATGAAAAAGGAGGAAGGAGAAAGAGAGGTCACAGGCCAAACTATCCACCCTTGGGCAGTAAATGTCCTTAGCATGTAAGATCCTGAACTGGGCATAGTGGAGTGAATATGAAATATGATGGAGAGGGCCCGGACTTGGCTTTGGTAGGGCTGACAAGTCAATGGGCACAGTGCAATATGGCAGCCTATATAAAAAGCGAGGTGGTTTGAAGAAATCACAAAGGTGAACAAATTCAATGAGCCTTTGTTTGAGACTTGGCTCTGCTCATGTTTCCCAGTGCCCACTCTTCCTCTCCACCCTCCTTTTCCTGTACTCCCTTCTCTAGGCCAAGAGAACATCTGTCTGTTAGCAGTTCACCTTCTCATTCTCTGCTCTGTACATGTGAACATGAATCACTAGACATACAAAATAGGGTGTCAGGAGGACAGGAATGTGCCTCCCATCGGGCCCAATGTCTCTTCCATCCAATTCGCAGTGTCTGAAAAGCACCTCTGGACCAAGGCCAGCAGAGACTGTTGCTCTTCTTCCTTCTGCCTCTAGCTTTCTGCACATGATACCCAAGTTCAATCAGATAGGAATATGTGCCATTCACCCTAAAGCAAGCTCTTTCCCAGTACTGCCAATGCCAGGAGGTTCCAATTTAGAATTGAGAGAGAGAGCTGTTATTTATTAAGTACTACTATGTGCCAGACACTTTGCATCCTCATCATGTTTAATCCTAACAATAACCCTGCAAGGTGGGCATCTCTGTTACAAGTGGGGAAGCTGAGGTTGAAAGATGCTGTGACTTGTCCAAGATTGTACCCATAGGACTAGAATGTGTGGGGTTGAGGGAGGGCTTTATGCTGTTTCTGGTTGCTTTTATGATTTGCTCAACTTTGAAGCATTTACTGTAGCTGCATTTTATGCCCATTTAGGGAGCAGTATAGTGGAGAGGTGAAGAATTGGGCCTGGAGACAGATCACCTGGGGCTCTGCCTCTCACTAGCTGTGAAACTTCCGGCATGTTGCCTTCGCTATCCCTCATTTCTCTTGGGATAACAATAGTAGTGATAATAATAATTCTTGGTTCATCAGAAACAAGTGACAATGAAGGCCAGCAGGGTGGCTCATGCCTGTAATCCCAGCACTTTGGGAGGCCAAAGAGGGTGGATCACCTGAGGTCAGGAGTTTGAGACCAGCCTGGCCAACGTGGTGAAACTCCGCCTCTACTAAAAATACAAAAATTAGCCGGGTGTGGTGGCACATGCCTGTCTGCACTCCAGCCTGGATGACAAGACAGAAACTCTATTAAAAAAAAAAAATTCACCCAGCGTGGTGGTGCGTGCCCATAGTTCTAGCTACTTGGGAAACTGAGGTGGGAGGATTGCTTGGGCCCAAAAGGCAGAGGCTGCGGTGAGCCGTGTTGGGCCACTGCACTGCAGCCTGTGCAACAGAGTGAGAACTTGTCTCAAAAGAGAGAGACAGAGAGAGAGAGCGAGAGAGAGAGAATAAGGTGCTTAGCACAGTGTAAGTGCCTCAACTAATATTGGTTATATTATACAATCGTCATGATCTTTGCAAGCTCCTTTAAAATGGGATATGATGAAATGATGAAAACAATGGCTAAATGGTGCAGAGCGAAGGCACAAAGAATGCATGCATGCACAAAGGAGTTAGAGTGATGGTTTAGTGATGGGAGGGAGGGATAGGTCACAGAATGACTAAGGCGCAGATATGCTGGGGCAGTCACTGACAAAATGGGCCAATGCTGTTGGGGCGGCCTCCTGAGATACCTCCCCTGTTCCATGCATGGGCTGAGCAGGCGGATCCAGGTTAGCAGAGGCCGGATGGGCTAGCACCTTTGCAAGGGTCGCTCCCCAGGACCTCAGCAGTCTAGCCCCAATTATGGTGGCTGCTAATTACCTTCCCAGCTGCAGCTGCGGGACCCTGCTGGGTGGGTGGACCTGAAGTTGTGGAAGCGGGGGTGATTCTCAGAGATTAAAGAGGGAGGCGGTTCCTGACCCCGCCTATCTGGGAGCTCCTGATCTGCTTGGCGCATCCCAGCCCTGCGCCTCCGGAGGGTGCGCCCTGGTCTGGCACCCTGGGGAGGGAACCCGGGACACATCAGAGGAGATCCTGAGGGGTCAATTAGACCAGGTCTAATTGATTAGACCAGGAAGGCTGACGTTCTGCCGGGGAGAGAGGTGGGGCGGGAACGGCTAAAGGCATTCCTGTTTGATCTTTATTTTCCAGATGGCAAATTGAGGATTAGAAAATTAATCCAGGGGCCAGGCGCGGTGGCTCACGCCTGTAATCCCAGCACTTTGTGAGGCCGAGGCTGGCGGATCACGAGGTCAGGAGATCGAGACCACCCTGGTTAACACGGTGAAACCCCGCCTCTACTAAAAATACAAAAAATTAGCCGGGCGCAGTGGCGGGCGCCTGTAGTCCCAGCTACTCGGGAGGCTGAGGCAAGAGAATGGCGTGAACCCAGGAGGCGGAGCTTGCAGTGAGCCAAGATGGCGCCACTGCACTCCAGCTTGGGCAACAGAGCGTGATTCTGCCTCAAAAAAAAAAAAAAAAGAAAGAAAAGAAAAAGAAAATTAATCCACGTTCGAACTCGGAGAGGCTGAGTCCTGAACAGGCTGTTAGAACAGTAGGCTGTGGCCTCAGAGAAAGGAGAATCATAATACCTGCGTAATTCACTCGGCAGGGTGCTTGTGGACTCTGATAGTGATAATCTAGGACCAGTAATTAGTCAACTATATTTCCCTGTCTTCATCCATGTGTCCAGTATTTATGATGTGCCTGTGAGCTTTGTAATTATTAGTATGTCTAAGTTTTTGTAGGGCATACAGATTTTCCATCCATTGCCTGAAGGTGTTTATTGTCCAAGAATAACAACTATAATAATAAAAGTACTGAATCCCACTGATTAAATATCTACTATGTGCTGTTCATGATCTCACTGTATTGTGACAATTATAATTACATAGCTATTATCAGGCCATTTTATAGATGAAGAAATTGAGGCTCAGGGAGGTTAAGGAGCTTGCTCTCCATTCAGGACACACAGCTTCTGGTCAGTGCTGAAGCCAAGATTGATATCCAGACTCTATACTATAAAGCCCTTGCTCTTAGTATAACTACAAAGCCCTTGCTCTTGGTTGCTGGTCCAGGGAGGAGTCTATCGACCGTGAGAGATCACCCACTAAATGAAGGTGGACTTTTGAGCCCTGGCTTCAACCAGAACGGTCAAAAAAGCCTTCTTGCAAGGGCAGGACGCAGAAAGTGTTCTGCAGCCTGAGGAGAGGAGGCATTTCACGAAGGCGAGAGGGGTCAGTGAGGAGGGGCAAGGACCAAAGACATTGAGGATGGTCACAGCTGCTGCTGCCTCCCCTGAGCTTCCCAACAGCCCCATGAGGGAGGAGGGGCAGGGATAACACCTCCATTTTGAAACGACGGGAGCTCAAAGAGGTTTATGTGGCTTGCGCAAGGTACCCCGCTACTAAATGATAAAAGTGTGTCCCCTGACTCCTTTCATTTTACAAGTAGCATGGAACCATGGAATTTTTGTGGCTAGAGTATGGGAGATGGGGAGGTGGATCCTCTTGTATCATTAAATGTATAATTTTCATTATCGTTGTAAGAGCATCATTCTTAACCTTTTTTTTTTTTCATGCCACAGACCCCTTTGGCAGTCTCACGAAGTCTGTGGATCCCTTTGCCAAAAAATAGTCCTGTTTTTAAAATTGTAGTAAATACAAATAACATAAAATGTACCATCTTAACTATTTTTAAGCATACAGTTCAGTGGCATTAAGTACATTCAGACTGTTTTGCTACCTTCACCACCATCCATCCACAGAATTATTTTTATCTTGCAAAATTGAAACTCTGTACCCATTAAACAATAACTCCCCATTCTCCCTACCTTCTAGCCCCTGGGAACCACCATTGTACTTCCTGTCTCTATGAATTTGACTACTCTGGACACCTCATTTCAGTGGAATTATGCAGTCTTTATCCTTTTGCGACTGGCCTACTTCACTTGGCATCTCGTCCTCAAGGTTCATGAATGTTGTAGCATGTGTTGGAATTTTCTTCCTTTTTAAGGATGAGTAATATTCCATTGTATGCATATACCACATTTTGTTTACCCATTTATCCCTTGACAGATACTTGTGTTGCTTCCACCTTTTGGCTATTGCAAATGATGAGCCAAATAATGTTTTAAAATACATAAAATTACATATGTGTATATATAGTATATATTATATAAATGTATATTTACAGAAATTATATGCGATGTAATTACAAAGGAAAATATTTATATTGATATACAGTTATCTATCTATTGATCTATAATCTATCTATATTTTTTGAGACAGGGTCTCACTCTGTCACCCAGCAAGAGTGCAATGGCACAGTCATGGCTTATGGCAGCCTTGAACTCCTGGGCTCAAGTGATCCTCTCACCTCAGGCTCCCGAGTAGTTGGGACTACAGGCACACACCACCATGCCTGGCTAATTTTTATATTTTTTGTGGAGATGGGGGTCTCACTTTGTTGCCCAGGTTGGTCTCAAACTCCCGGCCTCAAGCAAACCTCCAGTCTCAGCCTCCCAAAGTGTTGGGATTACAGGCACGAGCCACCACTTCTGACTTTCAATATGTTTTTTAAAAATTGGCCAGGTGCAGTGGCTTACACTGGGAGACCGAGGTGGGTGGATCACTTGAGGTCAGGAGTTCAAGACCAGCCTGGCCAACATGGTGAAACCCCGTCTCTACTAAAAATACAGAAATTAGCCTGGCGTGGTGGTGGGCACCTGTAATCCAAGGAAGCTGAGGCAGGAGAATCACTTGAACCTGGGAGGAGGTGGCTACAGTGAGCCGAGATTGCACCACTGCACTCCAGCCTGGGTGACAGAGTGAGACTCCGTCTCAAAAAAAAAAAAAAAAAAATTGATTATGATATAGAAAAATGTCAGCTCCTTTACTAAGGCAGATAATAAAATCCAGCACAGGCTTAATAACTACCCTAACTTGGAAAAAGCAATGAATGTAAGTGATATTTTGAGATATGCTATGAAAATATCAGTGATTTCCATTGCTAACAAAGTCCCAGGTATGGCTAACATTCCTGTGGTTTGTTGCCTACATTCATAATAGAAGAAAATGCTAAATTTCAGTTGGAGATTTGTGAAAATACAGATGATTATTTCTCATATAAGTCCAGGATCCCCTGGAATTCTCTTCCCAGGCCCTGGGAAATTCCAGCCATTACGAGCACACAGCTTTAGCGCTTGAGGAAAGCCTTCTTTATAACCCTCCAGGCCTAAAGTGAGGGCTCTAAATTCAAACTTTTTGGTTTGGGGTGATCTGTTCCTGGCTTGGCCCAGCTGTGTGAACTTGCCTCTCTGAGCCTCTGTTTCCTCATCTATGGTTGGACACCAATACCTGCCCCTTAGAAGTTATGGCGTCCTGTGACTAATGAGCCTCCTTTAAAAAGATGAATAGACCGGGCGTGATGGCTCATGCCTGCAATCCCAGCACTTTGGGAGACCAAGGCAGGCAGATCACTTGAGGTCAGGAACTTGAGACCAGCCTGACCCACATGGTGAAACCCTGTCTCTCCTACAAATACAAAAATTAGCTGGGCATGGTGGCAGGTGCCTGTAATCCCAGCTACTTGGGAGGCTGAGGCAGGAGAATCGCTTGAACCTGGGAGAAGGCGGTTGCAGCGAGCTGAGATCACGCCATTGCACGCCAGCCTGGGTGACAGAGCGAGATTCCATCTCAAAAAAAAAAAAAAAAAAAAAAAGAAAGAAAGAAAGGATAAAACCAGGCAAGCATTTTGGCCCAGGTTTATCTAAATCTCAAAAATCCCCTTCTCTATCCATGATGGATGGCAAGATAGAAAGCTTTTTACATCCATGTTTTCCAGAACCTCATTTTCTTCCTTCCATTCAGGGTAAACAACACAACTAAGCCAGACCCTGACTCTTCCTTCTATCTTAGTCTTTTGGGAGCCAAGATTGGCATCTTGTTTTCACAGACCCTAAGTTGTCTAAAACTTTTACATACCAGGGGGTGGTCTGGGATCCTATCAGGGGCCATAAAAGACCATAGGCAGCAAAGATAGGGGATCAGCAGGGATATGCTTAAACAATTCACTGGAAAAAGGAAGCCACAAAGGGAGGTTTACATGCAGGTGTCCAGGCATTCTAGTTATGTGCCTTAAGATAACCAAATCCGGGGTGAGGGGAGGGGGGAGGGATAGCTTTAGGAGATATACCTAATGCTAAATGACGAGTTAACGGGTGCAGCACACCAGCATGGCACATGTATACATATGTAACTAACCTGCACATTGTGCACATGTACCTTAAAACTTTAAGTATAATAATAATAAAATAAAAAAGAAAAACCCAATAATAGTTCTACAACATTAAAAATTATAGTCAAAATAATTTAAAAATACATAACTCATATTTTTGTAATCAGAAGAAATGTTTATTAAAAATACAAAAACATAAAAAAAACAAAAAAAGATAACCAAATCCCTGGCTGAAGATGGCAGACAGGAATGCACTAAATTTGCTGCCTGTTGAACAGGTTTAGTCTCTTCTGTTTTTTGTTGTTGTTGTTTTATTTTGAGATGGAGTCTCGCTCTGTCACCAGGCTGGAGTGCAATGGAGCAATCTCAGCTCACTGTAACCTCCGCCTCCGGGGTTCAAGTGATTCTCCTGCTTTAGCCCCCTGAGTAGTTGGGACTACAGGCACCTGCCACCACGCCCAGCTAATTTTCATATTTTTAGTAGAGACGGGGTTTCACCATGTTGGCCAGGATGGTCTCAATCTCTTGACCTCGTGATCCGCCCACCTCGGCCTAGTGCTGAGATTACAGGCATGAGCCACTGTGCCCGGCCTAGTCTCTTCTGTTTTAATACTGAACATTTCATACTGAAATCTTTTTTTAAACTATGAGATAGGATAATACTAACTAGCTCATAAGATAATACTAACTGGCTCATAAGATTGTGGATTGATTGAGATAATGCTTATGGAAGCTCTTGTCCAACCCGAGCTGAAGCTGCAACACCACTGGGAGGGGATTTGGGTGCTCTCCACCCCCTTACCCCAAGAACTGTTTGCACGAATTGATGTGCACATCAGTTTGGTTCTTAATTGAGAGAAAATGGTGGAGTTCCTCCCACCAACCTCTGCCTCAGGAGTACCTGGGAGGGAGGGGAGAATGGAGGGCATGAACCACTGTTTTTGTCTCCCTGTCCCCTAATACTGGGGTGGGGAAGGAGCTATGTTTATATGATACTTTTTGAACTTGTGCCCAAGCACTGTTGGCTCAGAGTCCAAGGGACAAAATGTGACACTGAACAAACAGGGAGAGGGCAGGTCTTCCCACATCCCTTCCATTCTGCCCAAAGGGGCCACCGGCAGGGGCCCTATGGAGAGCAATGACATAGTGGGGAGAGGGGATAGTGCCTCACAGAGACAGAATATCATGAGAAACTCAGTGCTGTGTATATGGAGATCAGAATCCCCTGGGAATTCTGGAAAATAAGTGTTGGGGGAGAGGGAAGATGTCAAGCAAGGCCTAATTTGATGAGCAGATGGGGGCTGGGAGCTGGCAAGAATCTACTATTAATGTCGACATTACCTCATTTGCACTGCTTCTCTTTTGAGCCTGGGACATAATGAGTAAAGCAACATCTTCCCAGAAACCCAAGAAATTCCTCTTCTATTTCTGAGTCTGAGATATAGTAAAGTATCACACATATACTTGCTTACTAGCAATATTGTTGTTAAGGTATTACTCTGCTATCAACTATGTAGGAGAAAGGTTAACAGAGTCAAATGGCTGCTTGTTAATGACCTGGGATTCAGTCAGGTTTCTCTGATACGAAAGCTCATACTTTCTCATTCTAGGATAACTTTTCCCCTAAATTTATCTTGGAAAAGAAGAAAATATGTTCAGTAAGTTAAACATAGAAATACCATATGCCCCAGCAATTCTACTCCTAGGAATATATCCAAAAGAATCCAGGACAGATAATCAAACAAAAACTTGTACATGAATGTTCACTGTTCCTAATAGCCAAATATGTAAACAACCCATATATCTACAAACTGATGGGTGGATAAACAAAACGTGATGTGCCCATACAACAAAATGGTCTTGAGTCACAAAGAATGAAATACTAATACATGCTACAACATGGATGCACCTTGGAAACATCATGATAAGTGAATGAAGCCAGTCATCAAAGACCACTCATTGTATGATTCCAAATATGTGTTATGTTCAGAAAAGGAAAATCCATGGAGACAAAAAGCAGATTAGTGTTTGCTGGGGTTCAGGGTAAGGGGAATGGGGAGTGACTGCTAATGGGTACAGGGTTTCTTTTGCAGGTGATAAAAATGTTCTAGAATTAGATTGTAGTGACATAACAGCTATACAACATCATAAATGTACTAAAAGCCATTGAATTGTATACTTTCAAAATGGTTAAAATGGTGTGTTTTAGGGTTTTTTTTTTAACCATAATAAAAAAGAAAACAGCAAGGAGCGAGTATTTAAATAGGAACATTAAGCACATTCCAGCACTTTCCAGGTGCTCTGTTTCCCAGAAATCTATTTTCTGGATTTTTAGTACAATAAGAACTTCCCCATTTGGAACTACTTAGGCAACTTCATCTAAGCAGAGCACAGCTGAGAATCAGGAAGAAAACCCAGCTCTAAGGTTCTCCTTCAATGTCTGTGAGAAGAAGGCTGAAGGGTGAGCTAAGTCCATCCATGTGTTATAACTTGGTATGCTCCTGGATTATAGTGATTCTCTGAGTTATCAAGACAAGGTTAATTCCATCCTGAGTTTCTAGAAAACAGTTTTAGTCCTCTCAATTTGGTTTCTGCCTTGCTACATAGCAAATTATGTGGTCCTTCTTCTTCTTTTTTTTTTTGAGATGGAGTTTCGCTCTTGTTGCCCAGGCTGGAGTGCAATGGCGCGATCTTGGCTCACCGCAACCTCTGCCTCCCGGATTCAAGCGATTCTCCTGCCTCAGCCTCCCGAGTAGCTGGGATTACAGTCATGCACCACCACGCCCGGCTAACTTTTTTTATATTTTTAGCAAAGACGGAGTTTCACCATGTTGATCAGGCTGGTCTTGAACTCCTGACCTCAGGTGATCCACCCGCCTCAGCCTGCCATACTGCTGGGATTACAGGTGTGAGCCACCGCGCCCAGCCTAATTATGTAGTCCTTGATTCTTTTCTGAGAACTTTGAAGACTTGAATGGAGTTTTAGGATAGACTCAATTTTGTAATAAACTCATGTTCTTCAATGTGCTTGATTAGGACATTACTCTGAACCTAGGACCAAGTATTGAAAGATAAGTGTTCCACTGAATAGCCACAACAACTCCAATATGACACTGGACCTTGGGTTTTTCAACCATGGGACAGGGTGGTCTTCAATACAAGGCTATTATGAGAGTTAAATATGATACTGACAAGCTATTAATTATTGGGTTGGCAGCAAGAATTCTCTGGGCTAATATAGTACTAATAATAGCTAACATGTATGATGCATTTTTGCATTGTACATATTATGCATAGGCTAAGCACTTTACACAACATCCATGTACATATATGGGATAAGTTCTTCTTTAGTCCCAGTTAGCACATAAAGAAACTAAAGGCGAGATAGTAAATAACTTATCCAAGGTGCCAGAGCCAGTAAATGTTTGAGCCAAGATGTGACTCCAGCAGCCTGAGCACTGCCTCTTGTGCATAATATATTACATTTTTCATATAATGTCAAGGAAAAAGTCAAGCAGAACTGAGGGATGTAATCAATGCTTTTAAAAGTATCTTGAGTATCTTTGTATGAAATGGCATCCAAAATCATTGGAGCCACCTCAAAGCTGGTTGTTCGCATTTCTTTGAAAAATCCACACTCAGTGACATTCATTTCAGTAGCTTGAGATCAGCCATGGTAGGAGTATTTACGTTATGGAAATTAGCAAATGCTCCTAATAAGGGCTTTTTTTTTTTTTTCCCCAGAGAGCCTATTAAACATTTGCCAGCATACCACTAGCTAAAATAATTTCTGGGCCAGGCATGGTGGTTCACACCTGTAATCCTAACAGTTCGGGAGGCTGAGCCAGACAAATCAGTTGAGGCCAGGAGTTCGAGACCATCCTGGCCAACATGGCGAAACCCTGTCTCTACTAAAAATACAAAAATTAGCTGGGTGTGGTGGCGCATGCCTGTAATTTCAGCTACTCTGAAGGCTGGGGCAGGAGAATTGCTTGAGCCCAGGAGGCAGAGGCTGCAGTGAGCTGAGATTGTGCCACTGCATTCCAGCCTGGGCAACACAGCGAGACCCTGTCTCAAATAAATAAATAAATAAATAAAATAATTTTTATTAGCAGAAAGAATATCTGATAATGATAATAAAAGCATTTTTCTTCATTTGCAAAGCTGCAAATATAAACCCACGAAAGCAAGAGGACTTCTCTTGATCAGTCTCAACTTTGAAAGAATGAGAAGAAAATCATAACAGAAAGAAACCTGAGGCTGGGCACAATGGCTCGCGCCTGTAATCGCAGTACTTTGGGAGGCCGAGGCAGGCAGATCAACTGAGGTCAGGAGTTTGAGACCAGCTTGGCCAACATGGTGAAACCCCATCTCTACTAAAAATACAAAAATTAGCCGGGCGTGGTGGCGGGCACCTATAATCCCAGCTACTCGGGAGGCTGAGGCATGGGAATTGCTTGAACCCAGGAGGCAGAGATTTCAGTGAACCGAGATCACACCACTGCAATCCAGCCTGAGAGAGCGAGACTCTGTCTCAAAAAAAAGAAAAAAAGAAAGAAACCTGAGGCTGGGCACGGTGGCTCACGCCTGTAATCCCAGCACTTTGGGAGGTCGAGGAGGGCAGATCACCTCAGGTCAGGAGTTTGAGACCCGCCTGGCCAACATGGTGAAACCCTATCTCTACTAAAAATACAAGAATTAGCTGAGTATGGTAGTATGCGCTTGTAATCTCAGCTACTCGGGTGGCTGAGGCACTAGAATTGCTTGAATTTGGGAGGTGGAGGTTACAGTGAGCTGAGATCGCACCAGTGCACTCCAGCCTGGGCGACAGAGCGAGACTCCATCTCAAAAAAAAAACAAAACAAAAACAAAAAACAAACCTGAGATCTTAAGCAGCCTCTGGATTTGTGCTTTTCCCGGGCACAGCTTCCATTCTTTGAAACAGACACTGAACATCTAAATTGTGTTGTCCTGTTTAGTCCTTCCACCAAGGCAGGCAATAGATACTATCATTATCTGCGTTTTAAGAATGAGAAAACTGAGCCTTAGAAAAGTTAAGTAACTTGTTTGAGCTAGAAAGTGGCAAAGCCAAGATTGGAATCTAGGTAGTGTAAATTCAGAACTCACCTTTCTCCACCACTGGGCTTCAAAATAGCTTCAATATCTTTGAATTCACCATTTCCCTTAGGTGCCGTTGCTTAGGATATTCTTAAACATCTTGGCAAAAACTAAAATGGAGGCAGTTGGACAAACCACCCAAGGCCAAACCATATTGGTGATTTGCACATATGATCTCAGTCTTGTCCTTAAGGTTTCAGGGACCCCACATCAACAGGTGCTGAGAGAGAAGAAACTAGTCTGGAGCAGGAAAAAAAACAAAACGAAGCATCGAATAAAACAAAAAAGCAGGCCGGGTGCGGTGGCTCATGCCTGTAACCCCAGCACTTTGGGAGGCCGAGGTGGGCAGATCACAAGGTCAGGAGATTGAGACCATCCTGGCCAACATGGTAAAAACCCATCTCTACTAAAAATACAAAAATTAGCTGGGTGTGGTGGCACATGCCTGTAAATCTCAGCTTCTTGGGAGGTTGAGGCAGGAGAGTGGTTTGAATCCGGGAGGCAGAGATTGCAGTGAGCCAAGATCGCATCACTGCATTCCAGCCTGGTGACAGAGCGAGACTCTGTCTCAAAAAACAAAAACAAAACAAAACAAAAACAAAAACAAACAAACAAAAAACACAAAAAAGCAGGAGCAAGAACTCTTGAATAATTAACCCATATATTTTGAGCACCTACTATGCGTCAGGTATAGTTCAGGGTGCCAGGGATAAAACAAGACCAAAGCAGTCGAGTCTCTGCACTAGAGTTTATACTCGACCACAATAATGATCATTTATGGAGTGCTTGCTGTGTGCCAGCACCCTGCTAAGCATTTATACTCATTGTCTTACCTAATCCTTGAAACAAGATGTTGAAATAAGGGCATGACCAGCTGGTACCCTTGGCAAGTTGCTTGAGCATTCTGTGGTCATTTCCCAGGTATGTAAAATGGAGATAATATTGAACTACTTCACTGGGTTGTTGTGAAAATGAAAGGAAGCGATAATTTGTATGTAAAGAGCTGACCATAGTGTTGGTCCATAATATGCCATCTGCGCTAGCTTTTTGTTAGCACAAAAAATACTTTTTTAATAAGAAAAGTACTATGAGTAGTGCCATCTCACAGATGTGAAAACTGAGGCTCAAGTCTCACAATCAATGCTGACTGCCTGTCCACTGTACCATATTGCCCTTGGAAAGTGGGAAGCAGGAAGGGACCAGGTGGAACAGGCTGAATGCCTATTGAGTCTGAAGAGAAAAAGTGGAAAGAGAAAAGTCGTGGCAGAGATAGGAGTCATATGCAGACTTCTAGGATGCAGAGTGATGCAGTTTGGACAGTTCCCACCTATGAAGGGCGTCAGAAAGGCGAGGCTCTCTAATTAGCCTAAGCTCTGGGTCATCTCTAGGGAAACTTTCCTGGCTGCCACCTATCCCCAACTGTCTCCTGCCAGCCCAGAATAGGTGTCCTTCTACCCCCATAAACATTTCCATAGCCCCATGAGGTTCTTTCTTTCTCACCATGCACCACATTGCACTAGAATTTCCTGTTTGGGTCTCTGTGTACCTTTCAAATCTTGGAAATCTCTCCAGCCTCAGCACCCAGTACTCCTGGTTACAGCTCAGTAAATGTCTGGACAATAGACTGCATTTATGATCAAGAAGCACTAAATCTTTCACCTCAAGGAGAAGCTTATAGGCATAAACACTTACTTAGAAAAGTGAGTTGAGGGCCGGGCACGGTGGCTTACGCCTGTAATCCCAGCACTTTGGGAGGCCGAGGGGGGCAGATCACGAGGTCAGGAGATCAAGACCATCCTGGCTGACACGGTGAAACCCTGTCTCTACTAAAAATAAAAAATAAAAATAAAAATAAAAATTAGCCGGGCATGTGGCAGGCGCCTGTAATCTCAGCTACCTGGGAGGCTGAGGCGTGAACCCGGAGGCGGAGTTTGCAGTGAGCCAAGATTCCGCCACTGCACTCCAGCCTGGGTGACAGAGCGAGACTCCGTCTCAAAGGAAAAAGAAAAATGAGTTGAACGTTAGGGCCTTTACCTACTAATACAGTAGTTACCCCTTATCCATGGTTTCAGTTGCTAGTGGTCAACCACAGTCCAAAAATATTAAGGTATTTAGGGATAGAGGGGAGAAAGTCATGCCACATTCACATAACTTTTATTACAGTGTATTTTTATAATTATTCTATTCCATTATTATTTATTGTTGTTAATCTCTCACCATGTCTAATTTATAAATTAAACTTTATCATAGGTATGTATGTATAGGAAAAACATGGTATATATAGGGCTCAGTACTATCATAGTTTTAGGCCTCTACCACAGGTCTTGGAACGTCTCCCCCGTGGATGAGAGGGTCTCATTGTACCTAAAAAAGGATGCTCATGCTTCTGCCATATACAAAGGAAGTTGTTACAGTTTTTAGTATCCTTAAGGGGGTTTGAATAAGGTGTCCAAGTTTCTCAATGTCCTGGAAACAACCCTCAGAATAGGTGAGCTATCACAGGTCACAGAGCTGAGACAGGCCATGGATTGCCTGGCTGTGCCATGATTTGTCTAACCATCACAGAGCTTGTAGGTTAGGTGCATTTGACTCTTCCAAGCAATGCTAAGAAGGCATTCTGAACCTATAGCCTTGTACTGTTGTGTAAATACATTCCTAGGGGGAAATTGCTAGGTCAAAAGCATTCTCATAAAGATTTCATTTTAAAAACTCAAATATTAGAAAGTGCCCATGTGAAACCTGGCTAATGACAGTTACCTCAAAGGCAAATACCTCAAGTACCTTTTCCATGGACATGTTATTTATCTATTCTGACTCTAAGATTTCACAACTCTCGCAGCTCTGTGTTCTCTGAGATTGACATTGCAGTAAGCAGCAGGAATGCCCAGGAGAACATGTCAAGAGGAAGAAAAGACAAAGTCAGAGACAGCAAGAAAAACAACATAGAAGAAACTGAAATAGAAAAGATGGCTTGGGGCTGAAAGAAAGGCATTTCAAAGTCAAAAGAAGAGGAAAAATAAGGCTAATCTTTACCTGAAAAAGGATCTTTTAAAATTTTCTGGCCAGGCACGGTGGCTCACACCTGTAATCCCAGCACTTTGGGAGGCTGAGATGGGCGGATCATGAGGTCAGGTGTTCGAGACCAGCCTATCCAATATGGTGAAACCCCATCTCTACTAATAATACAAAAATTAGCCAGGCACGGTGGCACGCACCTGTAGTCCCAGCTACTCGGGAGGCTGAGGCAGAAGAATCACTTGAACCCAGGAGGTGGAGGTTGAAGTGAGCCGAGATCACACCACTGCACTCCAGCCTGGGTGACAGAGCAAGACTCCATCTAAAAAAATAAATAAATAAAATAAAATAAAGTTTTCCTTTGAAAAACCCATAATGCTAGTAAATAGGTTCTGATAAGAAAAGCAATGTCCTGAAGTAGGAAGAGATCCCTTGTTTTGCAGACGGAGAGATGAGTCTCAGGGGCCAACTGACTTGCTCAAGAACACGTGGCTAGTTGAGGACCAGAGCTGTGGCTCCTCAGTCTTGCTGCATCATGGCCTTTATTTTTCCTTCCATTTTTCTCCACTTATCCCTTTATAATTACTCTACTTAAGCAATATAGATTATTCATTCAAAGCTGGAACATCATTTTCTCATTTCAGTGAGTTTAAATAGCGATGACGGAGCCTGTTCTTAGTGTTTAACAATCAAAACCAATTATGACTCTTTCTTTCCTTCATGTAATAAAACACACTGTCCTTTTCAGAATGTAGTGTTTTTATTCTATGACATCAACAGGCTAATGAGAACAATAATATGGCAACAAAACCTCCAGAGAAGATGTGTACTAAATATAATCAAGTAAGCCCAGTTATTCAGGATTGTGGAAATAGTGTCATGGATACAAAATAAAGAATAAAAGTAGCTCAAAGGATGCTGAACTCATGAGCATGAGTCAGGGCACACTCATGTGTGTTCATCCCAGTGATAAGACCAGCTACAACAAGCTCAATTTCCTTCTGCCCTTTGGAGGGCATTGACAAGCCTCTGGATACTTTCTTGGTATTGAATCCAAATTCCTCAAACTGCCCACGCTATGCTTGGCAAACCCAGAAAATGTTCCCACTTTGTCCCTATAGCAGAGGAAAACTGAGTCAAGAGCCACCCTAAGCACTTGTTCAATTAATTACCCATCCATTCATCCATCCATTTATCCATCTCTCCTTTCATCTATCCCTCCCTTCTTCCGTCCATCTATCAAACATTTGTTGAGCTCCCACCATGTGGGAGTTCAGTTAGTGAATATGGAAATGGCTCACTAATTGGAAATAACAACGCAGTCTTGACTTTTGGCTTTTTACTATCCCTGGGTGTTTGTTCCTTGTTTATAGAGAGGGATAGCCAATCCTGAGGTTTTGGTCCAGCTATGGAATTTATATGGATGTGGTTGCTCTTCTCTCTGTCATTCTGTGTATAGCTAGAGAAATGAAGCAAGAAAAAAATGAATATTAAAGGCAATCCTATTTTTCTTGGACTCTAATTTGAAAAGCACATTTTTTTTTTGAAATCCAAGGAAGAGTATTTGCCAATGAGCCCTTCAATGAGGCAAAAAGAATTCCAGTGGATCCCAGGAAGACAGTCTGTGTTTAGGAAGGAAATATCCTGGGAGGTCCCTTTCTCTTGCATAGAGGATCCTGGCCTAGTCCAGCACTAGAGGCACTTGACACCAATGCCACTAGGAAATTGCATCCTCAGTTGTCTAAGGGGCTCTGGTCATGACCCTGCCCTTTTTCTTCCTTGGCAAAATTGCCCATATTTCAGTTTCAGGGGACTGAAGAATCTACAGTATTCCCCTAAGATCCCAGGATAGGTTCATAAAATGTGACTATCTGAAATTGAAGGAAGGAGAGTGACAAAAGTAGATGAGACAATCTATTCCTCCCTCACCCATCAAGACTGTAAGCTCAATAAGGACAGGAACTCTGTTAATCATGTTCATTGTTTTATCCCTAGGGCCTGGCAATATGATATTCAATGCTTAGCAAATATTCATTTAATTAATAATAGTTAATTATTAATTTTATAATTATAATTTTATAAATATAAATTCATGCAAATTATAAAACTGTTGCAGTCTTCTCAGGAAATATTTGTAGCACCCAAACTGCTAAGTAATAGAAAGTACATCAGACTTAGAGTAAGAAAGCTTGAGTCTGATTTCTTTTTCTTTTTCTTTCTTCCTTTTTTTTTTTGAGACAGAATCTCACTCTGTCACCCAGGCTGGAGTGCAGTGGCTCAATCTTGGCTCACTGCAACTTCCACCTCCCAGGTTCAAGAGCGATTCTCCTCTCTCAGCCTCCCGAGTAGCTGGGATTACAAGTGCATGCCACCATGCTCAACTAATTTTTGTATTTTTAGTAGAGATGGGGTTTCACTATGTTGGCCAGGATGGTCTTGAACTCCTGGCCACAAGTGATCTGCCAACCTAGGCCTCCCAAAGTGCTGGGATTACAGGCATGAGCCACCGCACCCAGCCCCTGAGTCTGATCTCCATTTACTAGCTGTGGGTACCAATTTTCATGTCTTTAAAATGGGATCAATAGCATCTACCTCACAGAGTTATTGGGAGGATTAAATAGAATCACATATTTAAGAGGCCATAGCACAATGCCTGACACAGTGATATGTTCTTAAGAAATGCTAGGGGACTGCGCAAATCTTAGCAAGAGGCCTACAGTGAGCCTAAAATGGAAGCATCGCTGGGTGCAGTGGCACATGCCTGTAGTCCCAGCTACTTGGGAGGCTGAGATGGGAGGATCTCTTTAGCCCAGGAGTTTGAGTCCAGACTGGGCAATATAGCAAGATGATGCCTCTAAAAAAAAAAAAAAAAGTTATAAAAAGGGAACACCAATGAAAATGTAACCACTGAAAGAGAAGCTAAATTCATGAAAATTATGAGGACAATAACTGAATCCAAATTCCCCAAACTGTCCAAGCTATGCTTGGCAAACCCAGAAAATGTTCCTACTGTGTCCTTATAGCAGAGGAAAACTGAGTCAAGAGCCACCCTAAGCACTCATTCAATTAATTACCATCCATTCATCCATCCATTTATCCATCTCTCCCTTCATCTATCCCTCCCTTCTTCCATCCCTCTATCAAACATTTATTGAGCTTCCACCATGTAGGAGTTCAGTTAGTGAATATGGAAATGGCTCACTGATTGGAAATCAGTGAGGACAGTTCCTGTCCTTATTGAGCTCACAGTCTTGACGGGGTGAGGGAGGGATAGATTATCTCATCTACATTTTTTTTTTTTTGAGACGGAGTTTCATTCTGTTGCCCAGGCTGGAGTGCAGTGGCCTGATCTTGCCTCACTCACTGCAAGCTCCGCCTCCCCGCCATTCTCCTGCCTCAGCCTCCCGAGTAGCTGGGACTACAGGCACCTGCCACCATGCCCAGCTAATTTTTTATATTTTTAGTAGAGACAGGGTTTCACCGTGTTAACCAGGATGGTCTCGATCTCCTGACCTCATGATCTGCCTGCCTCAGCCTCCCAAAGTGCTGGGATTACAGGCATGAGCCACCGCGCCCAGCCTATCTCATCTACGTTTGTCACTCTCCTTCCTTCAATTTCAGATAGTCACACTTTGTGAACCTATCCTGGGATCTTAGGGGAAGACTAGATTCTTCAGTCCCCTGAAACTGAAAATCATTTGTCGTCCTATTATAGTGACAATTTTTTTTTTTGATATGGAGTCTCACTCTGTCGCCCAGGCTGGAGTGCAGCGGCACTATCTTGGCTCACTGCAACCTCCACCTGCCTTAGCCTCCCGAGTTCAAGCGATTCTCCTGCCTTAGCCTCCTGAGTAGCTGGGACTACAGGTGCATGCCACCACGCCCAGCTAATTTTTTGTATTTTTAGTAGAGATGGCATTTAATCATGTTAGCCAGGATGGTCTTCATCTCCTGACCTCGTGATCCACCTGCCTCAGCCTCCCAAAGTCCTGGGATTATAGCCGTGAGCCACCGTGCCTGGCCTATAACGGCAAAAATGTTTTATCACTGATATGAAAAATATTTTTTAAAGGAAAATCAGTGGAAAAGTTTTGCTGGTGTTTCTTTGACAATTGTCACTGCTGAGCTTATTTTCATGTGAACAAGACAGGCTTTCAGCTTTCCTGAGTTGTCAAGTGATAGCTTAATAAAATTTGCTTTCCAAGTACTTATTCAGAAAAATTATCCAAAATTTGGAAATAAAGCAAAGACATTGTTGTGTGTCCTTGTTTCAATGACATACTAGAGAACTGTCCAAGAAGCTCACTTAGAGATCATCTTGTGCTCTTGGAATTATTATTTTGCTTCACTTACTCTTTACTATTTATATGAACTGAATGTTTGTGTCCCTCCTCAAATTTGTATATTGAAGCCTTAACCCCCAGTGTGGCTGTATTTAGAGATGGGGTGTCTAAGAAAGCAATTAAGATTAGATGAGGTCATAAGAGTGAGACTCTGATGTGATAGGATTAGTGTCCTTATAAGAGACACCAGCTTGAACACACTGAAGAAAGGCCAGGTGAGGACACTGTGAGAAGGTGGCCCTCTGCAAGCCACAAAGAGGGCTCTCACCAGAAGCCAAACCAGCCAGAACCTGGATCTTGGATGTCAAGCCTCTACAACTGTGAACAAGTTAATTTATATATTTTAAACCACCTAGTCTTGGTACTTTGTTGCGGCAGCCTGAGCTAAGACATTATTGCTTAACGTTCAGACTCTGTAACGTTGGGCATTCACTTGTAGAAGATCGACAAGTTGCTTGTGGATGTTTCTAGTAGAGATGTAAATTATTTCTATTTGTAGAAATGAGAGTGCAAAGATCAGTTTTACTGACCTGTAGGACAGTAACCATTTTATATCTAATGTCATCTGAGTTTCAGTTTTCCTGCTTTGTAAAACACCAATAACAGTTCCTCCTTCATAGGGTTGTTGTACCACTAAATGTAACACATGTAGCACTTGTAGGGCACTGCCGGACACGTAGTAAGCTTTCAATTAAATTACACTCACTACAATTATTTAGATCGGAGGTCTACAGATGTGTTTTGTTGGGTTTGCACAGCATTTAAAAATATGAGTAGCCAATAGGTAAAAGTCAGGACATTTCACGTATTTCAGATGTTAACGTCTCTTTAAAAATCAAAATATTAGTCAGTACAAGGCTTAAATTATTATATGGCAACCAACAACTTTAAGTTGGTGTCATCTGCCCTTTGGGATGGGCAGGTGTTTTTCCACTTGCCATAGGCCACATCTGGGCCCCTTTGTTCCTTTATATTACTTTCCAGGTCTCTGAGGCGCCAACCCCTGGTTTAGAGCATCATCTTCTTGTTCCCCAATTGAAATGACCTTCAGCCCAGTTTCCAGAGGCTCCAGAACCAGGACCTGCCCAATAGGACCCCAGTGGTACTTTAGGGGAGCGCTTCAAGTGCTCATGGTTCAGCCTGATAGTATGGGACGTCTTCACAGAAAATTGTCCCTTCTCATCTCTTCCCCAGCCCTGCAGGAAGGGCGTGGTATACTCAAAGTACATACAGTAGACATCCTCTTGAGGCTTTCTGAGATGTAGCATCCTGCCTAGATAGTCTTGGTGACTTAGCAGCTTTTAGCCCTGTGTCAAATCACTAGACTAGCTGATAATAATAGTAAACTTTAACATGAGTCCCACTCCCCGCCATACTGGTCACTTGGTGTAGAATCCTCCAAACAACTTGAAGTAGGTATCACAGGTCCACAATCTGAAATTCCAAAGCTCTAAAAACCCAAATTCTTCTTGTAGCGAAATCTAACCTGAACCAACATGAAGCTATATATAGTCTTTATTTTTCCCGCCTAATATAAATACTCTGACATTTTGCTGCAGAAATGGTAATGTGTTTGATTACTGGGTACTGCCCTAAACCCTGCTAGAGGTATGGTATTCAGACTGTTCCTTCTAGAATTTGAAAACCTGGCTCCAAGTGTTTCAGATAAGGTATCGAGAATATATATTATTCCCATTTTATAGATGAGGAAACTGAATCCCTGAGAAATTAAAACAAGAAAATCCACATTATCTCCTGACTGCTCATCAGCCAGTCCTTCCTGGATGGCCTTGGGCACCTTATATTGACTGTCTGGATTTCAGTTCCTCTTTCTATAAAATGACAGGTAGCACTATTAGCTGTCATACACTGAATGGATTTTAGGTCATTTCGTTCTCTCTAAACCTTCACCACAACGTGGGTGTTATGGTTATTATCCTCATTTTGCTAATGGAGAAACTGAAACTCAAAGAACTGAAACAATTTGCCCAAGGTCACCCAGCCAGTCAATGAAGCACTGACATGTGAACCAGTTCTGTCTGTATTTGGCATCAGACACCCTTTCGTGGGATTCAAGAGCTTCTTGCAGCTCTAGGAAGAGTACCTTTCTCTTATATCCCTATCAGATTTCTTCAGTGAAAAAAATGCCTGGCCCATTTTATCTTTCATTCTTTATATTCCAGCAGCCACCAACCTTATAGAGAGGCCAGGAAAGCTTTGAAAATGATGTTTACTGTCCCCTATCTCCTGCCTTCCAGGGAAGGGTTCAAACATGTCAACTTTCAGGCTATTGCAGGCATTTCTAGGACCCCGCCTCAGTGGTCTGTCTCTCTGGCTTCCTGCTGTAAAGATTTCTGCAAGTAGGTGCAACATTTCTCTAGGGGCTTTTGGCCCCAGTAGGTCTGAAGCCAACAGCTCCTGTTAATGAGGTCTGTTCCTCCTCCCACCATCTCTCCTGGATGATTCTCCTCCTCTCACATGGGGGACACGACACAAATCACAGGAGCTTCTGGCTGCCTGTGCCTGAGAACCCTGGCCTCACTGAAAGTGTTGACGGCCTGGCAGGAGGAGCTGTCATCTTCTAGACAGTTCAATTGACCAAGCAAGGAGTGGCTCATTCTTGTAATCTCATGTTTTCCAACACAGTTGTTGAGAAAAACTGCCTCTTGCTCAGAAATACTACAGCGGTTTGGGAAGTCAGCTGCCTGTAATCATGGGCACTAGTGGATTCTAACTGCCCATCAAGAGAGGCTGCATGGAAGCAGAGGTGCAGGCACAGGGAGCTGGTATCTCCCTCCCCATCCTTTATCCCTCTGACTTTGAGCAAGACACTTGACCCATTATAACTATTTCCTTGTCTGGAAAATGGGGATAAAAACCTCCAGTTCTGTCTATCTCATAGGACTGCAGGGAGAATTGCAGTAGTAATAGATGTGACAACCTTTGCAAACATCACATACAACTATGTAAGCCTGAGGGCAAGGGATGAGTTATGGTTATGTGAATTATGGTTACCTGTGGAGGGTGTCCAGGTTCTTGGTGTCTTGAACAAAGAATTGGACAAAACACACAAAGCAAGGAAAGAACAAAGCAACAAAAGCAGAGATTTATTGAAAATGAAAGTAAACTCCACAGTATGGGAGTGGGCCTGAGCATAGGGGCTCAAGAGCCCTGTTACAGAATTTTCTGGGGATTAAATACCCTCTAGAGGTTTCCACTGGTTACTTGGTGTAAGCCCTATGTAAGTGAAGAGGATGAAATAAAGTTACAAAGTCATTTACTCAGTGTATGCCCTATGTAAATGGAGAGGATATATGTTTCTATTTGATTTAGTTCTAGGAAGTCAGCATGAATCAGCCTTATGTTCCCTGCCTCCAGACCCTATTCTTCTGCCTCAGTTAAGCATGAGGAGCAGAAGCCAGCTCTACAAAGAGATGAGATCAAAAGTTTAGTAGATTGAACTCCAATAGGTCTTGACGATGATCCTTACATACGTATTTCCAAAACATATCTCTCTTTCTTGTTTCAAGATGACTGCAAACTACTGGGTCTTAGAAATGACTGGAGAATTTTGTTTCTGTGTGTCATTTGAAAGCATTTTTATGCCTTAAGATTGTGGCCAACACAAGGAATGTAACAGGAGTAAAAATCAAGAGAAACAACAGATAACAGAAACAAACCCACACCTACTTCTGGAAGTGGAATTATCAGGGACATATTGTAAATAAGCTTTTTATTATGTAAATTACAAACTTGAACATATTTGAAGGAAAAATAGGCTCTAAAAAATCTAGCAGATATGGAAAAGAACCAAATAGAACTTCCAGAAATAGAACACATAGGAACCGAAATTAAACACACTGGAGTTTCATAGAAAAGTTTAAGGGACTGCCCTAGTTGGGAGAAGATGAGAGGCAAGGCCTTCAATGGAAAGGAACATTAGGCTTCGTATAATTGGAATTGTGGGTGATGAGTGGGAGGAAAAGAAATAAAAAAAGCTGTAGAAATTGGACCTCTAAGAGCTTTAGGAATCTCAAAGATGTCAACTATTTTGATAACCATAGTAGCCTTAGCATCAGCACTAGGGCCATTTCCTCTTGCACCAGACACCAGAACTTTTTGGAGAAAAGTGATGGAAGAGGGAGGCACCACCAGCTCTTACTGTCATTTAGAAGTAGCACCCTGTCTATAAATTCCAACTGCAACCCGGAACAAGAAAGAATAATTGGCAAACTCAGGAATTATTCTTGAAAATCAGCTCTAATTAAATGAAGACTACTTGTATTTTCTAATTTCATAGTTTAAAAATTGAAGCCCGGAATTCAGGTTTATGAAATTTTTTTCAGGAAGTGAGGCTTCTTATCAAAGTGAAAGTTTACAGGAATGAATAGAAGTAGACATCTGTGAACCTCAAATATCTGAGACAGGTCTCAGTCAATTTAAAAGTTTATTTTGGCAAGGTTAAGGACACGCCCATGACACAGCCTCAACGTGTAAAATGTACACTAGTTCTGTCCTCCAGTAAGGTGGGACAACTTGAAGTGGGGGCTTCAAGGTTAGAAGTAGATTAGAGACAAAAGGTTACATTCTTTTACGTCTTTGATCAGCCTTCCACTGAATATACAATTGAGTCTGCCTCAGTGAATCTGCATTTTTACATAAGCAATAGGGGAGAGGAAGCAATTATATATGCATTATCTCAGGTGAGCCTCCCAGGGATGACTTTGAATAGAATGGGAGGCAAGTTTGCCTTAACCAGTTCCCAGCTTGACTTTCCCCTTTTGCTTAGTGATTTGGGGGTCCCAAGATTTATTTTCCTTTCACACATCAAAGTCCCAGAATCATAAAACTTGGCACTTGGGAAAAAAAAAAAAAAAACACAGAGTGACTGTAGTGCAATCCCTTCACTTACAGAAGAGGGAACTAAGATCTAGAGAAAATGTGGCAGCCCCAGATCACAGGGAACCTCCTAACTTCTAATTTGATACTAAAGCAATACAACCAACCAAAGCAGTCTCCCTTGGGTCAGTTTTATAAAAACAAACAAATAAATAAATAAAGTAAATGTTGTGGATGAGACTGTGAACAGCAGATCATCTGGTGAATGGTTGAGACAATCAAAATGTAAAGAGATGAGGGCTGGTTTCAGTAGAGGGAGGTGAGCCTGCCAGGAAAGGCTTGGAGATGAGCTTTGAAGCACTCCCTAAACACAGTGTCCACAGACACAATGTGACGATGAAAAAAGGCGCTGTGAGGTGGGAGCGTATGCAGACCAGCTTGTGGCTTGGTGGATACATTTATTCGACAAGCATTTACTGAAGGCTGTTAAGGGGTTGGCACAGCACAGGCACACTGGATACGGCCCCTGATCTCATGGAGCTTACAGTCCAGTGGGCTGGGGAGGTGAAGGAGGGAGATGGGACAGTCAATAGGACTTCAAATATCAAGCTGTTGAAGAATTTTTGAAATGTTCTGGGGAGGAGCAGAACATCAGCAAAAGGGTTGGGAGAATAGTCAGGGCAGTGACCTGTCTTGCAAGCAGGGTCCTCAGGAAGTGGGAACCATCAGTGCTGTAGTGTCAGGGATGGATGAATCCCAGAGGCTCTGCACCTGCCTCCCAGTCCATGCTTCATTGCAAGGTTGCAGTTAAGACTGAAGGTCATGGATGCACCAGCACCAAGCTCCAGATTAGTGCTCACTTAATAATGGCTATCATTACCATGACTGTGGGAACTTCCTGCCTCTCAGGGCCTTTTTATACCAAGTTATTCTTCCAGGAAACAGACCAAATGGGAAACAACAGGTACTTCAAAGGGCTGGAATTGTGGGTGCTTTGTGTTTTTTTTCTTTATACTTATGTATGTTTTCCAAGTTTTTCTACCTTAAATATGCACTACTTTTAGAATCAGAAAAAAAGAATTATAACAACTTTTTTTTTTTTTTTTTTGAGACAGTCTTACTCTGTTGCCCAGGCTGGAGTGCAATGGCACGATCTCAGCTCACTTCAACCTCCGCCTCCCAGGTTCAAGCGATTCTCCTGCCTCAGCCTCCCAAGTAGCTGGGATTACAGGCGTATGCCACCACACCTGGCTAATTTTTTATATTTTTAGTAGAGACAAGGTTTCACCATGTTGGCCGGCCTGGCCTCAAACACCTGACCTCAGGTGATCCACCTGCCTTGGCCTCCCAAACTGCTGGGATTACAGGCCGAGTCACCTAAAACAGCTTTTTATAAGGTATCTACTTAAACTACTGATATTAACCATGGGTATCAAATGTACTGATATAAAAAGATATCCACAATATATATTACTGAGTGGGGGAAAAGAGCAAAGGAGCTATGGGGCAAAGCATGTACTGCAGTTGCATTATTGTAAACAACCCTATGTGTGTGTATTTGTATATATAAAAAGTTCTGGGCCAGGCGCGGTGGCTCACACCTGTAATCCCAGCACTTTGGGAGGCCAAGGCGCGTGGATTACCTGATGTCAGGAGTTCGAGGCCAGGCTGGCCAACATGGTGAACCCCCATCTCTACTAAAAAAAAAATACATAAATTAGCTGGGCGTGGTGATGCATGCCTGTAGTCCCAGCTACTTGGGAGGCTGAGGCTGGAGAATCACTTGAACCCGGGAGGCGGAGGTTGCAGTGAGCCGAGATCGTGCCACTGCCTCTAGCCTGGGTGATAGAGCAAGACTCCTGTCTCAATTTAAAAAAAAAAAAAAAAAAGTAAGTTCTGGAAGAACCTAAACTCTGGGGGCAGGGTGGAGTTTTACTTTTCATACTCTTCCATAATGTTTGAACATTTGCAACAAACGTGTTGCTCTTGCAATTTTTCAGCCAAAAATACAGATATTAGGTATCACTTACGGATTTATTGTGTGCTGGGTACTTACTAAGCACATTCCTTCCCATTCCTAGTGGCTTCTACTCTTTTCCTGTTCTGGGGCCACAGGGAACAAGACTCGTCTACTAGGTGGACCCTCTCTCAGGACCCCTGGATCTTCCTTTCAGGGTCTGCACCTCCTCCAGGAGGGATCAGGATTTGAAGCAAGAGATGCCAGGAGGTTATTTTTCTGTCTCCTCTGTGTCCCTGTCCAGCTTTCTTGCCGGGAGACATGTTTGAGATGGAGATAGTGACAGGGAAGGGAGCTTCAGGGGCCATGGCACGTCCTGTCCAGAGCGAGTAGGGAACTGGAATGGGAGAGGATTAGGGAGGCGCCCTCCCTTCCACCCGGGGCACTCACCTCTGGCCAGCAGTCCCACCAGGCTTGCTTCCTCTCACCCTGCCCAGCCCAGGAAGGAGGAGGTGGAAATAATTAACACCTACATGGAAACTTTCACACAGGTTGTGAACTCCTCCAGAAATTTGCATTTTAAACCCTTGGTGGCTAATTGGGAATGCAAGGCTTTGTCTGGCCTGAAAAGAAGGGCAGGCAATGGAAATCAGGTGGAGAGAGGAGGGGGTCTTCTTTGTGCTGGTGTGTGTGTGTGTGTTGGGGGTGCAGACATTCTACTTCCAAGCCTGGTGCAGATAAAAAAGCTGAGTTGAGGGGATGGGGGTGGCACCAAGAACATATGACTTCCTCCCCACTCTCCACAAGGTTTCTGGACATGAACTCCATTTCCAAGTCACCAGCCTGCCTGTAACCTGGGGCTGGCGCCCCGGCCCAGATAGCTGGCCTATGTGTGCAGAAACAGGTCTGAGCCTGCTTTGAGGGGCAGGGGACTCCAGAGAGGAGTGACCCAGCTTGAGCTGGAGAACTCTTCAATTATTAATTAATTTTTTTTTTTGAGACGGAGTCTAGCTCTGTCACTCAGCCTGGAGTACAGTGTTGTGATCTCAGCTCACTGCAACCTCTGCCTCCCAGGTTCAAGCGATTCTCCTGCCTCAGCCTCCCGAGTAGCTGGGATTACAGGCATGTGCCACCATGCCCAGCTAATTTTTGTATTTTAGTAGAGGCAGGGTTTCACTATGTTGGTCAGGCTGGTCTCAAACTGCTGACCTCAAGTGATCCGCCTGCCTCGGCCTCCCAAAGTGCTGGGATTACAGGTGTGAGCCACCACGCCTGGCCTAATTAATTTTTAAATAAGTAAAATGTGCATGAAAAATTCCAAAGGTTCAGAAGTGAAAACCAAGTTTCCCTTTGAACCCTAGTTCCCATGTTCTCTCTATATGTAAAAATACACATATGTATAAATATGTATGTATGTATATGTGTGTATTTACATTTGGGCAGTCTATACAACACAACACACTCTTTTCTTTTGAAATGGAGTCTCGCTCTGTCACCCAGGCTAGAGTGCAATGGCACGATCTTGGCTCATTGCAACTTCCACCCCCTGCATTTAAGCGATTCTCCTGCCTCAGCCCCCCAAGTAACTGGGATCACAGGTGCACATCAACATGCCCAGCTAATTTTTGTATTTTTAGTAGAGATGGGGTTTCGCCACATTGGCCAGGCTGGTCTTGGACTCCTGACCTCAAGTGATCTGCCTGCCTCAGCCCCCCAAATTACTGGGATTACAGGCATGAGCCGCTGTGCCCAGCCACAACACACTCTTAATTATCTTGCTTTTTTCCACAAAGCAATGCTTTTCAGGCCTGCTACTTATAAGATCTTGTTAATGTGATTAATTTCCCTGTGTTCAATCTTCTCATCTGTAAAATGGGAGATAATACAAATATTTCCCTCATAGGGCTGCTGTGAGAATTAAATGAGTTAACTCATGTAAAATCATTATGTCAGAGGCCAGAGTGACTCCATCTTGAATAGGGGCTAGGTAAGATAAGATGAGACCTGCTGGGCTCCATTCCCAGGAGGTCAGTCATTCTTAGTCACAGGATGAGACAGGAGGTCAGCAAGACTGGTATCACAAGTTATGGGTCGTAAAGACCCTGCTGATAAGATAGGATGCAGTAAAGAAACTGGCCAAACACACCAAAACCGAGATGGTGACCTCTGGTCGTCCTCACTGCTCATTACACGTGAATTATAACACATTAGCATGCTAAAAGATACTCCCACCAGTGCCATGACAGTTTACAAATGCATGGCAATTTGTAGTGAAAGTCACCCAATATGGTCTAAACGGGGAGAAACTCTCAGTTCCTGGGGAAATCCCTGCCCTTTTCTCATAAAACTCATGGATAATCCACCCCTTGTTTAGCATATAATCAAGAAATACACATAGAAATAGCTGGCAGCCCTCAGTGGTACTCGTTTATGATATAGTCATTCTGTTGTTTCTTTACTTTCTGAATAAACTTGCTTTTACTTTACTCTATGGACTTGCCCCGAATTCTTCCCTGGGCAAGATTTGAGAACGCTCCCTTGGGTCTGGATCGAGACTCCTTTCTGGTAACAATTAGACCAGTGCCTGGCGTGCAGAGAGCTCTAGAAAAGTGTTAGCTATTGTTATTATTGTGGGAATTGAAAAAGTAATAAAGAATTAATCCCAAGATCCTGAATTTTTGTGTTTTAAGATGTATAAGGGGTGTGTGTGTGTGTGTGTGTGTACGTGTGTATATGTGAGAGAGAGAGCTTTAATGTTATAAGAAAAAATGGTGATTGATTCTGAGATTCTAATCTGGAAATTGGGATATTAACATGATGGAAATACAACAATAACCACCACCACAACAACAAAGTTCTATTTATTGCCTGCCTGCTATGTGCCAGGTGCTGTTTGGGCCTCTGACATGCCTCGGTTAACGCCTGCAACGAAATATTACTAGTGAGTATTTTTATTCCCAGTGTGTAAATGAAGAAACGGAAAGTCTGGTAAATTTGCAACAGGAAAACAGTAAAAGAATAGAGACTTAGTCCTTTATGTTTCCTGTTGATGCCAATCACATAGGGCAACAGCAATCATGAGTTTATGTGCGGATCAGTGCTGTGTATTGTATCAGAGTCCACACTGTTCTTGTTCCTGTGGCATGGTCTGTGCTTAAAGAGAATGAAAATAAGTAGGGGAATGACTGACCTCAAACTTCATCAATACCTCATTTATTGATATTCCACAGTAGGTGATTTTAAGGTAGTCATTGAAGCTGATTCTTTCTAGGATGAAATTTATTTTCTTTTTCTTTTCTTTTTTTCTTTTTTTTTTTTTGAGACAGAGTTTTGCTCTTGTTGCCCAAACACCATTGCAAACAAGTTTTGCTCTTGTTGCAATGGTGTGATCTTGGCTCACTGCAACCTCCACCTCCTGGGTTCAAGTGATTCTCGTGCCTCAGCATCCCAAGTTGCTGAGATTACAGGCATATGGCACCACGCCCAGCTAATTTTGTATTTTTAGTAGAAACGGGATTTCGCCATGTTGGTCAGGCTGGTTTCTAACTCCTGACCTCAGGTGATCCTCCCGCCTCAGCCTCCCAAAGTGCTGGGATTACAGGCGTGAGCCACCACACCCAGCCCATTTTCTTTTTCTTTTTCTTTTCTTTTCTTTTTTTCTTTTTTTTTGAGACAGAGTCTCGCTCTGTTGCCCATGCTGGAGGGCAGTGGCTTAATCTCCGCTCACTGCACCCTCCGCCTCCCAGGTTCAAGCAATCCTCCTGCCTCAGCTCCCGCTAGTAGCTGGGATTACAGGTACGTGCCACCATGCCTGGCTAATTTTTGTATTTTTAGTAGAGCTGGGGTTTTGCCATGTTGGCCAGGCTGGTCTCAAACTCCTGACCTCAGGTGATCCACCTGCCTTGGCCTCCCGAAGTACTGGGATTACAGGTGTGAGCCACCGCATCTGGCCCATTTTATTTTTCAAATGGGTGACATGCTGCCTTTTCTTAAACACAGCAGAACTATGCATGGCCCTTCTTTCAGTCTGTCCCTGAGGCATCACCTCAGTACTGCACTTCGCTCAGTGGGCCTTGGATCAGCCTTTCTGGTATGGGTCTGTTAGCATGGCAGACCCCTGTCTGCAGTCTTCATATGCTGCACTCTGAGAAATTCGCAGAGCATGTCTCAATGGAAATGTACATAAACCCAGAACTGAAGAGCGTTCAAGGAGAGTCAGTCTTATGGGGTAAAGAGTGACATCTGTTTAAGAGGCTTTTTTTTTTTTTTTGCCTGCACTCTGGGTTCTCTGCATTATAGGTAGTTGGAGGAGGCTGGGCACGGTGGCTCACACCTGTAATCAAGCACTCTGGGGGGCCAAGGTGGGCAGATGGCTTGAGTCCAGGAGTTCGAGACCAGCCTGGGCAACATAGTGGGGCCCCATCTCTACAAAAAATACAAAAATTAGCCAGGCACGGTGGTGGGCATCTGTGATCCCAGCTACTCTGGAGGCTGAGGTGGGAGGATCGCTTGAGCCCAGAAGGTCGAGGCTGTAGTTAGCCGAGGTTGTACCACTGTACTCCAGCTTGAGCAACAGTTGAGCAACAGAGAAAGACCCTACTTCAAAAAAAAAAAAAAAAATATATATATATATATATACATGTGTAGTTGGATTTGCAGGAAGCCCAACTCCATGGTGAGTGAGCATTAACAGTGGGTTCCATGTTTATGGAAGCCAAGAGGGTTAAGGTATTACCAGGAGGTGGCACGAATGAGTGTTTGGTGACATTAAGATGGCGTGGGTTTGGTTCCCTTTCTCAAATGCTGGAGGGCAGCCCCATACCTGCCCAATGGCTTTCTCCTTCTCCACCCCAGCATGGAATTTAAAAGGCTTGGTGACCTGCACATCTGGAGACACCAAGGAGGGCTGGCAGTGAATTACTTGGCTGGCAAGCAGTGTGAAGTGGCCCTTGCGTTTTCCTGGCTTTGCTAGCTATGCCTGGGACTCTGCCCATTGAAGAGCTGGCTCAGGGAGAACAAAAATAACAATGACGATTCTAAGCAAATGTACAACTAAAAATTCCACTGATGGATTTTCTGATGAAAATAAGTCATAGGAAAGATTGCTTAATGAGCTGAAGCAGGACCATTGTAAGTTCTGCCTGGTTACCCTGGTTCTTTTGTTCTGTGAACTGCCTGTTCATACCCTTTGCTTATTCTTCTATTGAGCTGTACATATAGATCTTGCTGATTGGTGTGAGCTCTTTGTGAAACAGGAAATGAAACTTTTATCAGTCAAAGATCACAAACAATTATCTCCAATGTTATCTTATTTTGTTCATAGAATTTCTTTTGGCTGTGTATTATCTAGTCAAATTTATCAGTCGTTTCTTTGGCTTCAAGGTTCTGTGATCTACTTAGAAAGTTCTTTTCCACTCTTGGCCAGGTGCAGTGGCTCACACTTGTAATCCCAGCATTTTGGGAGGCCAAGGTGGGCGGATCACCTGAGGTCAGGAGTTCGAGACCAGCCTGAACAACATGGAGAAACCCCGTCTCTCCTAAAAACACAAAAAAATAGCCGGGCGTGGTGGCGGGCACCTGTAGTCCCAGCTACTCAGGAGGCTGAGTCAGGAGAATGGTGTGAACCCGGGAGGCGGAGCTTGCAGTGAGCTGAGATTGTGTCACTGCACTCCAGCCTGGGTGACAGAGCGAGACTCCGTCTAAAAAACAAAAATCAAATAAACAAAAAGAAAGTTCTTTTCCACTCTTATGTGATACATTTTACATGTTTGCTTCAAGACGTTTTGTGGTTTGATTTTTTTAAAGTTTAAATCTTTTATCTAACCAAAATTAATTTTGGTGTTAAGGGTTGAAATGGGGGTCTAACTAACTTCATTATTTTTTCTAACTGATTTTCAGTGGTCCCCAAATGATTTATTGAGTGATCTCTCTTTTCCTCACTAAATGCCACTTTCCCCATAAACTAAATTTCTGCATGTATTTCACCCTATTTCTGGTCCCCTCCAATTTTGTTATACTATTTTTTCTCCATCATAAACCTTTAAAATTATTGTTGTTTCTTAATTTTTTTTTTTTGGAAACAGAGTCTTGCTATGTTGCCCAGGCTGGACTCAAATTCCTGGGCTCAAGCAATCCTCCTGCCTCAGCCTCCTGAGGCCTTGAAAGGATTGCAAAGTGCTGGGACTATAGGCATGAGCCACTACATCTGGCTCTCATAATGTATTTTAATATCTAGTTGGAGTAGTCCTCCCTGATTATCCTTTTTTTTTTTTTTTTTGAGACGAAGTCTTGCTCTGTTACCCAGGCTGGAGTGCAGTGGCATGATCCTGGCTCACTGCAACCTCCACCTACCGGGATCAAGTGATTCTCCTGCCTCAGCCTCCTAAGTAACTGGGACTACAGGCACTTGCTGCCACGCCCAGCTAATTTTTGTATTTTAGTAGAGACAGGGTTTCGCCATGTTGGCCAGGCTGGTCTGGAACTCCTGACCTCAAGTGATCCGACTGCCTTGGCCTCCCAAAGTGCTGGGATTACAGGCGTGAGCCACCGCGTGTGACCGATTATCCTTCTTTGGACCTTTTCTAGTCATTTTCACGTTTATTTTTTCCGATAAATTTAAATAGCCGGGCACAGTGGCTCATGCCTGTAATCCCAGGACTTTGGGAGGCTGAGGCAGGTGGATCACCTGAGGTCAGGAGTTCAGGACCAGCCTGGCCAACATGGCAAAACCCCATCTCTACAAAAATACAAAAATTAGCCGGGCATGATTGCGGGTGCCTGTAATCCCAGCTACTCGGGAGGCTGGGGCAGAAGAATCACTGGAACCCGGGAGGCGGAGGTCTCAGCCGAGATGGTGCCAGTACACTCCAGCCTGGGCAACAGAGTGAGACTCCATCTCAAAAAAATTTAAAAATAAAATAAATAAATAAATATCATTTTATCAAGCCCCTTTACCCCATTTTCTTGACATTTTAATTGGAAATGCATTGAGCTATAGATTAAATTAGGGAGAATTAATACAAAAGCAGGGCATGTTTTCACATTTACTCCTGTTTTCTTTTATGAACCCCATTCGAACCTGAGAGTTTTCCGTCGGGCACAGTGGCTTATGTCTGGAATTCCAGCACTTTGCAATCCTTTTGAGGCCAAGGTGGGAGGATTGCCTAGGAGTTCTAGACCAGCTTTGGCAGCATGGTGAACCCTGTCTCTAAAAAAATACAAAAGTAGCTGAGTGTGGTGGCTTGTGCTTGTAGTTCCAGCTACTCTGGAAACTGAGGTGGGAGGATCACCCGAGCCCAGGGAGGTGGAGGCTGCAGTGAGCTGTGATCATGCCACTGCACTCCAGCTTGGGCAACAGAGTAAGATCTTGTCTCCAAAAAAATAGAGTTTTCTTCTTGTTAAATTTTTCCCTAGGAATTTTACCTTTTCAGCCTCTACAGCAAATAGGCACTTCTCATGTTTTCCAACTGGCTGTGTGACTTTAGACAAATCACTCATCTTCTCCACACCTCAATTTTCTTGTGGGTAAAGAAAGGCATGTATCTCTAAGATCGCTTCATCTAAAGCTAGTTGAAGCGTTTATGACTTGATTCTTAACAATGCAAAATGTTGGTATTTTCAGGGGCAGCTTTGCCCTCATTGAATTTTCATGAGAAAGACCTGGGTCAGCTCAGTTTCTCTGGTCCCAGCTGTGCAAACAAATACCTGGGTCAACCCTAATTGGAGCCCTCTGTGAGCCCCCAGCCCCCTCCACTGATTCACCAAGACTCCACTGTGCCCTGAGATTCCTCCTGCAGGCTGGATACCCCAGCAGGATAGGCATACCCCAGCTTTATTCCATACCCAGTTATGGGGCATCTATCTACCATGTGCCAGGCACCAGGCCAGCCTCTGGCTGTGGCCATTGGCTGTGTATCTGATCAGGGTGGACAACCACTTTGGATGATTCAGGCCTCCAAGTGCAATGCATTTTGGGGCTGATTCTGAGATTGTTGTGGCCTCCGTGTATTCTGAGCCAATGAACTAGTCAACAGCCTTTTCTCCAGTGCTCAACGAAGACACAATCCGGCCCACGACCAGGTGCTAAGTGCTGCTTGGTAGCACTTGAGGGAGAGGATGCGCAGAGAGAGTATTAGCAAGACTAAGATTGTCAGGGCAGGCCGGGCCCAGCAGGGCCAGTTCAACCCCCTTCCAGGGCGGAATCTGCAGGGCTTTCCGGCTGCCCGAGCACCCCACTGTGTTGATGACTGGGTGGCAGACTCACACTCCTGGCTAATTCCAGGAGAGACTCATTTAAGCATTTACCATTTAGCCTAATTGTTTCTTTAATTGAAAGTCTGCAGATAAGCACAGGTTTCTTTCCTATGCAAAAGAGGCTTGAGCTAGAAGAAACAAGCCGGTGGTGTAAGAAAACAAGTGCTAGTTTTAGCCTGGCTTTGGGGAAGGGGGGCTTTGTGCCTCTGGGTTCTTGCATCATAATGTATTTGAGTTAATTTGACGGGTGGGGGTTCTTAGTTACCCAAACACTTTAATAGGATTGAAATGGGCTACTTTCAGGCCTTGCATGGATAAGAATGGACTGGCTAAGCCCTCTTTTCTTTAAGAAAACAGCTCCCACACTTGTGCAGGCCAAAATAATTAAGTAATTAGCAAAGGCATTTGTCAAAATGCCCAGTGGGGCTGACGAAAATGACAGCTTTGAGAAGGATGAAGAGTTTGCAAATAGCATTTTCTCCCAGCTCCAGGTTGGGGTCAGGCCTGGGGCCTGTGAGGAACACGCCTGCCTGGGACTCCGGGGTCCCAGCTCAACCTTTGGGGTTCAAGTTCACTTCCCTGTGGCAAAAGCCAAGCTCCTATTTCTAAGGAGGCAGTCTTGAAAGGCCTTTGGAACATCAAAGGACTCCCCAAACACAGTAAGTAAAAAATAAAGGAGTCATTTTCCTTTTCAAAGGATTGAAACCGTTAAGCAGCCAAGTCCATGGCAGAAAAAGCATTTGTGGTTTGTGGAAATTAAAAAGACTGAGGAAACAGCTAGAGGTTACAAGGCAATCATTACCCTCAACAGTGAGCTTATGCTGTACCTACTGTGTGCAAGGCAAATACCTGGATTTTCTTAGAGCCATAAGAGTCTGCCCTTACGAGGCCACAGTGATTGCTGTTGTTGGTGGATTACAGGTTAACTGAGATATTCTTTTTTTTTTTTTTTTTTTTTTTTTTGAGACAGGGGCTCGCTCTGTCACCCAGGCTGGAGTGCAGTGGCGCCATCTTGGCTCACTGCAACCTCCGCCTCTGGGGTTCAAGCAATTCTCCTGCTTCAGCCTCCTAAGTAGCTGGGACTACAGGCGCCCACCACCATGCCTGGCTAATTTTTGTATTTTTAGTAGAGACGGGGTTTCACCATGCTGGCCAGGCTGGTCTCAAACTCCTGACCTCGTGATCTGCCCACCTCGGCCTCCCAAAGTCCTGGGATTACAGGCGTGAGCCACCGTGCCCGGCAACAACTGAGATATTCTCTCAGCACAAGAGAGAAGGCGACACTAATAATAACCACTTAGGGGCCCCTTCAATATGCCAGGCATGTGGGATCTCATTCAGTGCCCACAACAATGCTATGATGTTGGCATTTGTTTTCCTCCTTTAATGGATAGGGAAACTGAGGCCCAACAAAGTCAGGAAATTTAGAGCTGAGAGTCAATGTCAAGGAGACGTTAAGACGTCTGGAGTACAAAGGACCTGGGTTTGACAGCAGATTCTACTTGTGTTGGTCACAAGGAATAAGAAGTAGGGAAAGATCATTAGATTTAGAAAGTAGGAGTTGTTGGTGACTGGACAGTGGTGTTTCAGAGGAATGACATTGTTACAGGAAAGGGGTCCCGATCCAGACCCCAAGAGAGGGTTCTTTGATCTCGTGCAAGAAACAATTCAAGGGCTGGGCGTGGTGGCTCACGCCTGTAGTCCCAGCACTTTGGGAGGCCGAGGCAGATACATCACTTGAGGTCAGGAGTTTGAGAACAGTCTGGACAACATGGTGAAACCTTGGATCTACTAAAATTACAAAAATTAGCCGGGCCTGGTGGTGGGCGCCTGTAATCCCAGCTACTCAGGAGGCTGAGGCACAAGAATCACCTGAACCTGGGAGTGGGCAGTTGCGGTGAGCTGAGATTGTGCCGCTGCACTCCGGCTTGGGTGATAGAGTGAGGCTCTATCTCCAAAAAAAAAAAAGAATTCAAGGCGAGTCCATAGAGTAAGTGAAAGCAACTTTATCAAGAAAGCAAAGGAATAAAAGAAGGGCTACTTCACTGAGGGCTGCTAGTTGCCTATTTATTTACTTATTTATTTATTTGTGAGACGGAGTCTCATGCTGTTGCCCAGGCTGGTGTGCAAATGGCGCAATCTCAGCTCACTGCAACCTCCGCCTTCCAGGTTCAAGCGATTCTCCTGCCTCAGCTTCTCGAGTAGCTGGGATCACAGGCACCTGCCACCATGGGCAGCTAGCTTTTTGTATTTTTAGTAGAGACAGGGTTTCACTATGTTTGTCAGGCTGGTCTTGAACTCCTGACCTGGTGAACCGCCTGCCTCGGCCTCCCAAAGTGCTGGGATTACAGGTGTGAGTCACTGCGCCCAGCCGGTTGCCTATTTTTATGGTTATTTCTTGATGACATACTAAACGAGGTGGATTATTCATCCTCCCCTTTTTAGACCATATAGGGTAACTTTCTGACATTGCCAAGGCATTTGTAAACTGCCGTGGTGCTGGTGGGAGTGTAGCAGTGACTGAGGTCACTCTCATCACCATCTTGGTTTTGGTGGGTTTTAGCCAGCTTTTTTACTGCAAACATGTTTTATCAGCAAGGTCATCATGATCTGTATTTTGTGCTGACCTCCTAGCTCATCCTGGGACTTAGAATGCCTCAACCATCTGGAAATGCAGCCCAGTAGTTCTCAGCTTCATTTTACCCGGCCCCTATTCAAGATGGAGTTGCTCTGGTTCACACGCCTCTGACAACATGGCAGCTAAGCCATTGTGAGAATCGGGCGTGAAGAGTGAGTCTTCAAAAGCAGGCATGGCGGGAGAAGGAAGGCAGGAAACATATCTTCCGTCCAGCTGGGGACTCCTCCCAAGCTGGTGGGAAGACCCGAGCAGGTTTGTAGTTTGAGGGCAGTGGCCTGAAGAGAGAGCGAGTTTGAGGGTGCCAGAAACAGAGGAAATATTTGAGTAAGACAGGTCCTTCCTGGAGGAGGTGTCCCTAACTCAAAGCTTAGAGGGGAGTAGGTTTAGGGGGCAGGGAGCGGCAACTGTTTCTGAGAAAGAGGAAGGAAAAGAAGATGGAGAAGTTGTGTAAAGTTTTTTTTTTTTTTCCTTTTAATTACATTTACTTTAATGCTGAATTTGCTCTCGTGCCATAAGTTTTTGCTTCTGCAGTTTCTTCTGGGATATCTTTTTCTTCTGGGCAACCTCCTCTTCTGGTTTATGAACAATCTGTTCCTTTTCCAGTAAGAATCATCTCAATGCGGCAGGGAGAGCTCATGTATGGGTTAATCCGACCATGAGCTCTGTAGGTCCGGCGGCGCATCTTAGGTGCCTTGTTCACTTGGATATGCTCAATGACCAGAGAATCTACATCTAAACCCTTAAGTTCAGCATTACTCTCTGCGTTTTTAAGCATATGCAGCAAAAATTCAGCACTCTTTCTGGGCCACCGAAAGAGTGTCCAGCCCCACTGCTTGGCCTGCGCACACCTGCCAACTCCAGCATTGTAACGTCGGAATGGTACGCACTGTTTCTGTAAAGTGACATCTTTAAGATACTTCGTGGCTTTTCGTATATGCATACCCTTGATGGCCTGAGCAGTTTCACAAGTGTTCTTAAAGTGAACACGAAGATTGGAACTCTTGATTTGCATTATTTCATGGGGTTCTCCAGGTCAAGTGAATAGCGAACCATTTTCACAGATTACCTCAGGCTGCTTAGGGAAAGAGCGAAGTTGTGTAAAGTTATTGTGGCATTTGAAGTTAAAAAATGAAGGAGTCAATTCACAGGCACTTAGAGGGGTAGGGGAGGAGAGCTGAGAGAACTCAGGTGGAGGGGAAATGGCTGACTTAGCTCTGTCTATGGGGGAAGTTAAGTGGGCTAAGAACCAGTGGGGTTGGGTAAGGGGGTGATGGATTGGGGACTTCAGGTCTTGATGCTGTCTCTGTAGGGCCTGAAGGTTGTGGGGGAGTCAGGAACTTGGAGCCCATACCTTGAAGGCAAGGTATTTCCACAGGGTTAGTAGGGGAGGGAAAAATGGCTTCCCTCTACCCTTCTAGGCTCTTCGGCCAGGCTACAAATTAAATTGACATAAAACAAATGAACAGGAGAAAAAGCATTTTGATTACATGCATACACAGAGAGTCACACCAAATATGAGACTCGAACAAGGGCCAGAAGATGGAAGCTTATATACAGCATCCTGAGCTAAAGACAGGAATAGGGGCCCAGAGCTTCTTGGGGGTGGCAGAGACAGGCAATGGGAGGGTGAGGGGAGGAGATATGTGGTGAATGGAGGTTGTCTTGTTACGCAGATGAAAGTCGGGCAATAAACGTTTTCTGGAGCAGCCCTCTTCCTGATACAAATATTTTTTACTAATGTCCATTTTCTTTATGGATGTAAATTTCTTTTATAAAATGACAGCTTTTCAGAGCTACTGCTGTGCCTGCAGTTTCTCAGAATAAGCAGCTCAAAATATGCCAAAGAAGTATATTTTGGGGTGGCATATTCTGGTCTCCTACAGTCATATTTTGGGGTGGTGTGTCCCAAGGCCCAATAGGTGTGAGTGGTGTCTGGGCTGGGGGTGTTGGGGGTGCCTCCAGTGGAGTTAAGACTGAAAGTTACAGCATCTTAGAAGGCCAAAGGTCAAGGCATTGGGGGTATCCCCATAAGTGATGACAGGCAAGAGTGTGTCAGGTACCAAAGTCTTCCAGGAACAATGGCAAGGAGGGCAGAGGAGGGTGGTGATGAGGATGAGGGGAGAACTTCGTAAGTGATTGTGAAGACTTCCGATTTGAAGAGGTGGGACAGTGGTGATGGTTTAGTGACTTGGAGGAGAAAGAGGAAGCCTCAACCTTTTCTTTTTAGAGGCAGTAAGAAATACTGAGGCTTTGAGTATCAGTGTTATAGACTGAATGTGTCCCCCCAAATTATTATTATTATTTTGAGATGGAGTTTTGCTCTTGTTGCCCAGGCTGGAGTGCAATGGTGTGATCTCAGCTCACTGCAACCTCCGCCTCCCAGGTTCAAGCAATTCTCCTGCCTCAGCCTCCCCAGTATCTGGGATTACAGGCACCTGCCATTGTGCCTGGCTAATTTTTTGTATTTTTAGTACAGATGGGGTTTCACCATGTTGGCCAGCCTGGTCTCAAACTCCTGACCTCAGGTGATCCGCCCGCCTTGGCCTCCCGAAGTGCTGGAATTACAGGCATGAGCCACCGTGCCTGGCCTGTCCCTGCCCCTGCCCCCAACCCCCCCATTCATAAGTTGAAATCCTAACCCCCAGTGTGACAGTATTGGGAAGTGGAGCCTTTGGGAGGTGATTAGGCATGAGGGTGCAGCCCTCATGGATGAAAGGAGTGCCCTTATACGAGGGACCACAGAGAGCCCACAGCAGCTTTAAGCTAGAAGAGCTCTCAGGTCATCCAGTCTAATAGAGGGGAAAAAGGAGGCCCCAAAATGCCACAGATGAGGGAAGATGAGGGAGTTCCAGTGGGGTCATGCTGTTTAGGGCTCTGCTGGAAGCTACACGAGAGAGGGAGTGCAGTGGGGAAATGGTCAAAAGTTGTGTCCAGAGTGGACGGGCTATAGTCAAATCCTGGTTCTCTTATTAGCACAGGGCCTAAAACTCAATAGATGTGAGTTATTGTTATAATTATTATTACTTCAACAGAGGACTAGAAATAGGTTAAGGAGGGCTCTGGAAATGACTGGGAGTGATCCCAGAATCTGCAAGGTCCACAGCCAGGCCTCACATTGGGTAGGTAGGGGTGTGTGTGTGTGTGTGTGTGTTCGTGTGTGCACATGTGTTGGAGGAGTGGGCCTTGTCTCTTTCCAGGTGCACACAGGGGGCGTAAAGCTTGTCTTCTAAGTATGGGTGACATTCTAATGAGCCAAATGAACATGCTATTGGCAAGTGAGTGTTCCTTGTTCATTTGCTTTTGATCTGAGTCCCAGGCACTGGCCTCCCTCTTTAGTGAAAGGGATGCGCAAATTCTGTTTCATCTCCAGTTTCCAAGCTTGGCAGAAGCCCTCTGCCTGGAAATTGCCTTACTCTGCAGTTGACAGTGCTTACTTACCTCTGCATGCTCAGGGTCTGATAGAGACTGGGTGCTCTCAGGCTGGGCGCAGTGGCTCATGCCTGTAATCCCAGCACTTTGGGAGGCTGAGGCGGGCGGATCACTTGAGGTCAGGCGTTTGAGACCAGCCTGACCAACATGGTGAAACTCTGTCGCTACTAAAAATATGAAAATTAGCCAAGCGTGGTGGCAGGTGCCTGTAATCCCAGCTACTCGGGAGGCTGAGGCAGGAGAATCGCTTGAACCCAGGAGGTGGAGGTTACAATGAGCCAAGATCGTGCCCTGGCACTCCAGCCTGGATGACAGAGCAAGACTGTCTCAAAAAAAAAAAAAAAAAAAAAAAAAAAAGTGGGTGCTCTCTAGTTGTTCAGTCAGTGAATGAATATGCCTTCATGTCTTCCGGTGAGGAGATGGCTCTCTCACCACCTCTACCTTGGGTTGGCTGTATGGGGTTAAGTAAGGAGGAATTTGACAAATGGGGGTTTAAATCCGACATTTATCATTTACTACCTGTGACTTTCTCCAAATCATTTAACTTCACAGAGCCTCAAATTGCTCATCTATAAAACGCCAATAATTATTTCACCTTAGGATTCAGTGATAAGTGGCTGTAACGTTCTCAGCATCATGTCTGCCTGGCATGGCACTCTTGGTAATGATGAGTATATCTTATTGTCATCATAGAGCTGGGTATGACAGCAGGTGCAGATACGCCTTCTCTTTATTTATTTAAAGCTGAGTGCCTCTCTTGTCCCACATTCTAGAAAGTGCTAGGGATAGAAGACATTCTCCCTGCTTCCCACTTCGTATCCACTTGATTTGGTGCTTCAGTGAAAGAAAAGCCAAGCAAACCTTTCCTTGATTCCAACCCTGAGGTGCCTTCAGCCTCAGGTTTGTTTCCCCCGCAGAGCAGCCAGGTAACTGCAAACAGCCCTGGTGTTTTGGGGTGCTCATCACAAGCAGGAGAAATCCTCTGCCTGGAAATTACTTTAATTTGCAGTTGACAAAAAGGTAAATTGCTGGCATTTTTTGCTTGGAGCCTGGAATGTAACCTTGCATGGCTGCCCCAGACATTCCAGGTGGCAGCTTCCATTAGCCAGCCCAGATTTCTAGCTTAAAGGAGGGGGAGAAAAAGAACTTCAGTAATTTTGCAAGGGCAAACCCCTCAATCATTATTTAATTCTGCCAATTTCTTTCCTTCTTTCTTTTCTTTTCCTTTCTTTTTCTTTCTTTCCTTCTTTCCTTCTTCCTTTCTTTCCTTTCTTTCTTTCTCTTTCTTTCTTTCTCTCTCTCTTTCTTTTTTTTTCTCTCTCTCTTTCTTTCTTCTTCCTTTTTTTTTTTTTTTTTTTTGAGGCAATCTTGATCTGTTGCCCAGACTGGAGTGCAGTGGTGCGATCTCAGCTCACTGCAAACTCTGCCTCCCGGGTTCAAGCGATTCTCCTGCCTCAGCCTCCTGAGTAGCTGGGATTACAGGTGTGCGCCACCACGCCCAGCTAATTTTTGTATTTTTAGTAGAGACGGGGTTTCACCATGTTGGTCAGGCTGGTCTCGAACTCCTGACCTCGTGATCTGCCTGCCTTGGCCTCCCAAAGTGCTGGGATTACAGGCGTGCACCACCATGCCTGGCTAATTTTTGTATTTTTAGTAGATACGTGGTTTCACCAGGTTGGTCAGGCTGGTCTTGAACTCCTGACCTCGTGATCTGCCTGCCTCGGCCTCCCAAAGTGTTGGGATTACAGGCGTGAGACACCGCGCCTGGCCAATTCTACCAATTTCTATTCCTTCAAGTTCCCTGCCACTCCTGTCCGTATGTACAGCAGAGCCAATATGGACATCCCGTCACAAGGTCTGTTTTCCTTTGCTTAACCTTCAATCCTGTATTATGACAGTCTGCAGGCTTGTAATTTTTCGTTGCATGAGAGACTCCTTCCTGTGATCTACCACTGTTTGATTTGCGACTCGCTATGGGTCATGAGAGCAGGCCCTTCTGTTTTATTCCTTTGCAGGATAACTGGGATGCGGTAGGCTTTTAGTACATAATTGTTGAAGGAATGAAGGGGCGAATGAATGCGTGAGTTCCAGCGTTTCCCAAGGCCAGAGCGTTTTTGTCTGTCTAGTCATAGATTTCCATAGCATTCCAGAAGGAAGGGCATCGTTTAGATGCGGTGCTGGTCGCCTTCCACTTAAAATATGTCCCAGAGATGCCTGTCTGGGGTGGGGTTCCATGGAATGCAGACTGAATGGAATGCCTTTTAGGCCCGGTGAGAACCTGAGGCCACTGCTGCCATCTTGTGGACAGTATTTGAAACACAGGAGACGTGATGGCCGTTTCTCCCAAAGAAACCTTGGCTGATTCTATTACATGATGAAATATTCTCCTTAGCAGTGCATTAGGCCATGTTACCAGACCCATCCTTAACCTATTTGTATTCCTCTGTTGAAATAATAATAATATAATAACAACAACAACAATAACTCCCATTTGCTGAGTTTTAGGCACTGTGCTAGTAAGAGAACCAGGATTTGACCTCATCCCATCCACTCTGGACCCAACTTTTGGCCATTTCCCCACACTCTTTCGTTTTTTGAGTTCTTTCTCTTCTTTCCCTTCCAACTCTCTACTGTGATTATGTATCAGTCCCTGTAGTCACATCTTGTCTCAATGATTTGCTTATGTGTTTGCCTTTCCAACAAGACAGTGACCACCTTGATGACTGGTCAGAGCTGTTGAGTACAGGGATTTCATTGACCTCTGTGCACCAACTATGCACCAGGCCCTGTGCTAGATTAGGAGTGTGTGAACACACGTCAAACTGGACTGTAGGCCTTCCCAGTGTACGTGTGCAGGGTGTGTATAAAGCCATGGGAGAGACGTGGAGTGTGTTTCTGGAATATATTATAATTGAAGATGGACAAAGGCAGTGGTGGAGAGATTGGTAATTTAATTAGTTATTTACAACCTCGTTTTTATATAAACCGGCCTCCCCAGCACTGCTCAGGTGAACCTTAACCATTATTATTATTTTTTTGAGACAGAGTTTCGCTCTTGTTACCCAAGCTGGACTGCAATGGCGCAATCTCAGCTCACTACAATCTCCACATCCCGGGTTCAAGCGATTCTCCTGCCTCAGCCTCCTGAGATCACAGGCGTGCACCACCATGCCTCGCTAAGTTTTGTATTTTTTAGTGGGAATGGGGTTTCACCATGTTAACCAGGCTGGTCTGGAACTCCTGACCTCAGATGATCTGCTCGCCTCGGCCTCCCAAAGTGCTGGGATTATAGGCGTGAGCCACCGCGCCCAGCCAACCATTATTGAATTTATATGTACAGACATTTCTTTGCTACTTACCCTGGAGCACTTGACACAGAGTTGCTTGAATGTGAAGCAATTTATTTGCAGCTGGGGATGTAAAGGGTGGAGGAGAAATAGCCTCTCTCTTTGAGACTCTCTGGAATGGAAGGGAACACAAAGTGAATATCACATATGCCATATAGCCTCTATTTTAAGTTGGACTGCCCCCAACGTATCCTCTGTGTTGGATGAAGAAAACACAGGCAGTTTTCATTTGAGGCAGTACTAGACAGAATCAAAGCTGATTAAAGTAAAAAGATTGTGAAATGGAATGCAAGAATTAGAATAAATGTATAAATTAAAGCAAGGCTTTCAGAAAGCTTTAAACCTCCAGGCAAAACCTAAAGGTTTTTAGTCAATTTCCCTTTGTATTGGGCTATTTGGGTAAAAGTTCACCAAGGGTCATATGTCATGCCAGTATATAAAGCAATGTCACACAGAGTGACTGAACTCAGGGTAGCCATCTTTTCTCCTTGATTCAAGACCTGAGTATGGCGCACTCATCACTGGTCAGGCACAAGGCCAGATGCTTCAGGGACAGGGAAAGAAGAGGACAGAGTCTCTGTTCCTGTTGGGGGCTGGCAGGTTTCCCAGCTTTAAGTACCAGCATCACCGGTACCACCTGTACTGTACCAGTAACAACACCTATAAGGGCTAAAGACAAAATGGAGAGACAAGAGATACAGAGAGGAAAGCAGCAGAGGGAGGAGAGGGTGGGAGAGGAAGAGCAGAGTGAGGGGATGGATTCTAGAGGAGGTGACAGAGATGACTCAGACACCTTAGAGGAGGCCTGGACTCAGCTCAAACAGAAGTGTCCTCTTCGGGCCCTTCTAAAATGCCTGGCAGCAACCAATGTCCCATGACTGTCCCCAGCAGCCCGCGAAGTTACTGCCCTTTGTGACTGCAAGGAGGTCTGATTGCTGGACCTGCATGGTGTGTGTCCCCAGCACTGGCATGTTTGTTCTGAGGTCAGGAGTACTGCAGAGAAAGCAGTCTCACTAGTATTCATATTTTTCCATCATCATGCTGTCTGAATGTGCCAGCCTTCTGGACAGAGAAGCTTGGCTTGTGACCGGGTCGGGAGTGAGAAAAGGGCATGAATGATGGCCCCCTCAAGTGAGGGAAAGCTTCTGAAACAAGCATGCCTGCAGGAGCCTGAGCGAGTATGTGCATGTGGCACTGGCATGGACCCACTTCTGCGCAGAGGTGGCGTGGCTTCCACCCAGGTGTGACCTCTGGATGCCACCCCCACCTGCATGCTGGGCTCACAGAGATGTCCCCCGGCAGCAGCAAAGGGCCTGGAGGCCCGTCCTCCCTGAGAGCAGAGCTTTGATCTTTTCACCATCAGGATCATTATCAAACGTCTCAGGGAAAGGAAAAATATTTGGGAAAGAATTTAAAAGCTGTACTCTTTGAAATAGGTATGAATGCCAGCCATCTCAGCATAGTTCTTCAAAGGACTGCTTTTGTAGTATTCTCTGACTTTTATTAAAAGCTGTTATGGGAAACATTTCTGCCCTCTACAAATATACAAATAAGAACAACAAGGGTGGGCACGGTGGCTCACTCCTGTAATCCCAGAACTTTGGGAGGCCAAGGCAGGTGGATCACCTGAGGTCAGGAGTTCAAGACCAGCATGGTCAACATGGTGAAACCCCGTCTCTACTTAAAATACAAAAATTAGCTGGGCAGGGTGACGGGTGCCTGTAATCCCAGCCACTTGGGAGGCTGAAGCATGAGAATTGCTTGAGCCTGGGAGGGGGAGGTTGCAGTGAGCTGAGATCACACCATTGCGCTCCAGCCTGAGCGACAGAGTAAGACTCTGTCTCAAAAAAAAAAAAAAAATAAGAAGAACAGTGAATATTAATGGGAGCTTCACAAATGTAGGACCTGCGCTAAGATCCTGATGAGCCATTTCTGTCACTTTTGGTATAATAACTTTTTTTCTGAAGGCCTGTATGTTTTTACAATGAACCCTAAAATCTGAGACAGGTCTCAGTCAATTTAGGAAGTTTATTTTGCCAAAGTTAAGGATGCGTGCCCAATACACAGCCTCAGGAGTTCCTGACGACATGTGCCCAGGGTGGTCAGAGCACAGCTTGGTTTTATCCGTTTTAGGAGACATGAGACATGAATTAATATATGTTTCCATTCAGAAAGGCAGGACAACTCAAAGTGGGAAGGGCCAGATCATAGGTAGTTAAGAGATTGGCAAAATAAACTTTCTGTTTTTTTTTTTTTTGTTTTTTTTTTTTTTTTTTTTTTTTTTTTGTTGTTGTTGTTGTTTTTGGAGATGGAGTCTTGCTCTGTCGCCCAGGCTGGAGTGCAGTGGCATAATCTTGGCTCACTGCATGCTCCGCCTCCCGGGTTCACGCCATTCTCCTGCCTCAGCCTCCCGAGTAGCTGGGACTACAGGTGTCTGCCACTACGCCTGGCTAATTTTTTTGTATTTTTAGTAGAGATGGGGTTTCACCGTGTTAGCCAGGATGGTCTCGATCTCCTGACCTTGTGATCTGCCCGCCTCAGCCTCCCAAAGTGCTGGGATTATGGGTGTGAGCCACCGAGCCCGGCCACAAAATAAACTTTCTAAATAGACTGAGACCTGTCTCAGATATTTGGGGTTCACAAGACAAAGGTTGCATTCTTTTGAGTTTCTAATGAGACTTTTCAAAGGAGGCAACCAGATATGCATTTATCTCAGCAGAGGGATGACTTTGAGTTCTGTCTGTCCTTTGTCCACAGCAAATTTCCTTGTGACGGAGGTATGTAGCTTTTTTATCTTAGTAGATATCTTTTATTTATTTATTTTTTTGGATGGAGTCTCACTTTGTCTCCCAGGCTGGAGTGCAGTGGCGTGATCTTGGCTCACTGCAAACTTCACCTCCCAGGTTCAAGTGATTCTCCAGCCTCAGCCCCCTGAGTAGCAGATGCCCACCACCATATTTGGCTAATTTTTTGTATTTTTAGTAGAGATGGGGTTTTACCATGTTGGCCAGGCTGGTCTCGAACTCCTGGCCTTAACTGATCCACCCGCCTCGGCCTCCCAAAGTGCTGGGATTACAGGCATGAGCCACTGCGCCTGGCCTTTAATAAATATCTTTTTTAGGAATAGAATGGGTGGCAAGTTTGCCCTAAGCAGTTCTCAGCTTGACTTTTCCCTTTGGCTTAATGATTTTGAGGTCCCAAGATTTATCTTCCTTTCATATTACCAACCAGTTAAGAACAGCCAGAGGACAAATATTCCCCTCACGGATGTTCCAAGTCACTTTTTAAACCCAAATCAGAGCAGTACATTGACTCTTAGAACATTTGCTTTTCTTCTTATACCTTTATTTTAATCTTGTGGAAATTCTATTTTACTGCTTGATTCTACTTTTTGTCTTTTTTTGTGAGTGAACTCAAAGTGCCCTCTCCTCTTTTTAAAAGAAATATGAAGAAGTTTAATTTGAAAATTGATGAGGCTTCAAGACAGACTTGTAGATCTTAGCGTCCTGGATGGGGACTTGCTCAGCGTACTTGAAGCATATTGAGGATTCTTTAGTAGAATTCACATTTTCCAAGAGCAAAGAGTCCAAGTACATGCTCTTTCTAAAGGGCACTGGAGGACTTCTCTACTTCTCCCGACCCAGAGGGGAGACTACTGTCCCCACAGGAGGTCCTCAAAACAGACTTGTGGCAGGCCCCTTCTTCCCCATTGCGTTTGAGGGCCAGCAATCAAGGTGGAGAAAGTCACCCCATGCAGATGGAAAGAGTGGCTAAGGAATGGCCATTAATTCTGGCTGGAACCTTCTCAAGACTCTACTTGGGGCGGGGTATAAATTGGTACTACATTTCAGGAAGCAACTGGCAATGTATCTCAAGGGCATTAAATATGCTCGTGCCCTCTGACTCAGGAATTCCCCTTTGACTCAGGAATGAATAAGAAATTCATTTGCCCATTCATTGATGCTGCTCTATCTCATGCACAAGGTTGGGTGAACAAGACAAACATTGTCCCTGACCTTATACTGTTAACAATTTAATAGATCTAGAGGCCCCAAAATACAGGCAAAGATCTTTGTCCATGGATGTTTAAAGCAGCATTGTAAATAGCAAAGAATTGGAAACAATATATATTGTTACATATATCCTCAGTGATAGGGGATTAAATTAGAGTAGATCCATGTGATGGAATTTTAAATGACCATTATAAATTAGGTTTTGAAATTCATAAATTGTGGAAAATGTTTATGAAATACAATTTTTTTTTTTAAGATGGAATCTCGCTCTGTTGCCCAGGCTGAAGTGCAGTGGCGCAATCTCGGTTCACCACAACCTCTGCCTCCCGGGTTCAAGCGATTCTCCTGCCTCAGCCTCCCGAGTAGCTGGGATTACAGGCACGCGCCACCATGCCCAGCTGATTTTTGTATTTTTAGTAGAGACAGGGTTTCACTATGTTGGCCAGGCTGGTCTCGAACTCCTGACCTCGTGATCCGCCCACCTCGGCCTCCCAAAGTGCTGGGATTACAGGCGTCAGCCACTGTGCCCGGCCTATGAAATACAATTTTAAGAGAGGGAAGAAAAGCAAGATATAAAACTGGAGAGTTGGCTAGGCATGGTGGCTCATGCCGGTAATCCCAGCACTTTGGGAGACTGAGGCGGTTGGATCACTTGAGCCCAGGAGTTCGAGACCAGTCTGGGCAACAAGACAAAACTCCTTTTCTCCAAAACAAAAATAAAAACAAAAATTAGCCAGACATGGTGGTGCGTGCTTGTAGTCCCAGCTACGTGGGGGGCTGAAGTGGGAGGATCATCTGAACCTGGGGAGGTCAAAGCTGCACTGAGCCATGATTGTGTCACTGTACTCCAGCCTGGGCAACAGAGCAAGCTCCTGTCACAAAAAACAAACAAAAGCCTTGGAGAATCATGAAGGCAAGGCCAGGGAAGTTCTGGAGGTGGGATCCCAATTTTATGTCTTTAAAAACGGCAAGAGTAGAAGGAAACACCACAAAATAATGTTAACAGTAGTTATCTCATGATAGATTATGGATTTTTAATGTTCTTTTTTATGCTTTTTCCCAATAAAGTATCTGCAGTGAATATAAATGAATTTTAAAATTTTTAAAGAAAAAATATTTCTAGGAGTTATGTTCAGGGCTTCTATGCTGTGGATATAAGGGAAGAATTATCCCTTAGATTCCCCCAGCTGTAACATTCCTTCTAGGCCAAGCTTGTGTAGCCTGCGGCCCAGAGGCCACATGCAGCCCAGGACGGCTTTGAAAGCAGCGCAATACAAATTCATAAACTTTCTTAAAACGTTATGAGAGGTTTTTTTTTTGGTGATTTTTTTTTTTTAAATCTCATCAGCTATCGTTAGTGTTCATGTATTTTATGTGTGGCCCACTTCTTCTTCCAGTGTGGACCAGGGAAGCCAAAAGATTACGTACCTCTGGTTTCGGATTTATTCATTTGTAATGTGTAGCTACAGTGCACTCACATTCACCACTTTATAGTATTTTATTAAATGACTATACCTCAATTTATTATCCAATCTACTGTTAATGGAAAACATGAGAGTTTCTCCAATGTTCTGCAATTTCAAACATTTAAAAATTTTTCTTCAAGTGCGCTGTGTTAATGTCTCCTTAGGGTACAAATCTAAGAGTAGGGTTGCTGGGTCACAGAGCAGGGACTGATACCTTTGGTAGATAATGACAAATTGTTTTTTACTGTGGTTTTACCTGTTTAAACATCTACCAGCTATGTATAAAAATATATGTTGTTGCACAGCCCTCTTGAGTCTTGATGTCAAAGACTTTTAAATTTTTTGCCAATTTGGAGTATGTGAAATGATAGTTCATTGTGGTTTTAATTTATATTTTCTTCCTTTTTAATCAAATTGAGCATTGCCATATTGGCCATGTGAATTTTCATTGCTGAGAGGAGGCTGTTCAGGAGATGCTGATTGTATGTCCCTAGAATCTTGGGGTCATGGCTGACTTGGAGCAGCTGGGGAGGGTGAGGAGGGCCCAGGAAGGAGCAGGGTGCTACCCTGAAGTCCAGCGTGGAGCCATGGGGAGCAGGGGCCTGGCCACAATGGCAGAGACATGTAGAGGGTGCTGCCCAGCAGGGAACTTCTGGTTGATTCTCTGTCTTGGTTAGAGGCGAGCCTACTCTGGTTACTTTGATAACAAAATGCACCCACGTCCCACCCTCAGCATCCTGAGGAGCTGGGCAGCAAACGTCCATGGAGCAAGGCAGGGGACTTGGGGTGACTGGCAGGCACATGACTCCAGACAATTTCTGAACAGTGAAATGCTGGCAGACTTTTCAATGTGTGGGGAAAAGCTCAAAATATAATCTTTAATGTGACTTTTTCCAATGGTTAAACATCGTCAGCTAGTTAAATAAAGGTGGTTTGGGCCAAATCAGCTGTGTCTGTGGGTGCTGGAGGTAGCTGTCAAAAGGCTCAAAGTGACCCGAGCTTTGGTTATGAGACAAGGTTCACTCCTCAGACAATCAGCAAGTATTACCTGTCTCCTGAGGCCTGGGGACCTACTTTTGTGTAGGGAACAGGAGAAAAAATAGGCCCCTGACTTCATGGAGGCATCGTCTGAGAGGACACTCGTTCTTTTAGCACTTTTGTGTGTGTGATAAAACAGGCATGATGTAAAATTTACTACTTGTAGCTGTTCAGTTCAGTGGCATAATTGCATTCACATTGTTGCACGCCACAGAACTCTTTTCATCTTACAAAATGGAAATTCTGTACTCATTAAACACCGACTCCCCATTCCTCCCCTTCCCCTAGCCTCCTCTGGCAGCCACCATTCTACTTTTTGTCTCCATAGATTTATTTATTTATTTAGAGACAGACTCTCGCTCTGTTGCTCAGGCTGGAGTGCAGTGGTGTGATCTCGGCTCACTGCAACCTCCGTCTCTCAGGTTCAAGCTATTCTCCTGCCTCAGCCTTCCGAGTAGCTGGGATTACAGGCATGTGCCACCACGCCCTGCTAATTTTTGTATTTTTAGTAGAGACGGGGGTTTCACCATGTTGGCCAGGCTGGTCTCGAACTCCTCATCTCAGGTGATCTGCCCACCTGGGCCTCCCAAAGTGCTGGGATTACAGGTATGAGCCACCACTCCTGGCCGTCTCTATAAATTTGACTACTCTAGGAACCTCATATAAATGGAATCATACAACATTTGTCCTTTTGCATTTGGCTTATTTCACCTAACATACTGCCTTCAAGAGTCACCCATGTTGTAGCATGGGACAGAATTTCCTTTCTTTTTAAACCCAAATAATATTCCATTGTATGTAGATACCACATTTTGCTTATCCATTCATCCATCCATGAATGTCTTAGTCCATTTGGGCTGCTCTTAGAGAATACCATAGACTAGGGGCTTATAAACAACACATTTATTTCTAACATTTCTGGAGGTTGGAAAGTCTAAGCTCAAGGCTCCAGCAGATTCAGTGTCTGGTAAGAATTAACTTGCTTCCTGGTTCACAGATGACCATCTTCTATTTTTTTTTTTTTTTTTTTGTGAGACGGAGTCTCACTCTGTTGCCCAGGCTGGAGTGTGGTGGCACCATCTTGGCTCACTGCAAGCTCCGCCTCCTGGGTTCACGCCATTCTCCTGCCTCAGCCTCCCCAGTAGCTGGGACTACAGGCCCCTACCACCACGCCTGGCTAATTTTTTGTATTTTTAGTAGGACGGGGTTTCATTGTGTTAGCCAGGATGGTCTTGATCTCCTGACCTCGTGATCCGCCCGCCTCGGCCTCCCAAAGTGCTGGGATTACAGGCATGAGCCACCGCGCCCAGCCACAGATGACCATCTTCTTGCTGTGTCTTAACCACTTGGCCACCTCGTCACTATTGTCTTGCTGTGTCTTTATATGGTGGAAAGGACAAGGGACCTTATGTGAGTCTCTTTGATAAGGACAGTAATCCCAGCCATGGGGCCCCTACCCTCATGACCTAATCACCTCTCAAAAGTCTCACCTTGTAATGGTTCCATTACAAACCATTGCCTTGGGGGTTCAGATTTCAACACAGGAATTTGGGTTAGGGCCACAAATATTCAGTCTATAGCAGATTGCTTCTACATTTTGGCTATTGTGAGTAATACTGCTATGAGCATGGGTGTACAAAAATCTCTTCAAAGTCCCTGCTTTCAATTTCTCTTTTGGATATATACCTAGAAGTAGAATTACTGGATTGTATGGTAATTATATATTTAATTTTTTGAGGAATTGCCCTACTCTCCTAGCATTTTTTGTTTTAGAGACGAAGTCTTACTCTGTCACCCAGGCTGGAGTGCAGTGGTGGGATCATGGCTCACTGCAGCCTCTGTCTCTCAGGCTCAAGCCATCCTCCCACCTCAGCCTCCCGAGTAGCTGGGACTACAGGCACGCACCACCATCCCTGGCAATTTATTTTTATTTTTTTGTAGTGACAGTGTCTCCCTATGTTGCCTAGGCTGGTCTTGAACTCCTGAGCTCAAGCGATCTTCCCTACTCAGCCTCCCAAAGTGCTGGGATTACAGCCGTGAGATTAAACCATGTCTGGCCTTTCTTAATATTTTTTACCTGCTTTCTTTAATTCTGATTGTGCATTTAGAACTTGAGGGAAAATCAGTCTCATTTTGGACAGTGTTGATTTATTTCTTTTCTAAGGTCAAATTGCAAGAGCAGAACGGCTATTACCTTCCAGCCTCTATCTGTTTGGCTGTTCTTGTCCCATAATGATGATGACAATTAGAAAAATGATTAGGATGATAAAATATATTGAGGGCTTACTTTGTCCCAAGCATGATTTGAAACACTTTAACATATTGTAAGTCATTTTATCTTCACAATCATTCTATGGAGATTGTTGCCCTAATTTTACAGATGAAGAAACTGAGTCACAGAGAAGCAGACCCATAAAACGATGCTGGGGTGGACAAGATCATTTCATTCAATGCTTACTTTCACCAATGAGGGAAAGGAGCCCCCGAGGGGAGATGCCTCAGGTCGTAAACCAAGCTGGGGTGAACTTGCAGGCTTCCAGACGTCTGGAATCCCCTGGCCCCATGCTCTTGCTGCCTCTAAGACAGGATTCCATTCATTTATTTTGTTTATCCCAGTGACCCAGGCAAAACCTCATCTGAGAGGCTTCTGTGCTGCGTCTGAATCCAGCTGGATCTTCCTGGTCGTCCTCCTGATCATTACTGAGGCAGGACTGAGCTGAAATATGATGGGGGAGGATTACAGGTTTGGCTCTAGGATTTTGTGAAAACACATGGAAGTAGCATATTAGTATTAGTCAAGGACTGAAAGAGCCTTTTTAAGAACTTGAGATAAATTTTAGCAAAATCAGGTTGCCCCGAGGAGCATTCAATGTACCGTGAGAGAGTCTGTCAAAAAATTACGTTTTTTTTCCCCTTGTTCAGTTTATTTAAATAGTAAAAACCTGGAGTCTGCATCGCTTGCAAACTTGCACCCTTGAAATGATGAGTCAGATCCTATGTATGGTGAGCCTGTGTTTTTCATTACGTTCCCTTACTCGTTAGGGTTTGCAGTTAGTCCACGTTACACGTTTCCTTCGTGTTTTTCTTGAACTTCATGAACTCTGGCGTTTCATTTCACGGATGTATATCCAAGGGAAAAGTAGCCTTCCTTTGATCTTCCTCAGGACCCCATTATGTTTAACCTAAGAAAGATTAGGGAGTTTTCATTCAACGCTGAACAAACACAAAATTCAGCTGCAAAAATGGCGAGTGCTTAATCTATTTACAACGTCAACTCCATTATGAACTAATTCCACAGCAAGCCGACTTTGAAAAGAATTCTTCTGAATGGAATTCCCATCTGCCTTTGGAGGCTGGATGCATATGGTCCCAAGTACTAAATGTTTTAGCCTCACAAAGGAATCTGTTTAGCACAAAATATGTACACCGTAGAGGGTGTTTAAACTTTGAGATCACCGTGGCTGTTGGTTCCCTAGATGGGAGTCGAGTTGCTCTTTGTGCCCACTCTGTCTCCCCGAACAGAATGGGCAGTTTCTGGAAAGTTCCCTCACCTTCTAGTTGTGTTTGTCACAACATCTGCTTCACGGTGGTGAAACAAGTCAGCTCCAGTCCTAGGACAAACAATCCTGTGAGCTGGGGTGAGCTTGGAAGGGCAAAAAGCTGCCACTTGGCCAGCACTTGGACGCCAGACAGCTCAGCTTCCCTCTGCCCATTTGGGGTTTCCCAAATGGGTTTTTGAAACTGTCCATCTTTTAAATAGCCCTTTAATGCAACATGCAGGTCCAATTGTGACATATTTTTTTTTCTAGTCTTAAAACGAGAAAGGAAGAACAAAACAAAATCAAGTGTTAGCCTGTCAGGATTTTCAGTTCCCTGTCATGTCATGGCATTGATGGAAATTTATTTTCCTAATGAAGGCTCCAGCGCTAATGGTGGCACTTGCTAGAAACAGTTAGGACTAAGTGTTATTTAATTCACGGTGAAGCGACAATCTGACTGGACTGTGATTAGTTCCAGCTTTTAGCTATCATTTATAGGTCACCAGGTGGCTAACAACCTCAATTGAGAGACCATTATCTTTTGACAAGATGAAGCTTTTTTTTCTGGGGGATAGAAGGGGAGAGAGAGGAGTTCCACCCAGAAAGCCCAGCTCCTTGCTCTCCATGGGAATAACTTCATTCCTACGAAAGCTTTGCTGCTACTTACTCAAAGGTTCCACGCTACAGTCACACACTGTTTAAGACCAGGATATGTTATGAGAAATGTGTTATTAGGTGATTTTGTTATTGTGTAAACATCATAGAAGGTATTTACACAAACCTAGATGATACAGCCTGCACACACCTCGTCTCTATGGTACAGCCAGTTGCTCGTAGACTACAAACCTGTCCAGCATGTTACTCTACTAAACGCTGCAGGTAATGTAATACAATGGTAGGTATTTGTGTATCTAAACATCTTAATGTAGAAAAGGTACTCTAAAAACAGGGTATTATACACCTACAGTTTGGGCATCAGGGTGAGGCCTTCTCTCCAAAAAAAATATTATAATCTTATGGGATCACTATTATACCATCCAGTCTGCCATTGACCAAAACGTTGTTATGTGGCACAAGACTACAGTAGATTCTGGTTAGGTATCATGAAGTCAAAGAAGGAAAAGACTTTCCTCACAGCCACTCATTTATCCACTCAGCAACTCTTCCTTGAGGGAGTCATTGCAGGAGGGTGTATTGGTAGGGTTCCCTGGTACGAAGGCTAATATTCGGCCTGCACATACTGGTATGGCTGTTGTAGTTTTTTTTTGTGTGTGTTTTTTTTAATAGTGTATCCACCATGATAGGTTGGCACATCTATTCTGATTGGTTGGTGCCAGTGCCATACTGATTGTTAAAAATTCCAAATAACACCCTTGCCTGGAGTGTTCTTTTATGACGCTTACTTTTTCTGCAAGAAAATGCCATTTTCAGTTAAATTCCCTTTCATCATTAGAGTGTCTCCTTTATTAGATAAAAGCTGTAGACTCTTACTTAAGGTCTAAGCAAGATGACATGACGTTGTTAGAAAGTAGTAGTTTGGGTGTAGGTATAATATGATTTGAAAAAATTGGAAGGTTATATGTGCTTGGGGGCCTGGACCCAGAAGAGCTGGCTGCTCTTCTTGAGGGCCATGGCAATACTCAGTCAGCCTCCTAAGACAGAGGTCTACAGGGGGAGCCTGAATAACAAATAAGAATTATAGCCTCTGTTCCACTGGAACAATGCAATCGTTCCTGCTACCACCCCACACACAGCAACCTGCACCATGCTGCTTGGAGTGGCAAGAGCTGACCTCTTCCTACCCCCTGAAACTGGGATCCTCCTTCTTTCCTTCTGGGTCTTGGGAAGGTGGGAGACAGCCTTACATCTTAATCTTGCTTTTGCTTCCCTTCTATATGTGAGTCTGTGTTTTCTGTATAAAAGTCCCACGGTTAAAAGGAAAAGAACCTTTTTTTAGTTATACTTTTGGAACCAGAACATCTGACTTTAACCAGTCAAATGCAATGCCTAAAGCTACCTGCTGGGCATTGGGAGTTGTGAAGGCACTTTACACACATGCTGCCATTCATCCCTCACCTCAATCCAGGGAGACAGGCATTATTTCTCCCAAGTCCTGGAGGAGGCTGGGGCAAGACCTGGGATGCAAACCCAGGCCTGCTGTTTCATGGGACAGATCTTACAGGTGCTACCTCTGCCCTAAGGGGGCTTACAGTCAGTTGGGAAGATGAGCCATGCCCATATAGCTGCAAGGTGAAACTAAGTATCACAATGTTTGTCAAACTTGAGGTCCTGGTTTTACCCCCCAAAAATTGTAATGAACCTCCAGTGTTGACTTACATTCATAAATTATTTAAATATGCACAAATACAAACTTTGCATATATTTCTTATACTACTAATAATTTGGTGCATTTCCTTATATATGTACCTCAAGTATTTGGGACTTTACTTTAAATCGATTTATAATTATGATCTTCAAAAATTTCCCATACGCTAACATTTTCCTATGCCAGTCACAAAATTTAGAAAATTGTTATTCTGGGCCGGGTGCGGTGGCTCATACCTGTAATCCCAGCATTTGGGAGGCCGAGGTGGGTGGATCACCTGATGTCAGGAGTTTGAGACCAGCCTGGCTAACATGGTGAAACCCCGTTTGTACTGAAAATACAAAAAAATAGGGCGTGGTGGTGCGCACCTGTCATCCCAGCTACTCGGGAGGCTGAGGCAGGAGAATCGCTTGAACCCGGGAGGCAGAGGTTGCAGTGAGCCAAGATTGTGCCATTGTACTCCAGCTTGGGCAACAAGAGTGAAACACTGTCTCAAAAAAAAAGAAAAAAGAAAATTGTTGTTCTTGTCTATGGCCATACCATCCTGAACATTCCCGCTCTTGTCTGAACTCAGAAGCTAAGCAGGGTCAGGTTAGTACTTGGATGGGAGAAAATTGTTATTCTTTTTCATTTTGCATCAACATATGGGACTTCATTATATATTAAATGATTCCCCTAAAAGTGGGCATTTAGGTTGTTTCTGATTTGTGCCATGATAAAGCACACTGTAACATACGTTTTTCCACATGAACCTTGGCTGCCTTTCTGATTATTTCCTTGGAGTTAATACTCAGGAGTGAAATTACTGGTTCAAAGGGCATAAACAGTTTTAAAACTTTTAACAAACGTATTTCTCCAGAAAGGTTGTACTAATTTGTCTCCTTTTTTTTTTTTTTTTTTTTTTTTTTTTTTTTTTTTTTTTGAGACAGAGTCTCACTCTGTCGCCCAGGCTGGAGTGCAGTGGCACGATCTCGGCTCATGGCAAGCTCCGCCTCCCGGGTTCACGCTATTCTCCTGCCTCAGCCTCCTGAGGAGCTGGGACTATAGGCGCCCGCCACCATGCCCGCCTAATTTTTTGTATTTTTAGTAGAGACGGGGGTTTCACCGTGTTAGCCAGGATGGTCTCAATCTCCTGACCTCGTGATCCACCCACCTTGGCCTCCCAAAGTGCTGGGATTACAGGCGTGAGCCACCGCGCCCAGCCCTAATTTGTCTGCTTCTAAGATTGAATATTCACTCTGGGGTGCAAGAGTTGTCAAAGAGAAAGTGGCATTGGATGGCCGGGTGTGGTGACTCACGCCTGTAATCTCAGCACTTCTGGGAGGCTGAGGCAGGCAGATCACCTGAGGTAAGGAGTTCGAGACCAGCCTGGCCAACATGGTGAAACCCCGACTCTACTAAAAATACAAAAATTAGCCAGGTGTGGTGTCAGGCACTTGTAATCTCAGCTACTCAGGAGGCTGAGGCAGGAGAATTGTTTGAACCTGGGCGGCAGAGGTTGCAGTGAGTCGGGGTTGCGCTGCTGCACTCCAGCCTGGGTGACAGAGTGAGACTCTGTCTCAAAGAGAAAAGAAAGTGGCATTTGAACCAGAACATCGAGGGTAGGCAGGAGTTCCACCAATGAAGGCAGGGGTGCCATTGAGAAAGGAGGGGACAAGGTGTATGGGAGATGATAAGCATTCAAATTCAGCAATATTGGAGAATATCCTGTGCATTGCCTCCCAGCGATTTTGTGTATTGAATGCTAGGATTTGGAGCAGGACATGAAGGGAATTAAAATATTCAAAACGTGAAACAACTTAGCAATGACACTGACACAATCACCGTTGCGGTTTAACTTTGTCTAAGTGTCTAAAAGCATTGTCGTTATTGTACCATTTCTTACTCCCCTCAGCTCTGTGTTGCCGTTTGAATAGAGCTGTTTACTGATCTTACTGTGGTCTCTCATATAACAGGACAGTGTTCTCACATGTTCTAGAACACGCTGTCTTTCATGTTGACATGGAGTCACACTGTGTTGCTGTCACTCATTACTTGACAATCGCAGCCCTATGTTCCTCTTGACAGACCTCCCACTGGTGGTATAGATTTATGGTTAAGAGAAGCTGGCCAGGCACAGTGGCTCAGGCCTGTAATCCCAGCAGTTTGGGAGGCCAAGCTGGGTGGATCACCTGAGGTCAGGAGTACGAGACCAGCCTGGCCAACATGCTGAAAACCTGTCTTTACTAAGAATACAAAAAATTAGCTGGGCATGGTAGGTGGTGCCTGTAATCCCAGCTACTCAGGAGACTGAGACAGGAGAATCGCTTGAATCTGGGAGGCGGAGGCTGCAGTGAGCCGAGGTCTCGCCATTGCACTCCAGCCTGGGCAACAAGAGCAAAACTCCATTATATAAAAAAGAAGTTAAGATTGTTTGGGTGCAAGTTCCAGCTCTACCATTTATTGGTTGTGTGGCTTTGGGCAAGTTCCTAAACCTCTTTGTGACTTAATTTCTTCAACTGTAAATGGGGTGATATGGCTTGGCTGTGTCCCCACCCAAATCTCTTCTTGAATTGTGATCTGAATTGTAATCCCCAGGTGTCGAGGGAGGGACCTGGTGGGAGGTGACTGGATCATGGGGATGGCTTCCCCCATGCTGTTCTCATGATAGTGAGAGAGTTCTCACAAGATCTGGTTGTTTGCTAAGTGTCTGGCATCTGCCCTGTTTGCTCGCTCTCTCCTGCCACCTTGCCTTCCACCATGATTGTAAGTTTCCTGAGGCCTCCCCAGCCATGCAGACCTGTGAGTCAATTAAACCTCCTTTGTTTATAATGTGCTTTGTCTGAGGTAGTATCTTTATAGCAGTGTGAAAACGGACTTACACCTGGGGTTGAGACTGTGACCTATGTTTATAGGGCTTCCTCATCCTTAAGTAAGTTAATACATATAAACCACTTAAAACACTGCCGTGCACAGAATAAGTACCTTTAGTGTTAGCTTTTTCTTTTTCTTTCTTTTTTTTGAGATGGAGTCTCACTCTGTTGCCCAGGCTGGAGTGCAGTGGTGCGATCTCGGCTCACTGCAAGCACTGCCTCCCAGGTTCACGCCGTTCTCTTGCCTCAGCCTCCCGAATAGCTGGGACTACAGGCGCCCGCCACCACGCCTGGCTAATTTTTTGTATTTTGGTTAGAGACAGGGTTTCACCGTGTTAGCCAGGATGGTCTCGATCTCCTGACCTTGTGATCCGCCTGCCTCGGCCTCTCAAAGTGCTGGGATTACAGGCGTGAGCCACCGCGCCCGGTCTTTTTTTTTTTTTTTTTTTTGAGATGGAATTTCACTCTTGTTGCCCAGGCTGGAGTGCAACAGGGCAATCTCGGCTCACCACAACCTCCGCCTCTTGAGTTCAAGCAATTCTCCTGCTTCAGCCTCCCGAGTAGCTGGGATTATAGGCATGCACCACCACACCCGGCTAATTTTGTATTTTTAGTAGAGACGGGGTTTCTCCATGTTGGTCAGGCTGGTCTTGAACTCCCAACATCAGGTGATCTGCCCGCTTCGGCCTCCCAAAGTGCTGGGATTACAGGCGTGAACCGCTCTGTCCAGCCAACTGTTAGCTTTTATTTACAATGTTATATTCAGTTTGACCTACTGGCTAAAATTGGGCAGCATATTTATAAAGGGTATATGGCCAAGAGGTATGCCAGGGCATTCTCTTCACTGAAAAAACAAGGCCAGAAAAATGCCTCCTTCCTCACTTGACCCACAGTTACAACAAACAGCCAGGTGTAAAGGTGAAACATTTTTATTTAGTTTCATTACAGAGGTTAAATAGACTTTTATGACATCCATACAAAATATAGCAATGGTTGTGGGCATAAATAAGAATTGTTCTAACTATTCTAACTGATTTTATAATGCACAGCTCTTTCAGTTGATTACAAATATGAAGTATATCACCTCAGGATGCAGAGATTTTTGAATTCTATTTAGCAATTTCCAAAAGCTGAAGTCTAGAACCGAAGACACATATAAAAAGATGATTTTTAAATGGAACCAGCCACCTTGAAAAATATTTTGAAAAACATGATTTAAACTTTAGAAAATAAAACTTTTAATACTTAAGAGATAACATGATGCAAACGTTGCTTGTTGGCCTGACTTTCCAGGACTAAGACCCTCTGGGAATCAATGGGGCTCGGTGACATGGCGTAACCTGCTACTGGGGTGTGGTCTCAGACACAAAATCACACTGGATGTTGGTCTACAGAGGCAGGATTCTCTCATTGCTGGATGACTCTTGAAATGAAGCCTTTGCCTTTGTTACACATTTGGCTTTACAATCTTCATTGACAAATAGTTCTGGAAAGGAAACAAAAACAGTGGTAAAAAAACATGTATGTATATATGTTTTTCAGTTAGGGTTTCTCAATCTTGAGAAAAAATTGACATTTTGAACCAGATGATTCTTTCTTGTTGGGGAGTGTCCTGTGCATTGTAGGATGTTCAGCAGCTTTCACTGGCCTCTACCCACCGAGTGCCAGTAGCACCCCCCCGCCAAGTTGTTGCAACCAAAATGTCTCCAGACGTTGGCAAATGTCCTCTTGGGGGTGGGGAGCAAAAATCTCCCCTAATTGGGAACCACTGGTTTATTTTTATTTTTATTTTTTTTTTGAGATGGAGTCTTGCTCTGTCGCCTAGGCTGGAGTGCAGTGGCGCGATCTCGGCTCACTGCAACCTCCGCCTCCCAGGTTCACGCCATGCCATTCTCCTGCCTCAGCCTCCAGAGCAGCTGGGACTACAGGCGCCTGCCACCATGCCCAGCTAATTTTTTATATTCTTAGTAGAGATGGGGTTTCACTGTGTTAGCCAGGATGGACTCTGTCTCCTGACCTCGTGATCCGCCTGCCTCGGCCTCCAAACATGGTGGGATTACAGGCGTGAGCCACCACGCCCTGCAGTAACCACTGGTTTAAACCAATAGAATTTTTTTTTTTTTTTTGAGACGGAGTTTTGCACTTGTCACCCAGGGTGGAGTGCAGTGGCGTGATCTCCAGTCACTGCAACCTTTGCCTCGCAGGTTCAAGTGATTCTCCAGCCTCAGCCTCCCAAGTAGCTGGGATTACAGGCGCCCACCAACACGCTCTGCTAATTTTTAAATTTTTAGTAGAGACAGGGTTTCACCATGTTGGTCAGGCTGGTCTCAAACTCCTGACCTCAGGTGATCCGCCCGCCTCAGCCTCCCAAAGTGCTGGGATTATAGGTGTGAGCCACTGTACCCGGCTGCCAACAGAATCTAAATCAGGAAAAAGAATTAACTAGACCGGGTGCAGTGGCTCACACCTGTAATCCCAGCACTTTGGGAGGCTAAGGCAGGCAGATCACATGAGGTCAGGAGTTGGAGACCAGCCTGGCCAACATGGTGAAACCCCGTCTCTACTAAAAATAAAAAAATTAGCCGGGCATGGTGGTGGGTGCCTGTAATCCCAGCTACTTGGGAGGCTGAGGCTGGAGAATCGCTTGAACCTGTGAGGCAGAGGTTGCAGTGAGCCAAGATTGCGCCACTGTACTCCAGCCTGGGTGACAGAGCAAAACCCCATCTCAAAAAAAATAAAAAATAAAAAAAATAGAAGTTTTTTAAATGGTCAAGACAGTTGGACTGGGACCGAATGTGGTGGTTCACACCTATAATCCTAGCACGTTGGGAGGCTGAGGTGGGTGGATCACTTGAGGTCAGGAGTTCGAGACCAGCCTGGCCAACATGGTGAAACCCAGTCTCTACTAAAAATACAAAAATTGGCAGGGTGTGGTGGCAGGCACCTGTAATCCCAGCTACTCGGGAGGCTGAGGCATGAGAAATGCTTGAACCTGGGAGGCGGAGGTTGCAGTGAGCCGAGATCGTGCCACTGTACTCCAGCCTGGGTGATAGAGTGAGACTCTGTCTCAAAAAAAAAAAAAAAAGCAGTTTGACCAGCTACGACTGTATAATAGTGTACATATACTCATAGATGACAAACTAGAAGTACTATACTGGGGAAAAATGAAGACACAAAACCCCTGCTGCTTGTATGGCTACGATACTATTTTTTTGAGACAGAGTCTCACTTCTTCATCCAGGTTGGAGTGCAGTGGTGTGGTCTCAGCTCACTGCAACCTCCGCCTCCCAGGTTCAAGCAATTATCCTATCTTAGCATCCCTAGTAGCTGGGATTACAGGCATGTGCCACCACACCCAACTAATTTTTGTATTTTTAGTAGAGACGGGGTTTCGCTATGTTGGCCAGGCTAGTCTTGAACTCCTGACCTCAAGTGATTCACCCGCCTCGGCCTCCCAAAGTGCCAGGATTACAGGCATGAGCCACCTCGCCCAGCTGATATTATTATTAATGTGTTTTTGGAGTAAGAGCTTTTGAATGTCTCCTGTGACATTCAGTGCCACTGGCCCAACTTCTGAGCATGGCTTCCTCTGCCTGGACTATCCCTTCTCCACTTGGCAAACTTGAATGTCCCCTCCTTGGAGGAACTGTCTTAGCAGGGGGTGCCCACGGTTGTTTGTTTCTGTCTCCATAACAGCTCACCTCCCTTAGTCATGTGTCCTTGTTCCCGTGGCTGCCTGTTCCCAGAATATGAACTGCTCTTGGGCACAAATCATGCCAATAATTTAATCATCACTATAACTTAATTCCTAGCCTGTCGTAGATGCGCAATACATCCTCTGGATGGAGGAAGGGAGGTACTACTTCTAGGCAAGCTGCCAAATCTCCCACTTGGACTCCCGTTTATGACTGGGGTGATTAGGGGAACATTTAAGGGGGAGGTTATACGTGACATGAGCCTTAAAAAATGAGTGAGGTTTTGATAGATAAATGTGGACAGAGAAACAAAATTGGCAAAGGCATCCAGATAGGTAAGGGCAATAATATTTGGGGAGGTTGGGATCAATGATCTAGTTTGGGTGGAACACAAGGTATATGTAGACCCACAATGAACCCAGATTTGGGGATTCTTGAAGCTAGGACAAGGAATTAGGATGCAGGATGGTTTGGAACAAGAAAGTCTGAAGGCAGGAAGATCAGCTGGAAACGCTGGCCATAGTCCAGACACACACTGACCGAGACCTGAGTGATTTCTCCTAGAATTCCTGAAACCAAAGTTATTTTCAGATCATAAAGAAAAGTTCTGCCCGTAATTTGTGAAACCCTGAGAATGTGATTCTAATTACAAGACACATTACTTTAAATTTCCCCAAAGCAGAAGGGTTACAACCCCATGCTGCTGAGCGGGTCATTCTTCTGCACAGTGGTCAGGGCAGATGCCAAGGGAGAGGACCAACTGCAACTCACAAGAAAGCCAAGACAAGGGGCCAAGGAAGGGCTCCTACCGGCAAAGAGTAGAGGAGCACGGCCACGAAGAGCAGCAGGATAAGCAGGAACAGCAAGCCGATGATGACCCACTTAAAGCGGCGCCACACGATGAACTTCATGGTCTTGCATGGGTTGGTGAACCAGAGGAAGGAGGTTTCTGGTCGACTGCATTGCAAAGAAACAGTATCACCTACCCAACTCAGGAGGGATGCATATTTTATTCCAGAGCATAACACAGTTTCAGGAATAAAGAATCACATTAATAAGGTCAAGAAAAAATACTGTTCCCCTTCGTTGACTGAGAAAGGCTCTTTAACCTACGACAGCTTCCTAAGATGCTGAACTTTGGTTTCCTGGAAAGGAGAATTCTTAAAATGAAGCCAGATCACCAACCTCTCCACCCCCACCCACCACTATTAAATACCAGATTAGGAGGACCACAAAAGCTAATCCATCCCATTAAGCCAATGGGAAGGGGGGCTCTCAGCCTGCAGGTGTTTGGGGAGTGGGAGAACAAAGAAGGCCTCTCACTTTGGTAAGTCCAGCTTGGGGTTCATGTTGGGTTCGTCCCGCCCCTTCCCGGCTGGCCTCTCGTCGGCCTCCTTCTCGTTGAGGATTTCCAATGTCATCTCCACTTTCCCCTTCAGTAAAGCAGAGCAGGTTAAACATATGACATCATGTTTCACAAATATTTTTACTTCAACCCAAGGAGTATTCCCCGAGCAATGATTTTTATTCTTGTAAAACAATCCTTAGATTGCCTTCAGTTTTCCTCAAGAGATTTCATCCCATTTCCTCTTCCATGTGTTTCTGAACTGACTCTGTGTGGGAAACTTTGAGGACAAATTGCTTCCCCCACTCCCTACTTTTCATTTTCTGTATCCCCCTCACTCTAACATTCTCACATTGGTCTCCTTGTCTCCCCACACACCTTCCTATGTAACTTCACTTGGACCCAGACTAACCTGAATACCACTAATAACAATATCTAACATTTATTGAGCATTATTGTAGGCTCCCAGTAAGAGAACAGAGCCATATCTCTTCATGCCTATCAATCATTGTCACCTACTGTGCACAGTGGCTGGCATTCAGTAGGTACTCCATGTACACTAGCTCAATAAATGAATGAATGAGTGAGTGAATGAATGTTTTCTCCCTGCTCACGGGTTCCTGAGTGATGTTCCCAGCACCGTTTAAATGTTCTACATGGGTTATCTCATGTAATGCTCATGGCAACCCTACAAAGGTACTATTATTGTCCTCATGTGCAAATGAGAACAGTGAGGCCAAAGTGAAAGTGGTCTAGAAACTTGCCCACTTTTGGCTGGGCGCAGTGGCTTATGCCTGTAATCCCAGTGCTTTGGGAGGCTGAGGCGGGAGGATCACCTGAGGTCAGGAGTTCAAGACCAGCCTGGCCAACATGGCGAAACCCCATCTCTACTAAAAATACAAAAAAAAAAAAAAAAATTAGCCAGCATGGTGGCGTGCGCCTGTAGTCCCAGCTACTTGGGAGGCAGAGGTTGCAGTAAGCAGAGATCGCACCACTGCACTCCAGCCTGGGTGACAGAGTGAGACTTCATCTCTAAAAAAAAAAAAAAAAGCAACAAACCTGCCCACTTTTATAGTGAGCCATACCTAAGATTGTAACAGACTTTGTAACAGACTTTCTAAGAGCCAGGAAAGGCAGCAAGGTCACCAACAATTTGGGAAGCCCTGGCCCTGAGTAGAGCCCTGATGACCTCTACCCTTACAAGTCAGACAAAGCTGGGTTTCTGACTTTGGCAAGTTGCTCCATCTCTCCAAGACTGTTTTTGGAATCGCTAAAGTGGGGACAATGTCTACTTCATGGCGTTGTCAGCAGAACTAAGTGAGGTTATGTGCAAACTGCTGTATTGTAACGGAAAGCAGGTCAGTGGTTTCCTGGGACCAGGGAGGGAGGGAGCAATGGACTGCAGAGAGAGAGCACAAGGAAATTTTGGGGGTGATGGGAAGGTTCTGGATCTTGATTATGGTTCAGTGAGTGTCTACATCTGTCAAAAGTCATCAAATTGTGTACTTTAAATGAATACAGTTTATGTAAATTATACACCAAGGTTGTTTTTAAAAAGATTATGAATGTAAGGTACTTGGCATGCTGCCTGGTTCAAAATTAATGATCAAAAATGTTAGCTATTTTTAATAATGCATAATGAACTAGGTAGTCTTTCGTGATATGGCATGGTAACCCACACTATTGCTTCTAGATCAAAATACATCTTGAGTTCCTCAACTTGCTTGTAATTTATGGCCTTCTTATTCAACTAATGCCAGCACACCTTGCTTCTTCCACCTCTCTTTTTTTTCTTTTTTATTTTTTTTGAGGCAGAGTCTCACTCTGTCACCCAGGCTGGAGTACAGTGGCACGATCTTGGCTCACTGCAACCTATGCCTCCTGGGTCCAAGTGATTCTCGTGCCTCAGCCTCCTAAGTGTCTGGGACTACAGGTGTGCACCACCACTACTGGCTATTTTTGTTGTTGTTGTTTTTGTATTTTTAGTAGAGACGGTGTTTTGCCACGTTGGCCAGGCTGGTCTCGAACTCCTGACCTCAGGTAATCCACCTGCCTTGGATTACAGGCATGAGCCACCACACCCAGCCCTACCTTTTTTTTTTAATGAGAAAAATTCAAATGTGAAGTTCCCTTTTCCATACGAAATTGTACTAGAAGCCTAGCATTAATTAACTTCCCTGATGAAGAAGAAAGGAAAATATAGTGAAACCACCTGGGCTTCTACTTTTTGACCATTCCAACTTCTTCACCTTCCTCCAACTCCAAACACATGCTCACAGCATCTCCCACCTTATATTGTAAGACAAAGGCAAACATATCCCAAAGACAAACTGTTCCCATAACTTAAACTCCCACCAATTTAAAACTTCCTCATTTTATCTGGAGTAAGTCTATGGATAAAGGGCAAAACCTAAATGATAAAAGGCATAAACGATTTTCAACCAGAACCAGGAAATGTTCATACAGCCATTACGCGGGCGCCATCTTTCTCTGCGTAGCATGGCCACCATCCTTTCATGGACTTCTGCTCAAAGAGGGAGGCTGTCTTGGCTTTAAGGGGGTTCATGGCTTTGAGGTCCGGAATCATGTCCAATCTGCATTTCTCTGGTGATTTTGCAGGAATGATCGTGTGACGCAAGTCAAGTTCTAGGAAACCTAGCCAAGGAAACAACAGTAAGTCCAAATGAGCTTCAAGTGGATCAGCTGTTGTTCACAAGTGAACAGAACGTTCTTATCAGGAGAGAGGCACACAGTGATTTTGAACAGGTAAATGGTGAGTTAGAGAAAGGGAGCCTGGTGGACATTTAAAGTCTTTCCAGTTAGGAAGGAAAATGGCCGAAGAAATAGCCGTCCACTGCACAGCATCTCCTGTTTTCTTTCTCAAAGATATGAGCATAAACAGAGTTCTTTAAACTCAAAGTAATGAAATATCTACAGACACAATTTTCACTCAACTCAAGGCCCTTGGATGTGAAATGTTTTCCTTTTAGTTCTGAGCTGCCCTGAGCAGAGAGGTCATTTGGCTTTGGGTAAAGACAATAGGTGCTTAGAACACAGGATGCTGGCTGGGCAAAGTGGCTCACGGCTGTAATCCTAGCACTTTGGGAGGCTGAGGTGGGCAGATCACTTGAGGTCAGGAGTTCAAGACCAGCCTGGCCAACATGGTGAAACCCCGTCTCTACTAAAAATATAAAAATTAGCCGGGCACGATGGCACACATCCGTAATCCCAGCTACTCAAGAGGCTGAGGCACAAGAATCGCGTGAGCCCAGGAGGCAGAGGTTGCAGTGAGCAGAGATCGCACCATTGTTCTCCAGCCTGGGCAGCAGAGCGAGATTCTGTCTCAAAAAAAACAAAACAGAAAACCAACACAGGATGCTGCATGAAATGTGCATGTCCAAGACTCTCCTAGTAAAACCTCAGAAACAGAAGCTTGAGAAGGAACATGACTCAACAGAAAACGCTCACCAGGAACTGAGACTCCTAGCCTCAATCAGAGTGTCTGGAGAAGCACATTGTCCCTTCTATGATGTAAGGCATTCACTCTTTTTGAGACTGAGTCTCTCTCTATAACCCAGGCTGGAGTACAGTGATGTGATCTCAGCTCACTGCAACCTCCGCCTACTGGGTTCAAGCGATTCTCATGCCTCAGCCTCCCTAGTAGCTGGGACTACAGGTGTGCACCACAATGCCCGGCTAATTTTTGTATTTTTAGTGGAGACAGGGTTTTGCCATGTTGGCCAGGCTGGTCTTGAACTCCTGACCTCATGTGATCCACCCACCTTGGCCTCCCAAAGTTCTGGGATTACAGGCATGACCCACTGTGCCCGGCCACATTAACTCTTTAGTACCACTTCCACGGTAAGGGAAAAGTGTGTTTTGGGCTTGGGAACTCCTGTGAGCCCTTTCCTTAAGAAAATGGTATCTGTGATGTGGGGTCAAGTCTATGGATGACTGGGGCAAGAGTCTGGCCTTCAGCAGTGGCAGCAAAGAGCAACAAGGAGGTTGTGGCATTTTCTCTTTAAACTGTCAGGCTCAGGGACTACCCTTCAGCATATAGTGGACCCATAAGACACGTGACCTTAGCCTTTCTTGACCTATGACTGCTTTTGTCTCCCCTCTCCTTTTGGTTATGTGCTCACTTGGCATTTTGAGACACAGTCATTCTCTTTATTTGTTGTCTGATAGTTTTGTTTAAATTCCAAGGGAAGGCCAGGCATGGTGGCTCATGCCTGTAATCCCAGCAATATTGGGAGGCCGAGGTGGGCAGATTACTTGAGCTCAGGAATTTGAGACCAGCTTGGGCAACATGGCAAAACCCTGTCTCTACAAAACATACACAAAATTATCCAGGCTTGGTGGCACGTGTCTGTGGTCCCAGCTACTTGGGAGGCTGAGGTTGGGAGGATCGCCTGAGCCCAGGAGGTGGAGGTTGCAGTGATCCTAGATCATGCCACTGCACTCCAGCCTGGGTGAGAGAGTGAGACTCTGTCTCAACAAACAAAGCCAAGGGCAAACCCTTTATTATCCTAGAATTTACTATCCATATACTTTATGTAAGCCTACTTGCATACTCATTTATTTGCTGACCTCTTAACTAAGCACTTAGTCAAAACCATTGCATTAGGTACTGTGCGGGGAAAAGGGATAAATAAGACACAGCCTTTGGTGGGTGTTTCCTCTGCCAGGAGGGACCCCTGGAAGCAGCGTGGAAACAGGGAGACCAGTCAGGGGCTACTGTAACATGTGGCTAGCAGAAAGTGAGTTTCAACTGGCAAGTGGCAGAGATCACAGGACTAAGAAAATAAGTGTGCGTGATAAAACAGATGACATTGCTAGAATGGAGTGGCTGGCGGGGCGTGGGGAGAAAAGAGAGGAGGAAAACCACAGAGGACTCCGGGTGCTTTCGCCTGGGTGGCTGGGGAAATGGAGGGGTTGTGAGCTGCTAAATAAGTTCCTGAGGAGAGCAGGGGTGAGGTCAGGGAAGAAATGCTGAGTGAGATTTCAGTCACAGTACAGGCTCACTGCCAGCCAGATATAAAGGTGGGAGGTTCTGGCCAGGAATCAGGAATGACCCTCACAACGATTTCCTTTGACTGTACTGCAGGCACTATGAGAGCGCAGGCTACACGTCCTGGTTTAGGAGCCATACTTTGTGGAAAGGTGAGAGTTGAAGCATGACCTTCCACTGAGGTGAGAGTGGGTAAATCCTTGGAGGGGGTGGTTGGCGGGTTGGAGGAGAGCAGAAGAACCTCAGGGAAGGCCTGTATTCAAAAAGTGGGAGGCTGGGCGCTGTGGCTTATGCTTGTAATCCTGGCACTTTGAGAGGCTGAGGTGCAAGGATTGCTTGAGCTCAGGGGTTCAAGGCCAGCCTGGGCAACATAGTGAGACCTCGTCTGTACTAAAAAGTGAAAAAAAAAAAAAATTAGCCAGGTTTCGTATGCCTGTAGTCCCAGCTACTCGGGAGGCTGAGGTGGAAGGATTTCTCGAACCCAGGAGGTTGAGGTTGCAGTGAGCTATGATCGTGCCACTGCACTCCAGCCTGGGTAACAGAGAGACCTGTCTCCAAAAATAAAAAAATAAAAAAATAGAGTGGGATGCAGAAACAGAGCTGGCTAATGTGACAAGACCAGAGCCTGGGAGAGTGAAAATCTGGAGAGCACAGTGCCATGGGGGGCGAGGGAGGAGTGTGCCAGGAGAGGGAAGGGCCCGGGCTAAGGGTGCATTGAACTAGTGCCCTTACCACAGAGGAGAATGGGCCTAGGGACAGGAGAAATGGCGGGGGGGTTGGGGACCTTGGTAACTTGGGAACAGGTTGAGGAGGGTAGGAGCTGATTCCCAGGTGCTGAGGAGAGAGTGGCTGGTTTGAAAGTGGATGTAGGAGTGTGGCATCCCCCTGCAGAAACAGGACTTGAGTCTTCACAGACAGACAGGAGCTGGTGCAAGACCCTCACCAGAGCCCTTGAAAAGGGATGGCACTCACTGTCAGGCTGCACTGCCAAGAGCTCACACAAGCACTGGGTGTATCCCCTGTCCCCCCACCAGGCCCCCATTACCAAAAAGTATTGAAGATTTAAAGAATTGCTTCCAAGTTTTCATTGACCCCACTAATTCCAAGTACAGTTTCTTAGAAACAATGATCCAAATGTAAGCCCTACCCAAGTAGTCATCCAGAGAAAACTTGTCATTGTCCCATATCTGAATGATCAGCCTGGGTGGGATTCGAAATTCCGTTTGGTCAATACTCCAGAAATGCTCCTAAAACAAAAAGAAACATGATCATGATGACTCTGAAACACTCACCTTTGGCTCCTTAAGACAGCATCAAAGCCTGGGGCCTTTCTCTCCTTTGCACCCCCACCCTGACACTCCCTTGGGCCTAAATCCTTCCACTCTATCTGTACAGAGAGCAGTCAGGCTCCCCAGGAAATCACAAGCTGGGCAACTGAAGGAATGTCCCAGGTTTTTCCCAAAGAAGATTTCCTGCCATGTCCCTATCAGTGTGACTTCCCGCTGCCACCTGGGGGTTGGAGAGTGACTCATCTCCCCACCAAAGACCACTATGTCCTATTTAGATTATCCTCCTAAGGCCAGGCATTCTAGATCAGCCCACAGTATCACCCACCGGGGTGTCACTTCTGCTCAGCAACTTTCTACCCACCCTCCCACCCACACAGATGTCTGAGTATGCTCTCATTTTACATGGGGGTAAGGAGACTGGGGCCCAGATTCTACTTCTGCTCTTTTATCAGTGCAGATTTAGAATGTCTGGGATTTTTGGCCTTTGAAAAATACCATTGGGCTGGGTGCAGTGGCTCATTCCTGTAATCCCAATACTTTGGGAGGCCGAGGGGGTAGATTACTTAAGGCCAGGAGTTTGAGACCAGCCTGGCCAACATGGTGAAACCCCGTCTCTACTAAAAATACAAAACATAGCTGGGTATGATGGTGCATGCCTGTAATACCAGCTACCTGGGAGGCTGAGGCACGAGAATCACTCAAACCTGGGAGGTGGAGGTTGCAGTGAGCTGAGATCATACCACTGCACTCCAGCCTGGGCGACAGAGATTCCGTCTCAGAAACAAAACAAAACAAAACAAACCACTGGCTTTTGTTTGCTTGTGGTCACTTAAGACCCTCAGATCCTCATGCTAGAGGTAGGTTGAAGGAAGACTAGGTAAGTGTCCTTCAAGTTCTTGCCTCCATTGCCTCAGACAATGTTAACTAAGACTAAACATCTTTACAGCTCAGGTACACCTAAGTTCCTCTGGCCCCAGTGAAAAGGGAATTTCCCAGTGTTTCATGAATTTGAAGGAAGATTACTGGGTTGTTTTTCATATTCCAGGAATGTTTTCCTTTGCAGGGCTCAGAAAGCCTGGCTCTGAGGGGCTCGGCAGCCCACTCTGCTGTTATCTGTTGCTGCCTGACTGTCCTGGGTAGGATCATGCTCCAAGCACCACAGGGTGTGGGGAGGTCTGGCCCTAGATGTGGGTAAACAGGAAAGGTAACCATACCTAAAGCCCTGATCCCCACCATCAGCCCTGATGCCACACCATCTGAAAGTGTGCATTTTTGATATCACATTGAGCTTCTGTGCCTCTTAAAAGTCCCCTTTGTCACTTTGGGAGGCCAAGGTGGGAGAATGGCTTGATCCTTGGAGTTCGAGACCAGCCTGGGCAACAAAGTGAAACCTTATCTCTACAAAAAATACAAAAATTAGCCAGGCATGGTGATGCATGCCTATAGTTCCAGCTACTAGGGAGGCTGAGGTGGGAGGATTGCTTGAGCCCAGAAGGTCAAGGCTGCAGTGAGCTGTGAGTGCACCACTACACTCCAGCCTGGGTGGCAGAGTGAGACCCTATCTCAAAAAGAAAAAAGTCCCCTTTGAAGGCGTTCATCCCACTGGTATTAAAACAGTGCTGGCTGGGCACGGTGGCTCATACCTATAATCCCAGCACTTTGCGGGGCCGAGGTGGGTGGATCACCTGAGGTCAGGAGTTCAAGACCAGCCTGACCAACACGGAGAAACCCCGTCTCTACTAAAAGTACAAAATTAGCTGGGCGTGATGGTACATGCCTGTAATCCCAGCTACTTGGGAGGCTGAGGCAGGAGAATAGCTTGAATCCAGGAGGCAGAGGTTGTGGTGAGCTGAGATTGCACCATTGCACTCCAGCCTGGGCAACAACAGTGAAACTCTGTCTCAAAAAAACAAAAAATAGTGCTTACTACAGCATTAGCACTGAGTAGGGCCAGCAGAGGGTAGGCCTAATGCGACACAGGGCTGGTGGCTGGTACATTCTGATCAGGTGTGGGGAGAGGAGGAAGCTGACAGAATGTGGAGGCAGGAATGGAACAGGGCACCTATAGAAGACATCTGTTGTTATTGACTATGCAGGTTCTAGGCCCCCTTTTTTGGAATGAAAGCACCCAGATTTTCCTTAGCGGACTCCCCTTTTCCCCAAATTTTAGAGAAGCTGCCTCTGTCACTAACTCTAGAGCCTGGACAATCAGAGCATCCCTGGGCAACAATGGTTGGTTCAGGGATAGGCACATGACCCCCAAAAGCAGAGACATTGAGGCCCAATTACAGAACTCTGGTTGGCCCCATGAGGGCTTCGCTCTTCTCTTTCTGCTGAGGTTTGCGGGGAGGACAGGATGTGAGCTGAGGCTGCCACTGTCTCCTGGGGAAGAGTGTGGAGGGTGAAACCAATTTCTAAAGTCATTATCACTTCACTGTGGGATCCAGACGGGCTTAAAGCCAGCAGAAGCCTGGACTTTTTGGTAATGTGAACCAATACATCGTTTTTCTGGTGTCAGCCAGTTTGAGTTGAGTTCTGTAACTGAAAGTCTAACTAGTTAAGACCAGGAGGGCCCTGAGCCCTCATGGCAGTGCCTCTGAGGGAGGTAAAGCAGATGTGGAAGTTTGATAAGGAAGGATACCCACTTTAATACTGGGCCTCTGCTTGACTCTGCCTAGCATGGGAAGACATCAGTCTCCCCATCACATAAAGAACACACTTGGGTTGTTGTTTATACTAATACAAAACCGTTACTTCTACCCTTTATCCTTCGCCACCAGTATGTGAGTATGTGAGGGGAAAGAAAGTTGTGCTCCTCATGCTTCCTAATGACACAAATACCTGTCCTAGCAGTGTGACCTTGGACAAGTGTCAAGGTGGCAGATTCCCCATCTCTGCTGAGAAGGAGCCGGACTCAGTGACCTCCGAGATCCTGAGCAGCTCCAGCATTCTATGAGCTTCTGAGTTAAGGAAGATCCATGATACCCACTTCCCAGCGGCATATTTCAGAGCTCACTTTTTTCGCAACGATACAGAGTTGTTCGGCTGGAAGGTAGTCAAACGGGAAAACAAATCGCCAGTTAAAATTCCCTTCACCATCCAAAGATCTGTAATGGACATCTGTTTTCTGTTTGTTTTCTTCATTGCCAGGAATCCAGCTGAAAGGCAGAGGCAAACAGACTTAGCTTCACGTGATTGACAAGTCATGTAGCCGCAAAATTGTGCAGTAATTAGGGGAGCAAAGAGCAGGAGAATTAATGCACTTTTCTTGGGCAGATTCCAGTTATCTTCGGAGCTGGGGGTGATTTATGGAGGGGAGGTGCTCTATTGCATCCAACACAGGTTGTGGCCAAATAAAATATCATTCCCCTAAAACCAAAGCAGGAAACCCTTTAGACTTCAGTTAACAGGGCTAAGGTGAAATTTTCTGGAAAATATCAACAATGTAGCTTCTATTTTGGGTACAATGAAGCCTGCTGGCTATGACTTTAGTCCTCACAACTATAACTCATCAGTGTCTTTCAGCACTGCTGATAGGTTAAATGAATATGAGTTAGCTCAAAATTTTAGCATTTCCTTTCCCATATTTTACTTAAGCAAACCAAAGAAGCACAAATCAAGTAATCTTACAGCTTCCTTTTTATAAATTATTCTTAAATTCACTATGATAATATTAATGATACCGGCAAGGAAGATGTCAGCTCTTATTTCCACATGCATATCTATGAGCATTCATTTCAGTAACATCTTAACTTTTAACGTTTGAGAAGTTTTCTTCTGCTTGTGCCTGGCACATAGTAGACACTAGATAAATACCTACTGAAGGAATGAATGAATGAATGAGTGTGCCCAGAAAGAAGTTGTTGCTACTGGGAAGACTTCTAGTTTGAAACCAGGGGGTAACATTCGATTTTACACTGTCAAAGCAATAGAGAGCGCATGGTTTTCTCGAAACTGCACATTAGAATCACATTAGAATCGACTGGGGACGTTTTAAAAATATTGATGCCTGGACCCCACAGATAGATAGAGATTCATGGTAGGAGGCAGGCCTGGCTGGAAAAACTCTCTGAGCCTCATCTCGCATCTGTAAAATAAGATTAATGATATGTGCGCCCTTCACATGGTCGACACGCAGACAGAAAAGATTATGGTTTAGCAGGGGCAGAGTGGGAATGGAGGTACCTTTAACACACAGTTATCATCTTCTATGAACCAGGTACTTTACATGCATTATTTTATTCTTCCCAACAACTGCGTAACTATCTCCATTTTGTGGAAGAGGAAACTGAGGTTCAGAGAGAATATATTAACTTGCACAAGGTCACATAGCCCAGAACTGACAGAACTAAGTAGGATTCCCAGGTCAGTCTGATTGCGAAGTCCACATCTGTTACTCTGCCTCAAAGAACCACAGAGATTGCAAAGTCACTTGAAAATATTAAGTCCTACTATTAGTAGTGGTATTAATACCAATCAACTGCAGTAGTTTTCCTTTTTGCTAGTCAATTAACTGACTAGATAAATGAGTTGAAAGATTCCTTTTGACTATTAACCTTTTTTTTTTTTTTTTTTTTTTTACAAGAGCCAGGTTCTCACTATGCTGCCCAGCCTGGACTTCAAACTACGGGGCTCAAGTGATCCTCCTGCCTCAGACTTCTGAGTAGCTGAGACTGCAGGCGTAAGCCACCATGCCCAGTTTTGACTATTAACTTTTAAGGTAACTCACTGAGGAGAGTTCACATTCTCTTGGCCATGACCTTGGTGGCCTCACCTCCTGACCCACCCCTAAGGGTCACCATCATCCTACCCTAGACTGCTCACCCTTACAGCTCTTCCTCTCTTTTTTTGGTGAATTTTCACATTTAATTTTAAACATAAATCTTTTCATACTTTAAGACAAGTCAAACAGCTCCTATAGGTATACGTATTTGTGTGCATGTATGTATATGTATAGCTTGGTATGTAATATAATACCCAGCTGTGTCTAGCACTAGGCATGGTATTTATGCACGATTCATCTTTTCACATGTCGTATTTAGATTTTTATTCCAAATTTTGCAAGGTACTTTAAGTTGAGCTTTATTCTCTGATTAGAGGAGTTTTCTCTCCGTTCAGAATTACTTGAGTTTGTTTCCCTGATTTGAAAAAAAAAAAAATAATGCTTATGATAGTCAAATAAATTTGCATATATATAATTAGCTGAGATTAGTTTCCCTAGAGAATGGTAATGAGATCCAAAAATAATAATGAAGAACTTGATGAAACATTCCCTGTTTATAGTGAACCTAAATGATACTAATTATATCTTTAACAAAGTTTTGATTGAAGGCCACATGGGATTATAGGTGAAACTTTGTTCTCACTTTATGAATATATTAAATGTCGCAAGTCTTATCTTTCATGTATCAAGGAATCAAACTCAGTCCACGTGGAATAGCAACAATACTATGTGCCAGGCACTGTCCTAAATGCTTTGGATAACTGGATCACCTGAATATCCCTGGGAAGGAAGAATAATCATTATCACCATTTTACAGATGAGGAACAGCGAGCTAACTACCTTGCCCAGACAGTAGGGAAAGCACCAGAATGTAGTCGCTATGCTGTACTGCACGCAACATCTATGATCGAGGCATATGATCAAGGCATAGCCATCCACAGAGACGATTTAATTGAATTAGGCAAGTAAGAGAATATTGAACAACAATGACACTTGACATGTTGGATGCTGGCACTCAGTGCAGGTTGGGAGAATAAATTACTTCCTTTGAAATCTGCGAACATTTCCTCTTTTCCATAGACATGGGCTGCTGGTAATAAAATATGTAGAAAATGAAATTTTGGGAGCTTTACTTGTGTTTCTAAGGCTAGTTATTCAGGGTATCAAAGAGGAATAAAAAGAAACTACATGGCTAAAACGTCCCAGAAATAATACATCTGCTTAAGAAACTGAAGAAAATCCATTTTGTCAAAAAGGAAACAAAGAAATATTTATCAGTTCTTATAATCCTTATATAGCTTTCCTCATAAACAAAGTCTGTACAGGTCTTGCTCTCTCTCCTTTGCTTTCCAGGAGCTACCTAAGTAGATCACATTAATGAGATAAAATAACCTCAAAAAACCAAGAATCCTATCTTGGGCATATTCAGTAATGAAAACTCACGAAGGAGAGAGTCTGTTTCCCTGAGCTTGGCAAAGTCTCTCACATGCTAACCTTACCCTTTGACGTAGATGTCACTCATTTCCTCTCCTGTGATGCTTTTCTCGTCCAAGATAACGTCCTTGGTGTTCCAGATGATCACACGCAGGTAGTATCTGCAAGAAGCACAGTTGGAAGGTACTTTTTTTTCTGGTCCTGGACCAAGTCCCCAGCCCAGTGTATGTATCAGGGTCTCAGGATGACTGACTTACTTCTTGGCTTTCCGGGGTGTGATGTTGAAAGGAGGGCCTGGTGGCCCCAAACTCTTGGGGAAAACATCCACCCACATCTGAAGTTTTCCCTAAACCATTTGAAAATGAAAAGAGGACTGAAGTTATATGATGGGTAGCAGAAGTCACAATTTTCTTTCATATTTCTTAGATGAAACTATTTCTTTCTTTGGTCTCTCTAATTTATTAGTCCACATGGAAGGCAAGAAGTGGAAGAGAGCAAACCAAGGTTAATCTTTTATGTACAATGTCATTTAGGCCACCCACTTTCCATTCTCACTCAGGGGTCTCTGACGGCTGCACATGCCCACCTGTATCATAGTCTGGGTCTCGCCTGGTTAATAAAACTGCAGACTTCCCATCACTAACCCAACCCCAACATACACATCCCACAGGCAGGCACACGCACGTGCACACACACACACACGCGCGTGCGCGCACATCCCCCCTCTTACAATGACTTAAAATTGGGTCCTTCGCCTTTAGCAGTTCTCAGGCTGTCATTCTATCCATCACATTGCCCACCTGACACCAATCCCCATTTTGCCATACCCAAGGGTTTCTCTACTTACCTCAAAATATAAAATCAAAGTAATGAATGCAATTAGTGAAAATGGTATTTAATTTTGTAAAAGAAAAACAACATGGCATTTTCAAAAGAGGAGCTCAAACAATGATAATATTACAGTTCCCAAAAGGTAAGGATTCCTGGCCATTGGTTCATTAGTGCCCACCACCAGGTAAGTGGCTAGCAGGAAGGGGAGGTGAAAGCCTAGACTGACATTTGTGCTCCATCTTGGTGAGGTCCTGCTCAGCTCTTTGACTGACACAGACTTGGCCCATCCATCTGACTCGAATGTTCTTCCAGACAGGTCAGGAATGCCACGAAAAAACTATATCAACCGTACAAACCAATTTATATTCTTCAAACTGTTTTTGAGTGTTCTGTAGACTCTGTCTTCAGACAAAAACAAACTGATCTTCAAGAAAGTTGCCAAGGAAACCACTAGATTGGCTTCCTAATGCATTGTGATCAAAATACATTAAGTGGAGCTCTTGAAAAGGATGTATTTTACTATGATCCTGACTCTCCTGCAACTAATCTCTAGGGCTCAGGGCTCTACAATTCATCAAGCACTCTACAGAATATTAGGCGTCCAGTGTCTCCCCAAACCCAGCCACAGTCTGTGGCTAATGCTGGAGGCAGAAGTGATGGGGGTTTGTGGATTCCCGGGGAGAAATCTTCCTCACTCTGTCATTTCTTGAAACTCCTCATATGGCTAAGGGGTGAGAGGAGAGAAAGAAGGAGGAATAAGTTCTTTGGTGAAAGGAAGAGTAAGAAAAGGAAGAAATGGAAATGTAGAACAAAATAAAAGCAAGAAGGAAGTGACAAAACAACCTAGAAAGCCCAGGCCAACCCTTTTGCAATCAGCGTGTCCATAGTTTTGCTGTCAGGGTCAACAATATTTGCATCCATTAGATTAATATTTCTTTTTTTCTTTTTTTTTGTGAGACAGAGTCTGGCTCTGTCACCCAGGCTAGAGTGCAGTGGTGGGATCACGACTCACTGCAACCTCCACCTCCCTGGTTCAAGTGATTCTCCTGCCTCAGCCTCCCGAGTAGCTG